>NC_000016.10:59107954-59410985 GCF_000001405.40 Homo sapiens | reverse complement strand
CTAACTTTGCATGTGGTATCCAGAACCCTCCATACTGTGACCCCTATGCACTCTCTGTCCACCTGTCTCCCAACAACCCAACCCTCTCAACCACATCAATCTCCATCCAAGATCCAGCAATAGCCTACTGCCTTTAATTTCAGAAAAAAAAGATCAAGAGGTTTTGTACTAATACACATGATATAATAACTTGCTTCAAATTCACTTCCATGCAAGTTGTGTCTGACAATAAAGCCTGTGCACCCCTTTAAAGCCCTGTTTAGATGAGCTTCCTGACCTTCTTCTTCCAGCTTCTCAGCAAAGCTTTAACAATTGAAGGCAGGCAGGATAGGCTGAGGGCAGAAAGGAGGTGAGAGGACTCTTATCATCTTTGTATCCTTATCTTTTTCAAATTATAGTTTGTGTTATTTAAGATAAAGCTAACTGGTGTGAGATGGTATCTCATTGTGGTTTTGATTTGCATTTCTCTGACGGCCAGTGATGATGAGCATTTTTTCATGTGTCTGTTGGCTGCATAAATGTCTTCTTTTGAGAAGTGTCTGTTCATATCCTTCGTCCACTTGTTGATGGGGTTGTTTGTTTTGTTCTTGTAAATTTGTTTGAGTTCTTTGTAGATTCTGGATATTAGCCCTTTGTCAGATGAGTAGATTGCAGAAATTTTCTCCCATTTTGTAGGTTGCCTGTTCACTCTGATGGTAGTTTCTTTTGCTGTGCAGAAGCTCTTTAGTTTAATTAGATCCCATTTGTCAATTTTGTCTCTTGTTGCCATTGCTTTTGGTGTTTTAGACATGAAGTCCTTGCCCATGCCTATGTCCTGAATGGTATTGCCTAGGTTTTCTTCTAGGGTTTTTATGGTTTTAGGTCTAATATTTAAGTCTTTAATCCATCTTGAATTAAATTTTGTATAAGGTGTAAGGAAGGGATACAGTTTCAGCTTTCCACATATGGCTAGCCAGTTTTCCCAGCACCATTTATTAAATAGGGAATCCTTTCCCCATTGCTTGTTTTTCTCAGGTTTGTCAAAGATCAGATGGTTGTAGATATGTGGCATTATTTCTGAGGGCTCTGTTCTGTTCCATTGGTCTATATCTCTACTTTGGTACCAGTACCATGCTGTTTTGGTTACTGTAGCCTTGTAGTATAATTTGAAGTCAGGTAGTGTGATGCCTCCAGCTTTCTTCTTTTGGCTTAGGATTGACTTGGCAATGTGGGCTCTTTTTTGGTTCCATATGAACTTTAAAGTAGTTTTACCAATTATGTGAAGGAAGTCATTGGTAGTTTGGTGGGGATGGCATTGAATCTATAAATTACCTTGGGCAGTAAGGCCATTTTCACGATATTGATTCTTCCTACCCATGAGCATGGAATGTTCTTCCATTTGTTTGTATCCTCTTTTATTTCATTAAGCAGTGGTTTGTAGTTCTCCTTGAAGAGGTCCTTCACGTCCCTTGTAAGTTGGATTCCTAGGTATTTTATTCCCTTTGATGCAATTGTGAATGGGAGTTCACTCATGATTTGGCTCTCTGTTTGTCTGTTATTGGTGTATAAGAATGCTTGTGATTTTTGCACATTGATTTTGTATCCTGAGACTTTGCTTAAGTTGCCTATCAGCATAAGGAGATTTTGGGCTGAGACGATGGGGTTTTCTAGATATACAATCATGTCATCTGCAAACAGGGACAATTTGACTTCCTCTTTTCCTAGTTGAATACCCTTTATTTCCTTCTCCTGCCTGATTGCCCTGGGCAGAACTTCCAACACTATGTTGAATAGGAGTGGTGAGAGAGGGCATCCCTGTCTTGTGCCAGTTTTCAAAGTGAATGCTTCCAGTTTTTGCCCATTCAGTATGATATTGGCTGTGGGTTTGTCATAGATTGCTCTTATTATTTTGAGATATGTCCCATCAATACCTAATTTATTGAGAGTTTTTAGCATGAAGGGTTGTTGAATTTTGTCAAAGGCCTTTTTTGCATCTATTGAGATAATCATATGGTTTTTGTCATTGGTTCTGTTTATATGCTGGATTATGTTTATTGATTTTCATATGTTGAACCAGCCTTGCATCCCAGGGATGAAGCCCACTTGATCATGGTGGATAAGTTTTTGATGTGCTGCTGGATTCGGTTTGCCAGTATTTTACTGAGGATTTTTGCATCGATGTTCATCAGGGATATTGGTCTAAAATTCTCTTTTTTTGTTGTGTCTCTGCCAGGCTTTGGTATCAGGATGATGCTGGCCTCATAAAATGAGTTAGGGAGGATTCCCTCTTTTTGTATTCATTGGAATAGTTTCAGAAGTAATGGTACCAGCTCCTCCTTGTACCTCTGGTAGAATTCGGCTGTGAATCCATCTGGTCCGGGACTTCTTTTGGTTGGTAAGCTATTAATTATTGCCTCAATTTCAGAGCCTGTTATTGGTCTATTCAGAGATTCAACTTCTTCCTGGTATGATCATTAAAAAGTCAGGAAAAAACAGGTGCTGGAGAGGATGTGGAGAAATAGGAACACTTTTACACTGTTGGTGGGACTGTAAACTAGTTCAACCATTGTGGAAGTCAGTGTGGTGATCCCTCAGGGATCTAGAACTAGAAATACCGTTTGACCCAACAATCCCATTACTGGGTATATACCCAAAGGATTAAAAATCATGCTGCTATAAAGACACATGCCCACGTATGTTTATTATGGCACTATTCACAATAGCAAAGACTTGGAACCAACCCAAATGTCCAACAATGATAGACTGGATTAAGAAAATGTGGCACATATACACCATGGAATACTATGCAGCCAAAAAAATGATGAGTTCATGTTCTTTGTAGGGACATGGATGAAGCTGGAAACCATTATTCTCAGCAAACTATCACAAGGACAAAAAACCAAACACCGCATGTTCTCACTCATAGGTGGGAGTTGAACAGTGAGAACACATGGACACAGGAAGGGGAACATCACACACTGGGGCCTGTCATGGGGTGGGGGGAGGGGGAAGGGATAGCCTTAGGGATATACCTAATGTTAAATGACGAGTTAATGGGTGCAGCACACCAACATGGCACGTGTATACATATGTAACTAACCTGCACGTTGTGCACATGTACCCTAAAACTTAAAGTATAGAAAAAAGATAAAGCTAGCAGTTGAATTAAACAAACCCCAGTATATGTCATAGCTCATAGATATTAAAAGTGTATTTATTACTCATGTAAAAATTTTAAATGGCATTTTTCATCAAGAACAGATTCCTCCAGAAATAATTTTGGGACCAAGGTCCCCATGCCTGGCTGCTCTATCATTGTCCACATGTAACTTTCAATGTACTCATCTACATCAAGCTAGAGAAAGGGTAACAGAGATGGAGAAAATACTCTCATTTTCTCATAGTCTTGGCCTTACACATGTACTTCTACTCAGATTCTACTCACAAGAATTAGTCACGTGGCCTCACCTAAATGCCAGGGCACTGCGAAATACAATCCCCGATTGGGCAACTGCTTCCTAATAGCAGCCCTACACTATGAGAGGAAGAGCATGAATATGGATGGGTTGGTTGCAGCATGTGTCAGATAGTTCATGTTTTAATTAGTTAAAAAGGCAACATATGGGAGTTCCTTCCTCAAAAATTTATACAGAATTACCATATGACCCAGCAATTCTACTCCTGGGTATATGCCCAAAAGAATAGTACACAGTCTTCAGACAAAAACTTAAACACAAATAGTCACAGCAACACTATTTGCAGTAGCAAAAAGGTAGAATCAACCCAAATATCTATAAAATGATAAATAGGTAAACAAGTGTAGTATATCCATACAATGGAATATTATTTAGTCATAAAAATACTCATACATGCTACAACATGGATGAACCTTGAAAACATTACGCTAAGTGAAAAAAGCCATACACAAAAGGCCACATATTATTTCATTTATACTAAATATCCAGGGTAGAAAAATTGATAGAGATGGAAAACAGATTTGTGACTGCTAGCAGCTAGCAAGAAGAGAAGATATGGAGTGAGTGCTTAATGGGTGCAGGGTTTCCATTTGGGGAAATTAAAAAGTTCTGGAACTAAATAGTGGTGATGGTTGCACAACACTGTGAATGTACCTAATGCCATTGAATTGTATACTTTAAAATTGTTAAAATGATCGATTTAATATTATGTTTATCTTACTACAATTTAAGAAGGCAGCATGGCTTTCTGGAGACATGTACTGAATCAAACCATTAGCTTATAATATTTTATTATATTTAATGACATAAATAGCATACGACCTCAAGCAAAAAGAGTAGTTAATGCTATTCCTTCTCTATGTTTTCTTTTCTTTGGGAATTTTATAATTTTTTCTTCCTTCAACCCAACAAATATTTTTTTAACAGCTTATTGGTTCCAGACACTGGTCTGTGTGTTTACGCTTATCATAAACTCAAAGCTCTGAAAGAGTCCTAAGGTATACTTAGAGAAGATATGGGTCCTGGATCAAGATAGATAGTAATAGAAACTTGCCAGTGGTCCAACATGCTAATAATACCATCTTATAATGCGCCAAAAATGCTGGGACACTTGGTCCATTTTGTCATTAAAGATAGTTGACCACTGGAGCTAGCAAACAACACACCAAGTGTGTTGATGCTATTGTAAGGCTTTAGAGCAAGTGTAGAGTTATGATATCACACTCAGAGTTAGATGAAAAGCCTTGCCAATCTAAACCTTAGTTAATATCTAAACATTTCTACTCTGATATAAGATGCTGATGTTCAGGACTTTGAAGAAACCAGTGCGTCATTCCATAATTCTCTATGCAGGTGGATAAATGTGGCATCCTGAATGATACATAACAAAATAACTTGAAATCCATTTATATTTGCATTTGCATTTTGATTTTTTTCTTTGTTGTCATTGCACATTTGCTTTCATAATCATATCTTAGCTAACTGTAACAGTAAATGTGGTTTATCTTCTCAAATGACAGATGACAACGACAGGCAGTCTTAAATGATCTGACTGGCATATTGAGCTGGTTGAATTTAAATTTAACTGAGAAAAGTCATATAATCCTAGAACTGGAAGGATGCCTAGGGAAAACTTAACTTTATCTCTTCATTTGTATATAAGAGTGAACTAAAACTCAGAGATGTGTATTTATATTATTTTCAGAAGGAGCTGGTTTGGACGTGTTGTCTCAATGTAATTATTAATAATGCCTCTTTTCTTTCTCAAAGATCTCCTGATTTAGAAGGTAAATTAGATATTCACCTCATCTATATCTTTTTGGTATTGTGGATTCTTTAGATAATATTTTACAAACTCAGGCAACCCATCCATAAAAAGCATATATATATATATATATGCTTTTATATATATATATATGCTTTTATATATATATATATATATATAAAACATTTGGATCTAGTTTACCAGCAACCTCAAGCTGCGAGCCTTTGATGTAGATTTTACATCCAATAAAAACATATTGATCAACTCCTGTGGACTGCAAAAGCAAAGCTGCCATTAACCACCACACCCCAACAAGGTATGTCTTAGTGAACACATCAGATCAGAAACTAAGCTAAGAGTCACCATGACATGGTATGGTTGGGTAATGACTTGACCTCAGGCCTCCTAATCCAGTGGCCTTTTTAACATAAGAAGTGCTGAGTATAGGGTTACAGATATAATATCTTAGTTTATATCCTGACTGACACTTACTATGTTACTTCAGACAAGTTGCTTAACTCTTTTTGCTTTATTTTTCCAATTTGTGAAATGAAGATGATAGTAGAAGTACCTACCTCATTCTGAGTTGTAAGGATTACATAAAATAATATACCAGCAGTGCTTGCAAGACTACCTGAAATACAAAAATCTTTCAATAAATGTTTCATATTATTGGTAAGCAATTGCTTCTGTGCAATTACACGTGACTAAGTGAACACATAAGAATATTAATCCCTAAGTTAATTAATAAATATCAATAAGATTAATATTAAACTACTACTTCAGGTTATTAATACTTATTATACAATACAAAAAAAACAAGAGTTGAGAAACAATGGAGAATTTAACAAAGTATGAAACTGTCTTCACAGTACACATGTGTCCTCAAAATATTTGATCCTGTAAAAATGGTGATACGTATCAGAGACAGTGGAGAGTGGACTGCAGAATGTGAAACTATGAGTATGTATCTGCTTAGCTTCAGAAAACTTCATGAGTTTTAGAGATACACTAAGCAAGGTATTTACAACCTACACACCATCATCATGCTACTTTTCTTACAAAAAGCATCAGTAACTTCAATGAAGTATCAACATTCAAATTTTGATAACGTCATTCTATCCCTTCTTCCTAAAATCATTCCTCATTGTGTAGGGCATATTGTAGCTATGTCTTATTCTATAGATTGATTAATTGATTAATTTCAAGGTACAACCCTGGAGGTGGGTGTCAGTGACTTGAAGTATTTCATTGGTAGGAGGTTATTACTCTATAAATAATGAGCTGACACAGCCACCTGAAATGAGGCAGAATAGAAGAAAGAGAGATAATGTTCTAGCTAAATTATGCCCTGCATATTCATACAAACTCTTCATTTTCTTCAAATATCAGAATGTGACTTTGAATTTTTTTCTAAGTTAGAAATCTTACTTTCAGTAACAGAAACTAAACTTTAAATTGCTTGAGCTAAAAAGGGGTTTTCTTGATGTGCCACAATAGCTTTGAGGGAACTAGTTGTCTCTTTATATGTTATTTCTACCTCTGTTCCGCATTGGCCTCACTATTCCTTGAAATTTTTTCTCCTCAATTTATTTAGCAGAATGATATCAAAAAGTCCCCTGGTTCACATTTCATATTGTAATATTATTTCTTCAAAATGAATTCCTAGTAAATAAAAATCTTACTAATACATTATCACTCATAGTAAACAGATAGATGGAGACAAAGGTAAGGTCAGTTGACAGAAGAACAGGATTAAATAATATTTAAAAATTAGTGTCTACAACAAATTTCTTTAAAATGCCTCATTTTATGCACAATTATCCACAATAATAGTTGACTGGATGTCTAAGAATGAATTGCAATGTTCACTTCCTTGAAATAGTTTGCACCTGATGGAAAATAACTTTTTTTAGCTGAACTCCATGTTTCATTTATAGTAAATTATCATCTTATCAAAAAATATTATCATTTGAATTTGTAAACAGTTGTCAAAAATGAGAAATCCAAGTGATCAAAGACAAATGAAAGTGGCAGATCAAGTGAACCAAACGCTTGCACCATTTTGTAAAAGGAGGTTAAATGTATCCTGGGAAAAGGGTTAGTTTAAAAGGAGATGATAAAGCAAGAAATGGCCAGCTGTGGTGGCTCACCTCTGTAATCCCAGCACTTTGGGAAGTTGAGGTGAGTGGATCACTTGGGGTCAGAAGTTCAAGAGCAGCCTGGCCAGCATGGTGAAACTCCGACTCTACAAAAAATGCAAAAATTAGTCAGGTGTGGCGTTGGACGCCTATAATCCCAGCTACTCAGGAGGCTGAGGCAGGAGAATGGCTTGAACCCTGGAGACAGAGGTTGCAGTGAGCAGAGATCATGAGCAGAGATCGTGCCACTACACTCCTGCCTGGGCAACAAAGAGAGAGTCTGTCACAAAAAAAAAAAAAAAAAAAAAAAAAGGCAAGATATATTTGTGAGATCCTTAGAATTCTGCAAAATTACTATTCATTGTAACCATTTGTTCCCCAAATCCTTAAAGAAATCAATGAAAATTGAAATAATAAGATGTATTCCAGCATATGGTATTCCAATAAAGGTTAGTTTTGCTAGAATCCACATTAAATAGACTACTATATAACACCAATTCTGCACTTTTTAAATAAGCATAATTCCTGCCATCAAAGGGTTTCCATGTCATGAGGAGGCAGAATAAGCTAACAACTCCTATTCCCACTAAAAGGAGTTCTTGCTAGGATAGAGAAAGGAACAAAGTGCGAGAGAAGGACATGAGGGAGTTATCATTTCAGTCTTTGCATGTTGAACATACTTCACAGGAAAGGTCATGATGTGCAAGCAAGTTGCTTGGAATAGAAAGTTCCTAGGAAAACAAGACTGTAAGATTCAGTCATGTAGAGGAATACCAAGAAAGTTTGAAAGGACTTGACCTACTTGGGAAATGTCTATTCAGTTGGGGCTAGCAGAGTTCACTGCATAAATAGAATAGTAGCCAGAGATAAATCTAAAAAGGAAATCGTTTTTCATTTATTCATTTTTCATTATTCATTTAACAAATATTTATATAGTTGCCTTCTCTTCCAGGCATTGAGTTTGGCTTTAAAGGTACAATGATGAAGAAGCCTCAACTCACAATATGATGGGAGAACAAGAGGCACAAATAAATAGCCATTGTCCAATTGTGCAATGTGTTTGTGTTTTCAGTACAGGAAGATATCAAAAGCTCTAAAGTGGGCCGGGCACCGTGGCTCATGCCTTTGGGAGGCTGAAGAGGGCGAATCACTCGAGGTCAGGAGTTCAAGACCAGCCTGGCCAACATGGTGAAACCTCATTTCTAGTAAAAATACAGAAATTAGCCAAGTATGTTGGCACGCACCTGTAATCCCAGCTACTTGGGAGGCTGAGGCAGGAAAATCACTTGAACCCAGGAGGTGGAGGTTGCAATGAGCCAAGATTATGCCACTGCACTCCAGCCTGGGTGACAGAGCGAGACTCAGTCTCAAAAAATAAATAAATAAAATAAAACAAAAGCTCAGCCAGGTGCGGTGGCTCATGCCTGTAATCCCAGGACCTTGGGAGGCCGAGGCGTGTGGATCACGAGGTCAGGAGATCAAGACCATCCTGGCTAACACGGTGAAACCCCGTCTGTACTAAAAATACAAAAAATTAGCCAGGCATGGTGGCGGGCGCCTGTGGTCCCAGCTACTCAGGAGGCTGAGACTGGAGAATCCCTTGAACCCGAGAGGCGGAGGCGGAGGTTGCAGTGAGCAGAGATCACACCACTACATTCCAGCCTGGGCAATAGAGCGAGACTCTAACTCAACAAAAAAAAAAGAAAAAAGAAAAAAAAGCTCTAAATTGCCAAGGACAGGACAAGAAGAACAAGCCCAATCTCAGGTTAGGTTCACTTCAAGGGAATGTTTGTCTGGGCTTTAAAGGGGGATTTGGGCTTCACTGGTCAAATGGAACCAGGAAGGTGAGGAAGAAGAGTAGTCTAGGAATCCTCTACATGTCCTCAAACATTAAAATGTAAAGAATTCCTGGAAACTAAAATATTACCAACTCTCTTTTGGAGGTAGTAAAATGAAACATGTAAAAGTAGAATAAATGAAATGGAGCAGGAATATACAATGTGGCAAAATTGGAGCAGGAATATGCAATTATGAAGTCTACCTAATATTAATATATTTCTTAATACCAAACAATAGTAGAAAAGACCAGTGATGTTAAGCATACTAACTAGTCCTTCTGTACCTTCATGCTGTACATGACAGAAGTACTCCCCTGATTCATTTAGGGGGCATCCACATGCTCCCTGCTGGCTTGCCAAGAGCTTCTAAAATGCTTTTCCTTTCTCCACATTATATACTCGCCAGCATATGTGCATCAACAGTGAAATAAAGTATAGATTAAGAAAAATTATTCCAAAGCTTTTAGTAAGACATTATCAGACATGGTAGGCATTAAAAAGACATCTCCTTTTAAATTTTGAGGACGGGTTATTGTTGATATTAAAATGTTTCAGTTTGGTGAGGTTTTTCAGGACATGGAGGAAAATTGAGTACTGGTCAAGAAGATTCAAGTTCAATTACTAACCCAATGTTTGATTCATTATTCCTTAGGCAGAAAAATAAATAAAAAAAATAGCATGCATCATCTCTTTCCTCAATTGTGAAAAAGCAGTGAATTTCTATTTGTCTTGACAGGTGACTCACAGGATGGGGAAAATAATCTCAAAATGCTATTAGGAAATGCTCAAAGAATGAGGATTTACTGAATTTATCAACAGGAGCCTATTCTAATTTCATCTGTAGGGTTTACAAAACACTTCCTATGTGTTCTACTCAGAACTTTGAGGGTGACCTACTAAGTCCATGTAATGTTTGTATTAGTTTGTTGACCTTTATGAAGAAGCTAGTAATTAGATATCCTTGGACCCAAGAGGACCAATTGTAGGAGATGTTACAGCACTCAACAGTAAATGAGATTATAGAGTGAACATCCTTAGTTCATGATCTGGGAATATAGAAGGCGCCAAAGCAATGCAAGTCCTCATGTTCCTCTTGAAAGCAGAAATACAGTTCACGGTGACTTATACTTGTAGAGGATTCTCATAAGGAAGTTCCTGAAGTACTCATTCTTAGAAACCTTGATGAAGAAACTAAATAATAGCATGGTGAGAGATGGCACAGGTGTGTCCCTTAGTACACATATTTCTCTTGCTGCTCTCTAACCCCTGGCATCTGGATCTTTGGAGCTGTCTCATCATCTGTAACATTCCTTCAGCATATTAGGAATGCTTGTGTCAGGCAGAGCCCTTACTTTACTTAGAAGTTGATCAGAATGATTGGAGTAGCCTTAATAGTGGCATCCACTTTCTAATACAGTAAGTAAAGAAAATGTCAAAGAAACAGCTGATTTTTTAAAAACTCATTGAATAGTGCCTGGAACACAGTATGTACTCAGTAAATATTTTTATTATTATTAGTGTTTATTGTTATGTTATCATTGATGTTTTTATTACTTAGCAATCAGAAAATTAAAGGCATAATTTAGAGACTTTAGCAATAGAATAGTATACATACTATTTCCCTAAATTATATAGTGAAGAATATTTTGTAACAATAGACTATTATTACAGGGTTTCCAGCAGGACTTCCAACAGGCACACTGTGCTACAAGTTTATGTCTTCAACCAGGAGTTGACAAACTTGTCCTGTAAAGTGCCAGAGAGTAAATATTGTGGGGGCCAATGGACAATGCCCTCAACTCTTTGAGCAACTATTATTGCTGAAACGCCAACAGTATCTTTTAGAGTTTATGTTTTACATTTAAAAATGTAAACAATGGCTGGGCGAGGTGGCTGATGCCTGTAATCCCAGCACTTTGAGAGGCTGAGGCAGGCGGATCACCTGAGGTCAGGAGTTCGAGAACAGCCTGACCAACTTGGTGAAACCCCGTCTCTACTAAAAATACAAAATTAGCTGGGTGTGGTGACGCATGCCTGTAATCCCAGCTACTCTGGATGCTGAGGCAGGAGAATTGCTTGAACCTGGGAGGCGGAGGTTGCAGTGAACCGAGACCACACCATTGCACTCCAGCTTGGGCAACAAGAGTGAAACTCAGTCTCAAAAAAAAAAAAATGTAAACACTAGTCAAAACTTATGGGTCACATGAAAACAGGTATTGCGCTGGATTTGACACATGGACAGTGATCTGCCAACCCTGTGCTAGAGAATTATGTTTTTTATCTTAGGGAGGGCACACTGCTGCTACATAATCACACAGACATCTATGTGTGTGTGTTTCAAATCTTAGCTATAAATAATTCTACACTTTACATTAATAAAAAATATGATTTGCATCATTTTGATTTCAGACATACCTACAAACACTCTTGAAAATAAGACAGCACTAATGCCTTGAAAAAAATTCAGTTTGAGGGCTGCCAGTTCAAATAAAACAAAAATAGACTTTCTTTCCTTATTGTTTCTTTCACTCTCACAATAGAAGTTTTATTTTGAGAAAACCATAAATTTATTATTAATCAAATAGTTAGATACCTGAAAGATCATAAGCTGATTCCTTCAGGAGGAGTCATTCAGCCTTGTGTGGCTCTTCACAGCCCCAAAGCCTTAAGGAGTTCTACAAAATTTGAGTTGAGGAAATATTTCATGTGGAAAGACTAGGACCAGGGCTCCAGAGCAAAGCTTTTTAGAACTTTATGTACCATATCCTGCGTGGTCATTTCCTATACCCGAAGCCATCAAGATTTGCTAGACGGAGTTTCCTTTTGTCTACTTAGGTTTATTTTTATTCAACAAGTATTACATTCATAACCCTCTAGCATAAAGCCTGAACACAACAAAGTGTACATAAGCATTTTTTGTTTTTTCCCTCATGGAAGTCACATTTTAGTGGTGGAAGAGAGGGCAGGTGGCAGGCAAGTAACAAGAGAACAAATAATTCAAACAACATCAGGATAATTTTTGATCTACAGGAAACAAGGAAGGTGCAGTTCAGAATGATTGCAGGGGGTGGACCTCCTTTGGATAGGCTGGTTGGTGAAGCTTTCTTCAGGAAGTTGGCATTTGAATGGGGCCCTGAGGATTGAGAAGGAGCCAGGCAGGAAAACAGCACATGGAATATCTTCCAAAATGAGGACTAGCAAGAGAAATTCCTAGGCAGAATTTTCTATGCTTAAGAAATTGTCAGAAAGCCATGGGGCTAAAGCAGAACAGCAAGAGAGAGAGCATCATAAGATTGGATAAATAGAGCATGTAGAACATGGAAAGTAGCTCAAATACAATTCCAAGAAGTTTGAATATGATTCTAAAGCAGTGGGAAATCATGAACAAGATTTTACCCACCCTTGAGAGGTATAGATGTGAAACACAATGAATTGAGCAAAGGGAAGAAGAGTTCACTTAAACCTAGTGGTTTACTTTTTTTGACATTAGTCTTTCTAGTAACTCTAATAGATGACATAGTACTTACAATACCCCTTGGTTTCACTGTGGACTCTGTATGTGTGGGAACACTCATGACTGACAATTTTGAAATCTCTGCTCACATGCCTCATGAGGCCATGTCATAATTTTAGTAATCGCCATGGTGATTTGGCCACCCCTACCAAAGTGAAAAAGACATTGTCATCCCCCATAAGTTACCATGCTCTCAACACTGACAGTGTTAAGCAGGGGAAAACAATCCCCAGTTTAGAATCATCACACAGATCGTAGCCCCTTTGGGAAGCTATGGTGTTGGTTGTTGTCACACCTCCAGACATTAACACTAACTCCTTTGAGCAGTCTTTATCACTGCAAATTATCATAACCACAAACTGCTAGCATATAAAGGTCAAGGACGCACAAAGAAACTAGTCAACCACTACAAGAGCACTCATTCACTCATTCATTCATTCATTCATTCATTCATTCAACAACTGCATTTGGGTACTGTTCTAGGTGCTGAAATGTTAGACTGAACAAAACAAAATCTCCTATCCTCCTGGAGCATACATACAGTTTGGAAGGAATTCTATCTCCACATAAATATAACATGCTAGATTCAATAACAATCTCCTGAAAAGTATTGGTCACTTATTTCCCTTTTTCTCAAAAACAACATTATTTTCCAGGGTCAGGGCTCTCAGCTGAAATTATATCTCTCCTGTGCCTCCAAACTAAAAAAGGGGACTGTGATGGTTCATCTTAGGTGTCAACTTGATTGGATTAACGTATACCCAGACAAAAGGTAAAAAATTATTTCTGGCTGCGTCTGTGAGGAGGATGTTTCTTGAGGAAATTGGCAGGTGAGTTGATGGACTGCATAGGAAAGATCTGCCTACAATGTAGGTGGGCATCATTCAATTGGCTGGGGGCGAGGGGGCCAAGATAGAACAAAAAGGCAGAGGAAAGGTGAATGCATGCTTGCTTTCTCCTGGAGCAGAGACACTCTTCTTCTCCAGCCCTTCAACATCAGAACTCCAGGTTCTCTGGCCTTTGGACTCCAAGACTTGTACCAGCTGCTTCCCAGGTTCTCACACCTTCAGATAGCCTTTCATAGGACTTCTCAGCCTTCATAATCATGTGAGCCAATTCCATTAATAAAGCTCCTCTCCTCTCTCTCTCTCTCCCGGTGTGTGTGTGTGTGTGTCTGTGTGTGTGATCTCCTATTGGCTCTGTCTTTCTAGAGAACTCTGACTAATATAGGGACTAAGTTCTAAGGTTGTATGATACAAAGGCTGAGGATTCTGGGTTTAACATACCTGGAAAGGCAACAAAATCATCTAGTCAATTTCAATGCAATCTATTGACAAAAAGCAAAACTGAGATTCAGAAAACAGAAACACTCTAATTTAATGTGCACAGCAACATGATAATCATTGAATCAAGGTGTTGGCACTCCAGTGTTATCCCTGCCACTTCTCAAAGGAAGCTCTCAGTGCCCCTTCCTTTTATAGACAAAGTGGGGAAACTCAGAGAGGTACAGGAGCTTGTCCAAAGGCATACATGTTTAAAGGAGCAGAACTAGAGTTAGAACCCAAAGGCATACATGTTTAAAGGAGCAGAACTAGAGTTAGAACCCAACTTCTCTTATTCCCAGTGCAGTCTTCTTTCCACTAAATGAAAAGATCATTACTTATAAAAGTCTTATTTTGCAATATGATCTCTTCAATACGAGCTTTCTTGACTTCTATTGAAGGAATTTCATGGGATTCATTCAGAGAATATCGACTGCAACACACTTCCTCCATATAATCCAAACTCTAGGCTCATGAGTCTGCAACGCACTTCCTCCATATAATCCAAACTCCAAGCCCCCTAAATCTTGGCCAGATCGTTGAAGAAAGCAATCTGTGCAATAGAGTTATTACTACAGAGTTTCCCAGAGAATTTTACACCTAGCGTACTGTGAACCTCCAGGAATGGGATATGCTATGCAGTTTCCAAAACTTATTGGAAAAAGACTGCTTTTGTTTTATGACGCATCTTAAAAAGTGGGAAGTTCTATAGACCATTCAGGGGTATGTGAATACAATGAATTCAACAAGCTTTCAGTTATTGAATGCTCATGATGTCCTAGGCAATGTGCAGTGTGACAGAGGACTGGTTAATCAATTATTAGACTAATCAATTAGGAGAAGGGTTGAAACAGAGAAAGCTCAGTAACACTCTTTGGCATCCCCTGGGCTAGCGCTGAATTCTTCTACCCCAAGTACTGGCATTCAGGAGGATGCCAACTGCTGTTGTCTTTGCTTTTTGCCTGTCTATAAGGAGATTTTTTTTTCTTTTCACAAGAAAGTGTCACTGAAGGGAAATCCAATTTGTGAGGCAAGCAAAGGCCCCCTGCATTGTGATGCAAAGATTGGCAGTTGGCTGAAGAGAGGAGCTTTTGGTTTTACTAGCTGCAGTTTTCAAAGAGTTTGATTAGATATAGCAACATTGCCATTGGTCAATAGAAATGTATAGAATCTATGTACAAAGAGGACCATCTAATCTGTCTGACCACCTCCAGTACTAATTCATGGGCAATGTGGCTTTAGGCGTTCATACCCCCACCTTTGCTGGTCATCTGCAGAACCACAGTATCTGCATCACCTGGGAGCTGGTTAGAAATGAGGAATTTCAGGCCTGCCACCAAACCTACTAAATCAGAATCTGCCTTTTCCCAAGGTCCCCATGCAATTTTAATGTATGTAGAAGCTTGAGAAGCACAGCTTCATGTGCCACTTCCAGGAGCATTGAGTGGAATCTTCCTTACAGAGGACTATTGCATCCTTCACGACTGCAAGATCTTTGCCAAGGGAAAATGGCCAGGATTTGGACCTGAGTTCACCCAACGTACCAAACCTCCATGTTCCTCATTCTAAAATATTGTCACCTAAACTCTTGAGCTTTTGCTTTTCCATGTGTGAAACAAGGATAATCTTGCCTAATTCATAGAATTCATGGTGAAATTCTTGGTGAAATATATAAAGTCGCTACACCAGTATTTGCTTGGTAAATGTTGGCTCTTTATAATGATGAAAAGAAAGATTATAATGATAACAAGTGATAATAATTATGTTAGTAATAATTAGGAGGAGGAGGAGGAGTGTATTAGTCAGGGTTCTCTAAAGGGACAGAACTAATAGGATAGATGTATATGTGAAGGGGAGTTTATTAAAGAGTATTGACACACATGATCACAAGGAGAAGTCCCATAATAGGTCGTCTGCAAAAGCTGAAGAGCAAGGAAGTCAGTCAGGGTCCCAAAACCTCAAAAGTAGGGAAGCTGACAGTGCAGCCTTCAGTCTGTGGCCAAAGGTGTGAGAGCCCCTGGCAAACCACTGGTGTAGGTCCAAGACCCCCAAAGCTGAAGAACTTGGACTCTGATGTTCAAGGGCAGAAAGCATCCAACAAGGGAGGAAGATGAAGGCTAGAAGACTCAGCAAGTTGGCTTCTCCCACCTTCTTCTGTCTGCTTTATTCTAGCTGTACTGGCAGTTGATTAGATGGTGCCACCCACACTGAGGGTGGGCCTGCCTCTCCCAGTCTACTGACTCAAATGTTAATCTCCTTTGGCAGCACCCTCACAGACACACCCAGGAACAATGCTTCACATCCTTCAATCCAATCAAGTTGACACTCAGTATTAACCATCACAAGTAGTAAAATGCTTATATTCTTCACAGGTAATTGGAAGACAACAGCTATCACAGGAAGTGAATCTGGGACAAATGTTGATGTTAAAGGTAAAGCACAAGAAGAATAAAAAATGAAAGGACCACATGCCCATGTCCCTACCACTATCATTTTAATGAGACGTTTCCTGCAAAATATCCTGTTCCTCCTCTTGAGTGACTTAGAAGGAAAGCTCTAAACAATCTTAGCCAGTCAAGTTTTCCTGACTCCACAGAAGACAGGAAGTAAAACAAGCTGTGACTGGCCAGGCTCGGTGGCTAATGCCTGTAATCCCAGCACTTTGGGAGGCTGAGGCGAGCGGACCACAAGGTCAGGAGATTGAGACCATCCTGACTAACAGAGTGAAACCCCGTCTCTACTAAAAATACAAAAAATGAGCTGGGCGTGGTGGTGGGCGCCTGTAGTCCCAGCTACTCTGGAGGCTAAGGCAGGAGAATGGCATGAACCCGGGAGGCGGAGCTTGTAGTGAGCCGAGACCGTGCCACTGCACTCCAGCCTGGGTGACAGAGCAAGACTCCATCAAAAAAAAAAGAAAGAAGGAAAAAAAAACCCATGAGACCAACTAAACTGGACTGAAGCAATTTTAGGAAGATGTGTTTTACAGAGATGTTTCAGTCCCTACCACAACCTGATGCAAGCAGGGTTGTCTCAGGCATTGAAGAGGGGGAGCAAGGTGTGTTAATTATAATTCTTCTCACACCAAGGGGCAGAAATTTAGTCTAAAACACACTATGCAAAGGGGGCTTTTATTAAGAGTATTGACCAGTAAGATGGTTTTATTCTGGCTTAAAATCTCCCCTAAGTTCACCAACCACACCAGTTTCCCTGAGATTCTCCCAGTTTTAGCACTGAAAGTCCTAACCCAGAAAATCCCCCAGTCCTGGGTAAACTGGTATAGTTGATCACCCTAGGTCAGCTTGTATACTGCCTTATTCCGATTCAGTGCATGGAAAATCTCTCTCTTAATTCTTTTAAATTCTGTTTCTTTATAAAATTACTTTAAGTCCTTCTATCTATCATAGCTACATAGATGATGATGATTGATAAATATATAGGTAGGTAGAGAGAGAAACAGAGAGATGTTTCTCTCTTCCTCTCTTTAAGATTATTTCCTTAAGGACAACAAACATGGCCACAAATCCAGAGACACAACCAATGAGTTAATTGGGGGGAAAGCAACATTATCAGATAGGTGCTTTTATGCCGCGTTTTTATTTGTTCCCTGTTACCCATAAACCTTACAGCTTTCAGGGACAAACACCAGGACCAACCTGAAGACCTTCTAGCATGTGCAGAACAAAAATGTCAGGCTAGAACAAATAAGCAATTCTGGTCTGGGAATGCAGTCTGGGATTTGCCCTTTCAAAGGGCAGCAATCTAACAGCTTGTTAGTTCGCCTTTTTAAAGGCCAGCAACCAGGAAAATAGACCACTGAGTGTGGGTCACTCCACAGAAAACAAGCCACGTTCCTGTGGCTATTTGCAATGCAATAAGAAGCTCCAGTCCACAAGTAAACCCAGTCACTCTTGGTCAGGAGCACCAGAATGGAATTTCAGAATATTGTTGTAACTCTACAAGTGCTTGACCTGGGAGCACCTATTGAGGATTTTATTCTAAAGAAATATGCCAAATTACCAAGAATACTTTATATACAAAAATGCACATTTCAGGGTTATTCAGAAATCTTTAAGACAAATCAAATTTTTAGCCATAACAGAATGATTGCATAAACAATAGTATGCCTGTATAATAGCTACCACAAAAATAAAAATAATGGTAATTGAGCAAGATAGCATACTCCGTGCCTTAAATAGCCTATGCCATTTAATCCTTACAATAACTCCTTTAGGGAGGCACTATATTCCTTCCTCATTTTATTCATTAGAAAACAGAGGCTTAAAGAGATTAAAGTGAATTGCCCAAAGTCACACAGCTCATAATTTGCAGAAAGAGGATACATATCAAGGTCTTATATATTCCAGAGACAAAATTTATCTGCTCTGTAAAACTTTAAAAAATTAAAATATGACTATGTAGTAAACTGAATTTTTTCATCCTTTTCAATAAGAGTAGTACCTGTTGTAGCTCAGACTCTGCCTATATTTTAGTAGAATGTGTTTGGGACCTGGATATAATTCTTTTTTTGTTAAACATAGTATTTGAGGAAGAAAAATAACTAAAAGCGATATAACCTAATATTAAACATTTTAGCTGAATTAATCTAAAAGAGCTATCAATAATGATTAATTTCTAAACCTAACTTTTACAGTGTCTAATTTCTCTGGCCTGCCTAGAATATGCCTCTAGATTTTGTTTTACTCTCCTTTTATCCTCTGTTTAGAAGATATATTATCTTTAAATAAGAAGGCAAATGTTATTTGAGCAAAGGCTAGGGACACATTCTGTGCCCTTAATACAAATAATTTTAAGCAATTTGACAGATAGAGTGCCATTACATCATTTCAGATACTAATGGGCATAATAATTCTTCAACTTCCTCATGAAAGAGAGCTCTAAAATGAGACAACTGAGTGAAAAGAAAACGTCAAGTTATTGATGGCTTCCATCATGATTTTATGACTCATAGATGGAAGGTGGTTCCTTCGTGGAGCCAGGTGTCTAGCTCGACCTTGTCTGCAGGGCTGTTTGTTGCTTTTTGCCAACCAGCATCTTCTTTCACTGCCTTGGGTCACTCTACCCAGATTTGATTTGGGAACCACCCTTCCTTGATCTTAGCGCACATGGTTCATGGATACTGACTCATTGCCAGCCCCAGGGGCAGTCTTATGATAAAAAGCCAACATAATCAGAGCCTTATGTCTTCTTGCCATAGATAATTCAGGATAGACACTTGACACATGGAAGGCCACTGAGAGCCAAGAAGATTCAATTCTGGGACTTTTGCTAGAACATTTAGGAAAGAGAATATTCCTCCTCAGAGCTTGCTAAGTTTATAGGTGATACAGGAAATTATTTAGGCATATAGAGTAAAAGAGTCCTCGGCAGAATTTCCCTTTTAACAAAAAGCAGCCCCCAAATCATTTCTTTTCTAACAAAGAGGAGCCTGAAAAATCGAGCTGCAGACATAGAAAAGCAAGCTGGAAGCTTGCACGGGTGAATGCCGGCAGCTGTGCCAATAGAAAATGGCTACCTGGAAACCAGTTATGTTCAACATGAAGGCTCCGTCTTCCCTTTTCTTTGTCACCACGTGTACAGTATTGAACCAGGTAACATGGCAGTGGGACAGGTAGAGAATAATTTGCATAATAAAAGATTAGGGTGCGGTGGCCTTTTTTTTTTTTTCTTGCCATGAAAATGGCATACCTAGTCCTAACCAGTTTTTCACACCTTATGCAAATAGATCACCGGGTCCAACCAATCTTTCATACCCTATGTAAATCAGACACTGACTCCTCAAGCTCATCTATAAAACCTTCTGCATTTCACCACAGAAGCAGCAACCCATTTCTCCAGGACCCCTTTCTGTGCGGCAGAGAGAGCTCTTCTCTTTCTTTCACCTATTAAACTTCTGCTCTGAAATTCACTCTTTGCGTGTCCATGTCCTAGTTTTCCATGGCCGTGAGACAATGACCCTTGGGTATTTATCCCAGACAACAATGCCACTTCACAGGAATGTGAGTCTGAAGCTTCTGCAATGCATGGCCTCGAGGAGTTTATGGTCCATACATTTTCCTCCCTGGTGTGATTCTAATAAGAGAAATCTTGGTCACAGTAGAAGAAATATCTTATTAATTTAGTGAACCAATTCAGTAACCATGAGAATTAAAATAAGACTATAGTCTGGGGGGAAAAAACTAGCCATTAACCAATTATTAAAATTGATATATGTTATTGTTATCAATTTATCAATAAATACTCAAACTAAACAGTGGTTTTCTTCATCATTGCCTGTCATATAAAAACCCTAGTGAATTAACAAAGCAAGCATCAAAATCCATTTTTTCTTTCTCCCTGGCATCCACACTAGATTGTATTTACAGATCTGAAAACTCATTTTGCATAGAAGTTGTCAAGTGTTTGCACTGAACTGCAAACTTAACTCAAAAAGTGTTTAAAAAGAGAAAGCAGAACTGGGGAGGTAAAAGGACATTAGAGGGCATTTAGCCCTTTGGGAAATTTTTCCAAGTCTCACAGTTAGCTGATGCAAAGAAAATCTAGGCTTTACATCCTCAAGCCAGTGTTTTTTCTACAGCACTACAAAATATTTTATTCTATCACCGAAGCAATCATCTCTAAATATAAAGATACCACCTACACACAAAACATACATTATAACATTATAAATGTGTTTTAATTTTCTGTAAAACACACAGTTCTGTCATGTATTTGGATTCCTCTTCGAATTAGAACATGTTTCTTGGGCTTACAACAAACTTCCTTCCTCTTTGCTTATAGAAATAGGAATTGTATTTTGGATCTCAGCTTAAATTTTGCTTCTTTCTCTGACTTCTGCCACATATGAACATGTTCGCCTGCTATATTGTTTATGTTTTGTGAAACAGCTATTTAGGGGTGGATGTGTCTCCCTATTAGAATGTCAGATTTTTATTTGCTTTAGAAATTGTCCTCTCTAGTTAGTAACACAAATCAGTGTGTGGCACCCCGTAAACATTGTACATTTGTAAATTATTAGTAATTATATAATTGCCACATGCTAGGAACTATTCTAATAGTATAAGTACAGACAGTCATTGCATTTAATATTTATTATTAAAATCCTTATTTTACAGGAAATGTTACAGGTAGTTAGGCATGAGCAGGGCAGGAGAGGGCTCTCCCCCACCCAATAGGAATGTTAGGTGATGGTTTGACAATAATCACATTGCCCCTCTAAAAATGATAATTTGGCAGCCAGTGCCAGGGAGAGGCCATTTCCTGAGGGTCCACACCTGTTGCATTGAAGTGTTAATTGGATGCAGGCACTAGGAAGAAGCAAAAAGGGTTTCCAATAAAATCTCAGGTATTGGGCGAGTGATCCTGGGTGTACGCATTAAGACACAAAATGGTGGAGTATGACCTTCCAGGGGCACACCACCAGAAAAGGGAAGAAAGCTTCAGATGGGCATGCGTACAACCTCCTAAACACACTGGGCATGCTCACTTCCCAAGGGTAAGGAGGGCACAGTGCATGTGGGCAGCCCACCCTAAAGGAAGAGTCATGGGATAAGGGGCACAAGACACCAGAGGTGGGCCAGCCTATATAGTCCCAGGATCAAGGATAAACACTGTACTTGTTCTTCAAATCACCCACTTGGATCTCTTCCAAGTGCACTTTCCATTATTTCCTGCTCTAAAGCTTTTTAATAAACTTCCACTCCTGCTCTGAAACTTGCCTCAGTCTCTTTTTCTGCCTTATGCCCCTCAGTCGAATTCTTTCTTCTGAGGAGGTGAGAATTGGGATTGCTGCAAACTTGTATGGATTTGCCACCAGTAACTTGGATCTCTTCTACCAGTAACAAAAAGAAAACTGAAACACATGTTATAGCGATAGTAAGAGACAGAGCTAGAATTTAAACCCAGATGATCTGATTCTACTGTCCATGATTTTGCCACTATAATGCAATGTTTTAATGCATACTTTTGAGTGTATTATGTTACAATTTAAAATTATGAAATTTAATATGCATAGCGCAGATGATGAATTCAAAGCAAAAAGAAGCTGACTTGTGTTGGAAATCTCTTGTAAATCCTCTGAGAAGTTTGAATGACGTGTAAACCAAAAATAAAATTCGAAGGCTCCCTGTGACCATTTGAATGGACCTCCTCCTTGGCCAGGGCACTTTAAATTTAACCTTCAAGACTTGTTCAGACCATGATGGGAAGAGGGGGTTGGACAAGCCTCATGATGCCCTCCTCCATTTTGAAATTCAGGAAAATCCAACCAGCATTTAACATCAACACAGACCTTAAGTCTGACAAGAAACATTTACATCTATTCTCTCTGAAGCCTGCTACCCCGAGGCTTCAACTCCATGACAAAACCTCGGTCTCCACAACCTCTCATCCTAAACCAGGCATTCCTTTCTATTGATAATAACCCTTTCAATCAATTGCCAATCAGGAAACTTTTAAATCTACCTATAACGTGGAAGCCCCCCACCACCATCTTTTTGAGGTGTCCCACCTTTCTGAACCCAACCAAGGTACATCTTAAATGTATTTGATTGACGCCTCTTGTCTCCCTAAAAGGTATAAAACCAAGCTTCACTCCAACCATATTGGGCACATGTTCTCAGGGTCTCCTGAGCAGTGTGTCATGGTCCACGGACACTCATATCTGGCTCAGAATAAATTTCTTCAAATATTCTACAGAGTTGGACTCTTTTCATTTACAGATGTTTAGTTAGCATGGGCTGATACACACTAGGTGACCAATGATTGTTAGATGAATGGGTTCCTGGAGAAACAAGTGAAACCAACACAGGCTGTATACATTGAAAAGGGTTGGTTAAAAGTAACTTGATATCATGCCTGAAAAATGTTTTATATTATGAAAATTTTTAAATTCTTTGTATTTGTATTTGCTGTACATTATTTGTATAGGAAAATGAGGCTTTAAAGTGTTGAAAGTTTATAGAAATATAAGTCCTGAGGCTAATTCTTTGCAAGATGTAGATTAGAAAGTTCCTTATTTCTTTGCACTTTAAATCTCATCTTCTTAAAAATATTTCACTGGTCTAGCATAAATTCATGCTGAAATGTTACATTAAAAGATACGTCAACACAATATTAAGTGTTCATGTCATTTCTTCTAGATACCATTCAATGAGTTTTTTCTAGATATAATTTTCTGATTAAAATGAAGCTGATTAAAAAGAAATTAAAAGTAAACATGCATGGATTGTTTTCTATTCTGATCTTGATTTCAAGGAAGAAATAGGAATGTCTTATTCTGTTCAACCTAATTGTGGCTATCCTAGTGCAGCTTTGATCATTTACATAAAAGAAACAGTTGGGAGTTCTTGGTCCATTGAATTGCAGACATGAGGACCACCAGCAGTTATTTGAATCAGATAAGGATACTTGAATAGATAAACATTTTCTATTACCCAGATGTGAGATTTGCATGGTTGAAACCAAATACCTAATACCTACATGTCTGCAATATTCCAAGTAGAGACGTTTTTCAGGGATTTCTAGGATTGATGTAAAGTTGCTGTTTATGTTTAGAGTCAAAGCAAGGATTTCATTTTAAATAACAGAAAAAAATGTAAATGCTACTTATATATAGTCCCATCCTCCATCCTTGCATGCACACACATAGACAAGCTCACAAACCCCAAAATGTAAATATCTGTACTCTCTTCTATGAGTCTGATTGCTCCAGATTTCTCTCAATATCACAAAAGACTGCACACTAGGAATATCTTCCATGTCAAAACTAATTGCCTCTTGGCTGGTCACTGGAGTTAGAAACCTACCTGTTTTATAGCAAGTTCCTTTTATCTCTAAAGTATGACTGAGCCTGGCGCGGTGGCTCAAGCCTGTAATCCCAGCACGTTGGGAGGCGGAGGTGGGCAGATCACGAGGTCAGGAGTTCAAGACCAGCCTGGCCAACATGATGAAACCCCATCTCTACTAAGAACACAAAAAGAATTAGCCAGGTGTGTTGTTACGTGCCTGTAATCCCAGCTACTTAGGAGGCTGAGACAGGAGAATCGCTTGAACTGGGGAGGCGGAGGTTGCAGTGAGCCGAGATCATGTCACTGCACTCCAGCCAGGGCAACAAAGCGAGACTCCGTCTCAAAAAAATAAAAATAAAAATAAATAAAGTATGAATATGAGCATCAGACACTTGGAGAGTCAATTTGACCCAGTGAAACTTGTTTCCGGAAGTGTGCAGGTATATCAAACTATAGCCAGTCATATACCTCAGATCCTTTTCTTTGGAGGTTATTTTATTTTCCTGAAGTATTCACTGACATATAGCTTATTATTTTGGGGATTTTCATTACTGTTGCTGAAGTTTCAGCCTAAGTAATATATCTTAACATTACACTTTTAAAAGATAGTGGAAGCTATTGGCAGTATATCACAGATATTTAGAATCATAAGGAACTTAATCGGTTATAAAGTTCCATCTCTGTGATTTTATTTGGTTTAGCAAAGTCTGTATAATAACACTTTAGAAACAAGAGTAAGCATGTTCTTTAGAGGTGTAAGTTCTGTCTCAAACATTTATAGCCCTCTTTCTTCTCTGAGATCTTAGAGTTAATAATATTCAGCATTAAGATGTGCTGGATGAGTGTCCTCTCCCCAGAGCAATTAAGATGACAAATATCCTCCTCTCTGCTGACCACTGACGACATGGTGGCCTCAAATTGCAAAAGTTCCTGCGTCCTAATTACTGCCAAGAAGAGGTCAGTATCCACTCTGCTAAGATTAATAATGTGGTTTTTGGCAGACATTCTTCACAATTCAGGCAAGCATTCTCAGTTGCCTCATCCAGTCAGGCAGCCGGTTCAGCCATAGGAGGAATCCAGGCTACTGTGTGGCTAAGAGGAAAGGAAGGTATTCATGCCCTAGTGAGGCAAACCAGGCTCATGCAGTAGCTGTGCTTACAAAGGATCTGGAGTGAATATAGTTTATTTGGGAGGTAATTCTGGGAAAAACCTGGAGAAGGTAGAAGCCATTCCATGGAGGGAAGGAAGCCCATTTACAGGGAGCATTAGCGAGCAGCTTACTTCTGAGGCCCAAGTCTTCTGGGCCTCAGAGGCCCAGCAGAAGAAGGTGTTCATGCCCTAGTGAGGCAAACCAGGCTCACGCAGTAGCTGTGCTTACAAAAGGTTAACAGCTGGCTCTCCAGCAGCAGGCGGGAGACTAGGGGGCAGGAAACAGTTTGTGATGTTTACCAATTTCTATGATCTAAATACTCCCACCAAGGCCTATTCTAAGCTGTCAACATAATGTTAATAAATTCTTAGAACAATGGGCTTTTGCAAACCAGTGCCAGCTAACTGCAGCACATCATAAATAAATGTAAAATGACCAATGTGGTAAGTGCTGCAAAGAAGTGTATAACTGCAGTATTTTTCCTTGGCAATGAAGTCAATAGAGGAGTAGCAGGTGCTGGTGTCTGCTCCCTACACACACACACACACACACACACACACACACACACACACACACACCCCGTATCCTATTGGCATTCACCATTTCATTATATGCTAATAGCATTCTACGGCAAACACCTGAGACTTTCCATCTGAGGGCTTTCTCTCAGCCCACACATGGAGAAGACCAGAAGTGCCAGGGAAAAAACATCCTTGGGAGCAACCCTCAGACAATGACAAATGGGAGTAGGAGGGTGAACATCCAAGTTTTATTGTCCCCAGGTAAGACAACTCTAAAATGTATTTCCACCCCATCTCTCAAAAGGGCCCAGCAGACTTGGGCCTCAGAAGTAAGCTGCTTGCTAATGCTCCTTGTAAATGGGCTTCCTTCCCTTCATGGACTGGCTTCTACCTTCTCCAGGCTTTTCCCAGAATTACCTCCCAAATAAACTATATTCACTCCAGATCCTTGTGTCTTAGTCTACTCTATGAACAATAAGCCAAAGATATTACACTTTTCTAGAGAAATAGAGGTAAGTCTGAAGAAAGAATAGGACTCAAGTAGAAAAATAAGAAGGAAAGCATGTTCCAGGCAGAGAGAACGACATGGAAGGCACACAAACATATACTACTACACATATGTTCCTCAGTGTCACTATGCCATGCAAAATCGTGCGCTGGAATTAGGGGCAAAATGCTCAAAGATGTCATGAGTGGCATACAAAACTGACAGGAACCCAGTTAAAAATGGTTGCATGGTTATGTATACATGTTAAATGGTGCATAAACCATTGGCAGAAGGGGTTGAAAGAAAATTGTAGTTCACATGCGTATCATTTTGTGTGTGTGTGTGTATGTGTGTTAAGAACACTTAAAGTCTACTCCATTTGCAATTTTCAAGAATATAATATGTCGTTATTAGCTATAGTCACCATGTTGTACAACAGATCTCTTGAACTTATTCCTCTTATCTAATTGAAACTTGCATCCTTTCTCCTTGTCCCCAAACTGCAGCCCCCCAGCCCCCAGTAACCACAATGTATACATATTTCAAAACAACATGTTGTACAAGATAAATATACATAATTTTTATTTATCAATTAAAAATAAATAGAAGAAAAATATTAAAAAAGAAAAGAAAACTAGATTGTAGTTAGTCACTTACTGGAATTAGTGGAAGGTTATCAAAATCTGAAATCTTTTGCAGACTTAAATCCTGAGGCATGTTTCTCTGCCTTTGAGATATATGTCCTTTGGGAAATGCATTTTTAATAGATACCTATTTTGTCAAAACTGAAAATTCAATCCAGTGAATACCTTCTTCAATTAACTTCTGGTATCAGCACTAGGAAGATTTCCTTTCGTGGCTTTCTCATCTGCACTCAGGGCTTCACCAAACGGCTGAAAGCTTTGGAAATTGTAGCAATGTTTGAAACCTTCAAACCAGCCTCTACTAACACTAAAAAGAGCCGCTTTTGTAGGATTAGATGATTTCATTTAAGGTCTTCATATATTG
Source organism: Homo sapiens (assembly GCF_000001405.40). NCBI lineage: Eukaryota > Metazoa > Chordata > Mammalia > Primates > Hominidae > Homo > Homo sapiens. Next base: position 59,383,978 of record NC_000016.10, on the reverse strand, counting down.
ATAGTACTTTCTCTTTGATTATGAGAAAGATTGTTCCTGATTTTTTTCTCTCTTTAGTCTTCAATCCATATGCTTAACAATCTTTCCACTTCTTTTATCTCTTCAGGCCATGTTCTTATTGACTTCACAGCACTGGAAGCCACAGACTTTTCTTTTATTTTCATGGCATTGTCTCTGATGGTCTGCAATGTAGATTCCTTTAAGCCTGTTACTCAGGAGATATCGCATGTTCTCTCTTCTCTTTCAATACATAAAGCTTTACTTTTGCATCCATTGCTGGTAATTTTGACCCATTACATTGAAACACGTTTGGCATATTGAGGGAGTGTTTTGTTTTGTTTTTTGATATAAAAAAGCTCATAAATGCAAAAGAAGAGCAAAAGGCAACATTATAAGACAACATGTACAGCAAATCAAGGTAACTGGTCTACTGTCTGAGGGGTGCAATGGTCTGAATCTGTCCCCCAGCAGATTAAGTGTAGGAAACTTAATCCCCAATGCAACAGTGTTGGGAGGTGGGGCCTAACAAGAGGTGATTACACCATGAGGACTCTGCCCTCATGAATGAATTAATGTAGTTATTGAGAGAATGGGTTAGTTATGATGAGCGTGGACTTGTTATAAAAGCAAATTTAGTCCCCTCTTGCTCTCTTGCTTGCTTGCACTTTCTCTCTTGCCGTTTTGCCTTCTGCCATGAGATGATGCAGCAAGAAAGCCCTTGCCAAATGTCGACCCTTGATGCTGGACTTCCCAGCCTCCAGCGGGAAATAAATCTCACCTGTATGCAGTGGATGCCTGTAATCCCAGAACTTTGGGAGGCTGAGGTGGGAGGATCACATGATTCCAGGCATTTGAGACCAGCCTGGGCAACATAGTGGGACCCCATCTCTACAAAAAATAAAAAGAATTAGCCTAGCATGGTGGCATACGCCTGCAGTCCCAGCTGCTCAGGAGGCTGAGGTGAAAGGATTGCTTGAGTCCAGGAAATTGAGGCTGTAGTGAGCCATAATTGTGCCACTGCACTCCAGCCTGGGCAGCACAGGGAGATCCTATCTCTAAATAAATAAATAAATATCTGTTCCTTATAAATTTCCCAGTCTAAGACAAGAGGGGATGTGTGTGTGTGTGTGTGTGTGTGTGTGTGTGTGTGTGTGTGTGTGTTTAGGTGCACGCATTTTTTTCTATCCCTGCAAGACTCAGGTCAGCTCAGTGTAGTTTCCTGAATTCAACTAGTGTTTCTCAGGGATGAAATTGAACATAAGCAAACACAAATTTCACATCTTGCTCAAATTGTTCCCTAATATATCAATGATGTTGGAACAAATTCACATTTTAAAATAGACATTTATAGCAGAACTTGTGTGTGTGTGTGTGTGTGTGTGTGTGTGTGTCTGTGTGTGTATAAAACAAAATAAAGTGCTGATTACAGATTAAAGTGCTAATTACAGATCTGGGTCAACAAAATAAAGAAAACTATATGCCCCCTGATTGCCCTGCTACAATATTCTACTCTCTTTCAATATATTTAGGTTGGGGAAATATTTCTTGTTTTAAATGAGTACAGAGGAAGGGATATGTCTTTCATCTCCAGTAATGGAGGAAATCAGAATATAAATTTCTCTAGTAGAGCTGAACACTGAAGAATTTGTGTCAACATGGACACAATGCTTGAATAATGTCTTAGGGCAACTTCTCCTGGAAACAGAACATGAGAGAGTTATTCATGTTCTCTATTTATTAATAAATTAGTGGTTTATTAAGGGAGTGCTCTCAAGGAGAGATGCATAAGGAAGGAAGGGGTACAAGATGGAGAATGAGAAGAAACTAAGCAAAGATGTGCTTAGCGGTGAAGTCTAACTTCAGCCTGATCTAGGAGCTCTAGGGTATAAACTGCACTGCAGAGGTTTTCCCACCTTGATGCAAGGGAGCTGGAGTTTTGAATCCTTGCCATAATCGACCATTAGTCAAGGGGCAGGAAGATAACATAAGTCCAAGATACAATCAGGAAAGGCTGTCCAATCACCCAAGAACAGCTCTCTGAGAAAGACATGGGGGTGAGCCCTTCACAGTATTACCTACAGCAGCAGGTGGATGTATGCATCAAATAGATAAAAGGGATCCCAGAATATCTGAACAGTGAGCCAACGGTGTCTCCCACAGAAAGGAGGCACTATTTTTGGAGGCCATGTGTCAGAATCCAATACATTATCTTTTTCATACTCTCCAATTACCTTGTGTGATAGACATTGCTATTAGCACCATTTTACAAATAAATTTGAGTCTCTTAGTGCTTAAGCAATATGTTCACCATCACACATTAGTGTGAGACTCTATACTACACAATCCTCTTAACCCATAGCTAATCATTGCCTTTCTCCACAATAATGTCATATTGCATGTTTGTTTTATTTTCTTTTGAGCTTTTTTCTGTTTCCTAGATTGGTTTGGTTTTAACCGTGGAAATCTTTCTCTAAGTGAAAGCTTACAGAGAAATCCTCTATGTAAAACATGAAATGGAAGTGACTGCTCTTAGATCTCCATCTCATCCTGTCCATGGAGGCAAAAATGAGTCGCTTTCACAAAACCACACTGTATTAGTCCCTACTGAAAGACAATTCTCCATGGGTTTCTGTGTCTCTCCCAGTTTGCAAGCAATGGCACTGAGAGCTTTAATTCTAAATAATCTTTCCAAAGACACTTTAGCAAACAGTCTGGGAAGATAAAGACAGTATCTCCCTCTAAGACAAATGGTGGATTTGATGCCTGAGCAGAAGGTCTCTGGGACAAAGTTTGGACAGGTCTGTTAGCACCTCCCACCATCAGCTCTTAGAAGACTGGATGTTTTCCCAAGCTCAGGTTTCTCAGCTGGCCCACCTCTGCCCCATCCCATGGCATGTGGGGGCAAGAGAAAACACTGTCACCGTGAAGTGTATGCTGCCTACTATGCTGTGAGTAATAAAGTCCTCTGCCTCTGGCCCAGAAGTCTGTATCTTCTACCAGCATCTCTGAAACTAGCAAACTAACTTGTTAGCTTTTGTGGAGAATAAAAATCTCTGAGCCATCACAGCTCCTGGCATGCCCACCATCTGTTTATATAGGTCATACTGAGGTAAAACTCATTAATTAGCATTGCCAAATGGTGCACTTTCTGGATTTCACCACATAATTCAGTTAGGAAATGGTGGTCATTTTCCTCCAGGATATTCCAAACCAAACCGACATCTGAGACAAACCCTAGGAAGGACCTAGCCTTTGACACTCAGGATCATATTCAGGCATGCCAACAGCTCACTCATATGCCATGGATGTTCTCAAATGAAACAGTTAGGAACAAAGCTGGCAAACAGAATGGTCCTCTAAAAAGCTGTGAAGGGCATTTGGCCATTGAGGCTACTTATTGGAAGTAGTGCAAGTTTGTATTTGACTTGATTGCCTGGTGTTTCTTCTCTGTGTGAGTTCCCTTTATAAAATCACTGCACAGTATGATTTTGAGAATTAGGAGAAACACAGATACTATAGGGTCTGTTGCAAATGTCAAGATGGAGGAATCTATAGCAGAAGCAATAACAATCAATAAAGCTAGGAAAATTTTGATAGATGCATAATATATAGGACATCAACTATACTATACTAATATTCACTATATTCGATATTTAAAGTATTATACCAATTGGATTCAAAGTCCAATACTGTCAGATATATCTATAGCTCTGCACAAAAGCTGCCAATGCCTGATATTGAGGACTTTCAGAAGTTAGGCATATGATTATCCTCCTTTTCAGCAGGTAGGAAATGAAAAGAGTGTTCATTATAACTGATTAAATAATTGTAACTAACATTGGTGGATTATTTACAAAATGCCTGGTTCTGTGCTAAGCTTTTTACCTGCATTCTCTACTTAACTGCAATCACCACCAAGGAGAAAACGAGTATTATTTCACACAGTTTGCAAATAAAGGAACTGCATCTGAGAGATATTCATGATATAGTCTGGCCACAGTAACCTAGCTAATAAGTAGCATACTTGTGCTATTTATTGGCACAAATAGCACATGATTAATAAGCCATAGCTAAGATTATCAGTGATATTAATGTTAATAATATAAGCATAGAAGTATCTAGGGGCTAAAATTGGTGCAGGTTATTTGTCTATTTTAGATGCTTCATCTTTAAAAGACAGGAGTAAATTTTATAAACTCTAAAGCTGATTTCTGACTTTAACCTACTATGATTCTGTGCCATTTGTTTCTCCTCTATCTTGATTGGATCTTACAGGTCCTCAATTCACCAGAGCCTGAGTGCTTATTCACTCCTGCAGACTGTAGTTCACCCAAGTTCCTTTTGCTTATGGGAAGGTCTCTGCTCCCATATTCTTCATCTGCTCTAGCCCCAGGTGATGAAAATGATGTATGCTTTTATAATTTTTCCAAAGGAGCTTTCCTTTTCTTATACTTTGAGATAAGAACTTCTTTTGGAACTGCTTTGGTAGATGCTGTAGAGTATTTCTGAACAGATGGTGCATTGTCTTCAAGGAAAGGGTTGGCTTTGTTTATTTGGAAACCACTCTGACCCTGATCACAAGAGTTACCTGCTAAGTACACTACGGATGTTATTTCTAACACATGGAGAGTCAGCATGGTGACCCGGAAACATGAGGGAACCCCAGGGGAGTGGCTGTGAACAACTTTCTCTTTTGTGATTTTCATTTTTCATTATGTCTGACATTTTTGAAGCTGAGCTTTTTAAGAAATACCAGTTTTAGAAGAACAGACTGGGGATGTGTTTCAAGGAAATGTAGAGCAGTCACAAGAGAAAACAGGCACAGTGGAAAACGTGCCCATTTGAGATGGGAAATGGTGTATAGGCGGCGTCTTTTATTTTCTCCCGTTAGCCGAATGAAGTGTCAGTGCATTGTTCTTAGAACTTTCAGAAATAAACAAATAATCAAATCGCATTTGCCTTTTGTTTGTTTTGAAACATCTGTGATGTGAGCTGTCAGCCTAGTGTTTGATGTATACAACTGCAGAATACATCTGTGCACAGTAGAGAAATTTCAAAGTACCTCTCATTTTAGGTACTGAGATGGAATCTATGCTTTCTATGTTACTAAAAGCTGAAATATATTGGTCTGGCAATTTAGTTGATATTGTTTCCATTCTTCCCTGGATATGGATGTTCTAAAACTTGACAAATAGGAAGATGGTTATTTATCTTTTTTTAAAAAAAAATCTATTTTCATCGTAACAACTTCTTTTTATTGGGAGACTTTTACAAATAATAAAAGGTTAAAACGACCTGTCTATCCAGGGCATAGAAAACGTAGAGGTGACTACATCCATTTTTTGTAAATTTATTTAATGATCATTTATTGATCACCACTACCAGACTCCTGGCATTGTGGTACCAGCTGGAGAGAAGAGTAAGGTGAAGAAGCCATAACCTCTGTCTGCACTTAAGGAAACGCTTCCCAACTGATGTGCAGCAAATTGGTTACAGGTGTTCCGTGAGATATTGATCACCTCAGCCTCCACAGGAGCAGAAATGACCAGAGGTCATCAGGCTTCCTAGCAGGTCACTTTCCTCCATGAGTAGTCTTTTCTAGGGCTCTTGGGAGTCTGGCCTTAGCTGAGTGGTATCTGACTGTTCTCCTTCCTCCAACTCACTAAGCTGACAGATCCAGTGAGCATTACCTGGTACTACCCAACATGGCATGCTGCAGGTGGCCAAGGAGTTCCTCCATCATCTGGGCAAATATGTCAACAGTCAGATGCAAATGTATTATTATTGGATTTCTGGAAATTGTGTCTGATGAACTGCTGAAGGAGACTTTTTTCCAGGCACCCACAGAACATGGCAGGTGGGCTCAAGTGTGGTCTGTTGATGTTGGGGAAAAGATCACCAAGCCAAGTAGGGACTTTGAAGAGGAGTAGCTCCAGGAGGCAGGGCAAAAACTGTCTTCTCATATTTCTTTCATTTCTGTCCATTTATTTTGTTTTGTTTGTTTGTTTTTGCAGCATACAAGCTAACTTCCAGATGACTGTTTTAGTAAAAGGGACATACTCTACAAATTATGGCTTCATCAGGGTTTTGAAATATTTGACATGAAAAAGTTTGATTAAATTCTAAACCCATTCCCATTATGATAACTTGTTTCAACATTACATTTAGCTATGAAAGATAAGAAAAAGCAGTTTGATTCCTTAAATGTAATGTCAAGTGCCACAAATTTTTGAATGACTATAAAAAAAATTTACGTTATCACTTATGTGAATGAAGTTCCTCTCTTAATGACAACTTCCAAGAGTTTGAAGAGGTCAAATAGCTATCTGAAGAACAAAAGCGATGTAAAAAAAATAAAGAGTTAGGAATTTCACTCTGGAATAATGAAGCAGAGAGGTGGGGTTTTCCCCTCTATTCCTCCAAGTACAACAGCTATGCACTGAATATTTGTGTCCCTCGGAATTCATATGTTGAAACTCTGGGATGGTATCAGGAAGCGGAATCTTCAGAAGGTAATAAAGTCAGATGAGGTCATAAGTGTGGTAGGCTCATGATGGGATTAGTGCCCTTATAAGTGGATACATGAGAAAACTTGGTTCTTTCTCTGCTCCCTGCCATGTGAGGATACAAGAAGACAGCCATCTGCAAACAAAAAAGCAGACCCTTGCCCAAAACCTGATCAGCCAACACCTTGATCTCAGATTCCCCAGCCTTCAGAACTGTGAAAAATAAATTTCTGTGTTTAAGCCACTCAGTTTATGATACTCTGTTATAGCAGCCTGGACTGACCCTGGACAATATGTTTAAAACAAACAGAAGACTTTGAATAGTGGAGAGAAGGAGGCAGACTGACTAAAGATCATGAGACTTGAGGAACAACACAGTAGTGAGTTCCGTGGCTTTTCTTTTTGGCTCATATATGCCAGGTTTGGGGCTGAAGAAACCAGAAATCCAGAGATGCCAAAAGGTGCAGACAAACAAAAAAGCTTGAAAAAGTTCCCATTCTCTCCAGCCAGCAGACCAGGAAAGGGGCATCTGAGCAAGACAAAAACCATTAGACAGTAGTCACACCACTCCAATCACACACTTGTTAAAAGTAAACATTCTGCTAAACAAACTCATGACTATTCCAATAGGGGACTGATATTGTTTGGATGTGTGTCCCCTCCAAATCTCATGTTGAAATGTGATCCCCAGTGTTGGAGGTAGGGCCTGGTGTTTGGGTCATGGGAAGGGTGGGACAGATCCTTCCTGAATGGCTTGGCATCCTCTTCATAGTAATGAGTGAATTCTCATTCTGTTAGTTCACACAAAAGCTGGTTGTTTAAAGGAGCATGGCACCTCCTCCTCTCTTCCTTGCCCCTTTTTCTCTTGCTCCCTTTCTCACCTTGTGACATGCCTATTCCCACTTCACCTTCTGCCATGAGTAAAAGCCTCCTGAGGCCTCATGAGAAGCAGATGCCGGCATCAGGCTTCTTGTGCAATCTGCAGAACGGTAAGTCAAAACAACCTCTTTTCTTTATAAATTATCCAGTCTCAGGTATTCCTTCAGAGCCATGCAAAACAGACTAATACAGGGGGAAGAACTAAACTCACCTCCACTTAAACAAAAAGCATGATGGTTTTTAAGCACTGGGGTGAGAAAGTAGAAACATAATGCGATATGTTGAGAAGAGGTTGATCAACAGAACCTGTAGAGCACATTGAATTATTCCTGAATTTGCAAATGTTCTTCTCTGGAATTAGGCCATCTGTGTTTGCTAATTGGTGCCTATGGAAGTTCTCCTGCTCCCATTCCTCCACCAGAGATCGGGAGATCCATGTAAAATCTCCCTCCAAGTTTACCTTTCAAAGAGATGGTCCCCAGGTCCTGAAGAAAGATTTCTGGGTTGTAAAACTGGCAAAAGGCTTTTAAAAAATGTACATCTCAGAGAGGCAGAGCAAAGTATTACAAGTTTTTTAAAGTAAATGCTCTAAGGAGAGGGAGGCCAGTAGCATAAAGGCAGGAAAAAAGCCTGTCTAAAATTTGGTCAAGGAGAGGGAAACACTAAGTTGTCTTGGTCACACCACTGATGAAAGTGTGGCGTGGCCACACACTCCCACTCATGCAAGCAAATGTTGTTATCAAGCAAATGGTCTCATTTCCCGATGCACACATAAGCCAATAACTATGGTACTAGCTTTTGAGAAAAGAAAGGTTTAATTGCAAAACCAACCCACAAGGAGATAGGGGTCAGATTCAAATCTGTCTCCTCAATTTGGTGTCTGGGGCAAGTTTCAAAGGATCATAGAGCAAAGGATTTAAGGATGATGGCTTGGCTGAATCTGATTGAAGTCCTTTAAATTCGACCATTTACAGTAAGATTTGTTGAGGCAGATTTTAGTTCTGAATCTTCCGGGCCAATGGAACACTTGCTTCTGAAAGAGTTCCAGCATTGAACTTCTGGTCATATCCTAATCTTCTTGGTTCTGAGGGGGGAATTGTTGGTTCTGGGTGTTGTTAGAGGTCAAAGGTGTTTTTTTGTTGTTGTTGTTTGTTTGTTTGTTTTTCATTGTTCATGCCTGGGCTTCATGACTCACAGTTTTGGGCTCTGTTATACCTATAAGGTAACTCACTGTTTTGTTATCAACAGAGTAGGCTCAGTTTGGACTGGTCCTCCAACTTCAACAGGGAAGCCAAGACTTCCACCCTTGCAAGATGGTATAAAGGTGCCCCAACAACCCCATCCAGGGTTATCAAAGGAGGCCAGGTAAGGAACCAGGACTTTTATCTCCATCCAGCAGTAACAAGGCACTTCTTGGTTTGGAGCTAAAGAAGCTAGAAATCCATAAATGTCAAAAGATGCAGGAAAAGTCTTAAATCAATAATCCAAGCTCCCACATCAAGAACCTTAAAAGCAAAATAACCCCAAAGCAAGAAGAAGGAAATAAACAATAAAGACAAGGTCACAAATCAATTAAATTAACAACAGAAAAACAATAGACACAATCAATGAAATGAAGAGTTGGCTCTTTGAAAACATCAATAATATCCACAAAACTCTAGCAAGATTAGCAGAGAAAAAAGAAGAGAAGACATAAATTGCCAATGTCAGGAATGAAACAAGAATATAAGTCCTGCACATATCAAAAAGATCACAATGAAATACTACAAACAACTCTACACACGAATTTGACAACTTAGATAAAATTGACTGCTTCCTCAAATTTGTAATGTTAAAACTCTCCAAATAGAAATTTCCAGATCTAGATGGGTTCACTGGAGGATTCTACCAAACATTTAAAGAAGAACTAACATTTCTACACAATCTTATCCAGACAGTAGAAAAGGGGGAAACACTGCCCAAATTTTTGTTGTAAATGTTGCATAAGGCTGTACCAAACCAAACAAAACAAAAAACTGCAGACCCCTATTCTTAATGAATATAAATTCAAAAATCCTTAACAAAATAGAATTTGGCAATATATTTTTTTAAAAAGTGTACATCGTGATCAAACGGGGTTAATTCCAGGGATGCAGGGCTGGTTTAAAATCTATCAATGTAATCTACCATATGATCACATCACTTAATAAAGAAAAAGAACTGGACAAAATTAAACATGTATTTATAAAGGCTTTAAAATATATGAAGGAAACTTCCTCAACTCATTAAGAGCACCTATCAAAAAAACAATACTTATTATTATTTTTATCAGTGAAAACCTGAGTGCTTCCCTCTACATGTAGGAACAATGTGAGATGGACACTCTCACTACTCTTTTTCAACAGAGTCTAGAAATTCTAATCAGTATAACAAGAAAAGAAAAGAAAATACATACAAATTGAAAGGAAGAAATAAAACTGCTTCTATTTTCAGATGACATCATGGCCTTTGTAGAAAACATGAGGAACCTACAAAAACTCCTAGAACTAATAAGTAAGCTCAGCAAGGTCATATGAATAATGTAAATGTCAAAAAATGTATTTTTACAAACTAGCAATGAACATTTTGATATCCAAAATTAAAAATACAATACCACTTACATCACTCAAAAAATAAAATACTTAGGTGTAAATCAAACAAAATAAGTACAGGACTTGTATGCTAAAAACTATATAATACTGATGAAAGAAATAAAAGAAGATCTAAATAAAAGAAGAAAGGATGACTCAGCATTGTAAAGGTACTATTTCTCCCCAAATATATATACAGGTTTAATGCAATTCCCATTAAAAATATCAGCAAATATTTTGTAGATAAATAAAATATTATTCTAAAATGTATATGGAAAGACAAATGAATTGGAATAGCTTAAATAATTATTAAAAAGAAAGTGTATTTGGAAAGATCATTCTACAATTTTAAGACAATATTTAGCTACAGTATTCAAGACTATGTGATACAAGCCAAGAGATAGAGCCACAGGTCAATAGAACAGAACAGAGAGCCCCAGAATTGACCCACACAAATATGATCAAGTGATATTTCTATGAAAGTACAAAAGTAATGTAATAAAAGAAAGATTTTTTTTCAACAAATGGGTGCTAGAAAAACTGGACATCAATGGGCAAAAAAAAAAAAAAAAAAAGGAAAGAAGGGAGGAAGGGAAGAAGGAAGGGAGGGAGGGAGGGAGAGAGGATCGATGGAAGGAAGGAATAAGTGTATCAATCTTGATCTAAGTCTCACATTTCACACAAAATTAAATAAAAATGAGTCATGGACTTAAATGTAAAAGGTAAACCTGTACAACTTTTTGAAAAAAGAAAAAACCTGGGAGAAAAGTCTTTAACGTCTAGGGATAGGCAAATAGTTTATAGACTTGACATCCAAAGCACAATCTATTTAAAAAAATCAATAAATTGAGCTTCATCAAAATTTAAAACTTTTCCTTCACAGACGACCCTGTTAAGAAGATGAATAGACAAGTTGGAGAGTGGGAGAAATATTCACAAACCACACAATCCATCAAAGGTCTGGTATCTAGAGTATATAAAGAGTTCCCAAAATGCAATAGGCAAAACAACACAGTCCAATAAGAAAATGGATAAAACTCTTGAAGAGACATTTCACTAATGAAATGATGAACTAATGGCAATGGTGGTTTTGGTGGTGGTGATTAAATAATAAAGTGATGGCAAATACACACAGGCGAAGATGGTCAACACCATAAGCCATCAGGGAACTTGCAAACTAAAGCAACAGTTCAGTATCACTAAACAACTATCAGAATGGCCAAAGCAAAACATAGTGACAATGCCAAATACTGGCAAGGATGTGAAGAACCTGGATCATCATTCATTGCTGGTGGGAATGTAAAATGGTACAGCCACTCTGGAAACAGTTTGGTGGTTTCTTAACATGTAACCACACAACTACAATACAAGCCAGCATTTGCAATCCTGGACATTTATCCCAGAGAAATTAAGACAGGTTCCACAAAAACCTGTTGACAGATGTTCATCAGAACTTTATTTTTAATGGCCAAGCTCTGGAAACATTATGTCCTTCAATGGGTGAGAGGTTAAACAAACTGCAGTACGCCCAAGACCAAGGAACATTACTGAACAGTAAGTGGGAACAAACTACTGATATGTGCAACAAACTGGGTGACTCTCCAGAGAATTATGCTCAGCGAAAAAAAGCCATTCCCAAAAGGTTGTATACTGTATGATTCCATTTATATAACATTTTTGAAATCACAAAATTATAGAAATGAAGACAGTGTAGTGGTTTCCAGTGACTCAAGAGGAGGTTAGATGGTAGAGAAGTAGGCTTGGCTATGTGAAAGCTCAAAATGATAAATTGTTCTGCATCCAGACTGCATCAAATCAGTATCCAGGTTGAGATACAGTCCTATAGTTTTGCAAGAAGTGACTATTGGAGGAAACTGGGTAAAAGGGTACTCACGATCTCTCTGTATTATTTCTTACATTGCATGTGAATCTACAGTTGTCTCCAAACAAAAAGTATTACAAATAAATAAATAGTTACATTCACAAAAGCAAGTCCAACTTCTCATTTAATCTTTATGTTCAGTATTTTAAAACTTTACTAATTTTTGTTTTATTTCATCATCATAATTACCTCATTTTAAGAAAATGCATTTTTCTCACATGCTCCAACACATCTACAGTTTAAGCCAAGAGTCATACAAAAATTATAACTTACGTAAAGTCTGTGACATAAAACAAGATGGGAAACTGACTAAAGACTTCACTTAAACAACAATAATGAAACAACAGTAACCATTGTTGAATAATTAGACTCCACTAAAATTTCAGTGTGCTTTTCTCAATTAATCTTCAAAAAGAACCTACATGAAAGCTATTACCATTCTTATTGTTTTGATGAGGAAACTAATACTAACAAAGTTAATTAAATTGCTCAGGAATTGGATTAAGATCTATTGTTAAACACTTGAAATTTTCAAAGTATAATTTTTTAACATGAAATTTTCTAATTTTCCAACTTTACCTACTATTTATTTACTTATTTATTTAAACACAAGACTCTCTCTTTATATAGGGCAAAGAAAACCATGTCTGTGCACACGATTTCAGATCCAGGCCAACAGTTTGCAACTTCTGCAATAAGCAATGGAAAATTTCTTAGATGATCGAGTGTGCTCTCAGGTGCTCTCTTACCCACAATTCCAAAATTCAAGAGGCTCTCAAAACAGATGGTTTTTGTCTGTTTGTTTGTTTTTCCATAAATTCACAGTAAACTCGTTTGCCTACAAAGCTGCACTTGAATTGATATAAGCCTATTTTAAATTTTTATTTATTGTTAGTGTTTATCTCTTTTAATACAGAAATGTTAATTTATTTGATTTTGGGACATTATCCTACTCTTGCTGATCCATACTATATAACACATATATGTTTCATATTACCTTTCTAAAACTGCCCCCATCTTCTAAGTTCTGAAGCCTAAATTACAACTACTCCAAAGAAGTTTGGATAAAAGACTGTGAAACTGCCTTAGAAAAATCACTGGTGGCATTGTGAAAGATAGACGGTCCTTTCCTGAATCATTAAATTTCCCAACAATCCTCTTTTATTAAAAGCCAAGTCTTTCCTCTGCCCATCCATCGTCTATTTACTCAACAAATATTTGCTTAAAACAAAACAAAATCGTGATTGAACCTTTACTACCTGTCAGACATTGTATAGGGCACTGGAGATACAGAAATGAATGATTTTTCATTTAATCCAAAGACTTATGGGGAGACTGCACGGGGGCCAGTTAGGCAAACACACACTTAAAATACCCCCAAATAGATAATCTGTGAAGTATATACAAATGACCTGATAATGAGTCATTTGAGTGTTGTTTTAAAAAATAGAGACTCGCCAAGGCGGGCGGATCACGAAGTCAGGAGATTGAGACCATCCTGGCTAACACGGTGAAACCGCATCTCTCCTAAAAATAAAAAAAAAAATTAGCCGAGCGTGGTGGTGGGCCCCTGTAGTCCTAGCTACTCGGGAGGCTGAGGCAGGAGAATGGTGTGAACCCGGGAGGTGGAGCTTGTAGTGAGCTGAGATCATGCCACTGCACTCCAGCCTGGGCGACAGAGAGAGACTCTGTCTCAAAAAAAAAAAAAATTGAGACTCACAGTATTAATTTGTATGAAAATATAACCAGCCAAAGCACTAGTAAAGAATGTAGCTGAGGCATGAGAAGAAATTTGGGAAACTATTAGATGGAAATTAAAATGACTGTGTCAGGAGGGGGCCAGCTAAGCTGAAACAGGAGGAGGTTGCCGGCTGGAGATTTGTTACAGGCAGAGCATTAGAAGAAGAAAGAGGCTAGAGTAAGGATAGGAAGAGATTCTACTTTCAAGCAGATTAGAACTTAGTAGCTTATAAAATGATTTTTGTATCATAAGTTCCTAATACAGTAAAAGCTTATTAATTCGGACTAAAAAGGGATTAGATTTGTTAGCCACCTTTCTGATTTTTTTTATTCTAAAGTATTAATTGTGGGGGGAAAATATGTAGTCATTAGATCTTCAGAGGCTAATAGAGAGTTTCAGCAATTTTGACTTCCAAACATGTGACTATAGAATCCAAGGTACTAACTAAACTTTGCTTGTTGAATAACCTTCACTGCCTGCGTTCAGAATCTACACGTTCCATGGTATTTCTGTCACCTTCTGGTGTTAGATGCAGGGACTGCTGATTCAGTCTGAGTCGTAGCAGCCAGGGATGATGCTTAATGGTTTTATAAAGTATCACAGCATCAGTATTCTGTCCCTGTATGAAAATCTAGTGTTTGCTTGTTCCCATCAGGGAGTCTCTCTTCCTGTAAAATACCCACTGCCACTACTTAAAGCAGAAGGCTAATGGCACAGAATGGAAGACAATCACCCAGGAAACTCCAGACGGTATTAGGGAGCAGTAAAAAGCTGTTCTGAGCGTCCAAGGCAATTGTCATTGTCCCTGTATTCTTTGACATCAAGTCATTATTTTCAACCGCATTGTGAATTGTCTTTATTTTCCTAGAGCACTCATCAAAAAAGGCTCACTTCTGAAGGTTATGAGCAGATGCTGAGATTTAAAAACCTCAAATAAAGACTTCCAGATACAGAGAAGTTTGCCTCAAAAACCAGGGTTACCTCCAGTTTCCAAAAGCCTATAGTCCCTGCCAAAAAAAAAAAAAAAAAAAAAATGGCCTAAACAAATTAGCAAACGCATGGTAAAAACTTGTGTGCACTTGAACTAAACTAACTTTACTTATACGAGGTTTTAAAGGTCTAATTTCTTTTTAATTAAAGAAAGGGAGGTGATTGTAAGAGGCTTATGCATCTGGAAATACACAAGTCACCAAAGCCATTTCAGGAAAGGGCTTTAACCTACATCCACCACTCACCTGCTCCCATACCTCACCATGGAAAATTGCAATCGAGGCATTTTGTTCCAATAATCTTGTTTTGTTTTATTTGTGTTTTTTACTTCAAATTTGCTTCTCCTGTTATTCTTTATCTTTGTTTAATCTTTTTTTAATGGAATCTTTGCCCTCTGGAACAGTGAGGCTATGTCAGGAAAAAAAAAGAAAATAAATAAGAAATCTTTCTATGTCTTTCAAACGGAGGAACTGCATTCAAAGAAATTGGTTATTTAGGTGTTAGAAAAAATAAAGAGCCGAAGATAATGGCGAGGTGACCCAGAGATTAGCAAGAGCAGGAAGGTGCGGTCACACCAGGGTTGTGCAATGACAGGAGGAATTGGTGATTTAGAACCTAGAAGCCAAGCACATCCCGGGAGTGAAAACTATAGCAAAGGTATCAGTATATTAGTCCCCCCTTATTCATGGTTTTCCTTTCTGTGGTTTCAGTTACCCAAGGTCAACTGCAGTCTGAAAATATTAAATTAAAAATTCCAGAATAAACATTTAATAATTTTGAATTGCGCACCATTTTGAGCAGAGTGATGAAATCTCAAGGTGTTCATTACCATCCCACCCAGCTCATGAATCTTCCTTTTGTTTGCCCGTTTATTCACGTGGTCTGTGCTACTTTCCTGTTAGTCACTTAGGGAGCCCTCTGGGTTATCAGATAGCCTGTTGGTATAGCAGTGCACTTGTTCAATTAACCTTTGTTTTACATAATAATGGGCCCAAATCGCAAGAGTAGCGATGCTGGTAATTTGGATATGCGGAAGAGAAGTTGTAAAGTGCTTCCTTTAAGTGAAAAGGTGAAAGTTCTTAAGAAAAGGAAAAAAATATCTATGCTGAGGTTTCCAATGTTCACACTAAGAATGAAACTTCTAGCCATAAAATTTTGAAGAAGAAAAGAAAAATTTGTGTTAGTTTTGCTGTTGCACCTCAAAATGCAAAACTTATGGCCACAGTGTGTGATAAGTGCTTAGTTAAGATAGAAAAGACATTAAATGTGTTAGTGGAAGAAATATATTCAATTGACAGCAATTGGGTTCAGTACTACTCATAGTTTCACATATCCACTGAGGGTGTCAGAACGTATTCGCCATGGATAAGGGGAAACTATGGTACCATAGAGGGAAGGTTTTTCCAGTGGGAGATGGAACTGAAGCAGCATCATTGTCTGGGGTAAACACCTGGGGTCTGTCATCTCGGACCAAGAAGATAACGACGCTGACACATGTGGATGGGTTAAGGAGCGGAAAGCTTAATAGGCTGAAGAAAGGAAAGAGGACAGCCGTTCTCTGTCTCTGTCGCAAGAGAGAGGCATCGGAAAGGAAAAAGCCCACCTGCAAGGGATCACAGTAGATTTTATAGGCAGGCTTGAGGAGGTGGTGTCTGATTTACATAGGGCCCACAGATTGGTTCAATCAGGTGTGAGTTTACATAGTGCACCTACCCTAATCTTATTATTATGCAAATAGGCTTTCTACTTGGCCAGCACCATCTTATCTGCTCCTTACTGTACATGTGCTGGCAAAGAGAAGATGGAGCTGCCTTTTTTTTTGAGACAGAGTCTCGCTCTGTCACTCAGGCTGGAGTGCATTGTTGCCAACTTGGCTCCACCTCCCGGGTTCAAGCCATTCTCCCGCCTCAGCCTCCTGAGTAGCTGGGATTACAGGCATGCGCCACCACATCCAGCTAATTTTTGTGTTTTTAGTAGAGACAAGGTTTCACCATGTTGGCCAGGCTGGTCTCGAACTCCTGACCTAGTGATCCGCCGGCTTCGGCCCCCCAAAGTGCTGGGACTACAAGCATGAGCCACTGTGCCCGGCCAGAGCCATGATTTTTAACATGCCTGTTCCCAGTTAGGCTTTTCCTATTGGCACAACTGCCGGCATTTGCCTGTGCAAGTTTCCAGCTTGCTTGTCTATGTCTGCAGCTCAATTTAACAAGCTGCTCTTTGTTAGAAAAGAAAATTACTTGGGGGCTGCTTTTTATTAAAAGGAAAACCTTACTGAGGACTCCCGTGCCTTATCTGCCTAAGTAAGTTCTTCTTAACTCCTATATCAGAACCAAAGAGGAGACCCAGTCCCTCATGCAGATGACATCAGAAACAGAAAGGAAGGAAAGACATCCCAGTTGTCCCCTTCTCCTGCTCTCCAGTATTCTGCCAGTGCCTCCCACAGCCCAAACCCAATTGGAGGCCAGGAAGCAAAGTAAATGCACTAACCTGTGGCAAAAAAATAAAGCAAGGGAAAGGAAGGCAATGAATCTGAGAGCAAAGAAACAGCTGACCTGCAACCCTTCATATGGTGTTTTCCCATGTATCTTCACTTGATGACAAAATACTGGCGAATCTACTTGATAATATCTTAATGATGTCAATTCACTATTTCTCCATTCACAAAGATGTGTTTATATATTACAAGAGTCAGAAAATGTTGGTGAGTCTCACTGAATTCTTTTTTTCTTCCATGTGTATGCTGTTCTTTGTGAAAAAGCCACTGCATTGTTTCAAATATCTCTGAGAAGTTTTCATGGAGCTGCTCCAAACAGCTTAAGACTTGTTCAGAATCAGTCACTCTCCAAAATTTCCTAACCAGGGCCACTGATGTTGCTCTTTATGCTGAAAGATAACTATCATCAAGGACAGGAAACCCATCAGCCTGCTATAAACTTTGTTACAGAGTTCTCTGAGACCAAACCAAAATTACTACCTAGGACCTTGAACCTGAGCCTAAGTCAGTTTGACAGCAAAATACTTTAAGAGGTTGAAAGTTAATCATTTTCTGTGATCCCTTTCATCACAGTAATTCTTAGTCATCAAACAGGGTAACCTTCCCAGTAAATTATTTTCTTCTATAACTCTGCTTTTCTTCCCTAACTCTTTTTTCTGTAACTCTAAGTCTTATATTCTAAATCCTCCTCAACCTCTAAATTTCACAAATGGCTTTCTCTGTCTTCTATTTTAACAGAAATGAGGTTCTTATTCAACTCCTCTCCAGTGCGGACCAATCATTTACCCACAGCCTATTAGTTGTGATGAGGGAATCCACACTTGTGTTCCAACTACTGGACCATCATTTTTCTTCTCTCTGATTAAAGTTCATCCTACTCTCTAGTGGCAACTGTCCCCTCAGTCTCTGAAATTTGCTTAAGGCCATGAAAGAAGGATCCCAATCAACCCCTACACAAACTACTTCTTATTATACTCCTAGTAGATTTTATTCTGTTGATTTGGGGTGGAGAGTTCTGTAGATGTCTATTAGGTCCGCTTGGTGCAGAGCTGAGTTCAATTCCTGGGTGTCCTTGTTAACTTTCTGTCTCGTTGATCTGTCTAATGTTGACAGTGGGGTGTTAAAGTCTCCCATTATTAATGTGTGGGAGTCTAAGTCTCTTTGTAGGTCACTCAGGGCTTGCTTTATGAATCTGGGTGCTCCTGTATCGGGTGCATATATATTTAGGATAGTTAGCTGTTCTTGTTGAATTGATCCCTTTACCATTATGTAATGGCCTTCTTTGTCTCTTTTGATCTTTGTTGGTTTAAAGTCTGTTTTAGCAGAGACTAGGATTGCAACCCCTGCCTTTTTTTGTTTTCCATTTGCTTCGTAGATCTTCCTCCATCCCTTTATTTTGAGCCTATGTGTGTCTCTGCACATGAGATGGGTTTCCTGAATACAGCACACTGATGGGTCTTGACTCTTTATCCAATTTGCCAGTCTGTGTCTTTTAATTGGAGCATTTAGTCCATTTACATTTAAAGTTAATATTGTTATGTGTGAATTTCATCCTGTCATTATGATGTTAGCTGGTTATTTTGCTCGTTAGTTGATGCAGTTTCTTCCTAGCCTCGATGGTCTTTACAATTTGGCATGATTTTGCAGTGGCTGGTACCAGTTGTTCCTTTCCACGTTTAGTGCTTCCTTCAGGAGCTCTTTTAGGGCAGGCCTGGTGGTGACAAAATCTCTCAGCATTTGCTTGTCTGTAAAGTATTTTATTTCTCCTTCACTTATGAAGCTTAGTTTGGCTGGATATGAAATTCTAGGTTGAAAATTCTTTTCTTTAAGAATGTTGAATATTGGCCCCCACTCTCCTCTGGCTTGTAGAGTTTCTGCCGAGAGATCCGCTGTTAGTCTGATGGGCTTCCCTTTGTGGGTAAGCTGACCTTTCTCTCTGGCTGCCCTTAACATTTTTTCCTTCATTTCAACTTTGGTGAATCTGACAATTATGTGTCTTGGAGTTGCTCTTCTCGAGGAGTATCTTTGTGGCATTCTCTGTATTTCCTGAATCTGAATGTTGGCCTGCCTTGCTAGATTGGGGAAGTTCTCCTGGATAGTATCTTGCAGAGTGTTTTCCAACTTGGTTCCATTCTCCCTGTCACTTTCAGGTACACCAATCAGACGTAGATTTGGTCTTTTCACATAGTCCCATATTTCTTGGAGGCTTTGTTCGTTTCTTTTTATTCTTTTTTCTCTAAACTTCCCTTCTCGCTTCATTTCATTCATTTCATCTTCCATTGCTGATACCCTTTCTTCCAGTTGATCATATCGGCTCCTGAGGCTTCTGCATTCTTCACGTAGTTCTCGAGCCTTGGCTTTCAGCTCCATCAGCTCCTTTAAGCACTTCTCTGTATTGGTTATTCTAGTTATACATTCATCTAAATTTTTTTCAAAGTTTTTAACTTCTTTGCCTTTGGTTTGAATTTCCTCCTGTAGCTCGGAGTAGTTTGATCCTCTGAAGCCTTCTTCTCTCAACTCGTCAAAGTCATTCTCTGTCCAGCTTTGTTCCGTTGCTGGTGAGGAACTGCATTCCTTTGGAGGAGGAGAGGGGCTCTGCTTTTTAGAGTTTCCAGTTTTTCTGCTCTGTTTTTTTCCCATCTTTGTGGTTTTATCTACTTTTGGTATTTGATGATGGTGATGTACAGATGGGTTTTTGGTGTGGATGTCCTTTCTGTTTGTTAGTTTTCCTTCTAACAGACAGGACCCTCAGCTGCAGGTCTGTTGGAGTTTGCTAGAGGTCCACTCCAGACTCTGTTTGCCTGGGTATCCGCAGCGGTGGCTGCAGAACAGCGGATTTTCGTGAACTGTGAATGCTGCTGTCTGATCGTTCCTCTGGAAGTTTTGTCTCAGAGTAGTACCCAGCTGTGTGAGGTGTCAGTCTGCCCCTGCTGAGGGTTGCCTCCCAGTTAGGCTGCTTGGGGGTCAGGGGTCAGGGACCCACTTGAGGAGGCAGTCTGCCCATTCTCAGATTTCCAGCTGCGTGCTGGGAGAACCACTGCTCTCTTCAAAGCTGTCAGACAGGGACATTTAAGTCTGCAGAGGTTATTGCTGTCTTTTTGTTTGTCTGTGCCCTGCCCCCAGAGGTGGAGCCTACAGAGGCAGGCAGGCCTCCTTGAGCTGTGGTGGGCTCCACCCAGTTCGAACTTCCCGGCTGCTTTGTTTACCTAAGCAAGCCTGGGCAATGGGGGGCGCCCCTCCCCCAGCCTCGCTGCCACCTTGCAGTTTGATCTCAGACTACTGTGCTAGCAATCAGCAAGACTCCATGGGCGTAGGACCCTCCGAGCCAGGTGCGGGATATAATCTCCTGGTGTGCCGTTTTTTAAGCCCGTTGGAAAAGCGCAGTATTAGGGTGGGAGTGACCCGATTTTCCAGGTGCTGTCTGTCACCCCTTTCTTTGACTAGGAAAGGGAACTCCCTGAACCCTTGCACTTCCCGAGTGAGGCAATGCCTTGCCCTGCTTTGGCTCGCGCACGGTGCACTACACCCACTGTCCTGCGCCCACTGTCTGGCACTCCCTAGGGAGATGAACCCGGTACCTCAGATGGAAATGCAGAAATCACCCGTCTTCTGCGTCGCTCACGCTGGGAGCTGTAGACCAGAGCTGTTCCTATTCGGCCATCTTGGCTGCCCTCTCATTGATTTTAATATCTGTGAATATGAGATATTCCAAATCTGGTCGTAATAGTAAATGACCTCTCATTCCTCTCCTCTTCATGGACTCGCTACCCCATCCCTTGTTCACACATATTTGTGCATATTTGTTCACATTGTTGTTCACGTATATTTGTGCATATATCCGACACTACTCTTTTAGCTCTTTGAGGAAAAAAAACTTTCTCTTATTAGTTTCTGTATTCCAGACCTGATATAACTATTCCCTGCACATGGTAGGAACTCCATCATGAAGTCAACTGGAATCTTCTCTCATTATATGAACAGAATATATAGATCAAGTAGGCAGATGCCTTATAATAGTTCCTTTACAAGGCTAAGTTTTTTGTGTGTATAAAAGTTTACACTCAGGGAAAAATAAAGTTCACTATTAATTGTTTTTGTCTTTGTGAAATTGGGTTATATTTTTCTGTTTGGTCACAGAGAAATTGACATGGCAGTAGGTGAGCAAAAGAGAATATTTCAGACCCAAGGGAAAAGACCGATTACATTTTCTTAGTATCCTCTTGCTATCAGGTGCTCTAACCATCTTACAAGGAACTTATAATTGGAAATAACAATTTCATGTAGCCTGTTACGTATCCATATTTTCCCCCTGGTAATTATTGCATATATCTTATGTCACTTATGTAGATGACAGGTAGGTAGGACTAACCTGCTGCACAGATTGTTTGGCTCTGGGACATGTGTTGAAAAACAATGCAACCTGAGGAGTTACTGTGGACCCCTGCTGAGCACACTGTGTTTGCTGGAGTTTCCCCTAATGGTGCTTGTCAAGGACCACTAACATTTTGGCAAGGATGTTCCAACAATAACACCTCTTCTGAATAAAAGTGCAGGAAAAAGGTGGCAGTTCTAAAAACAGAAAATGGTGTTGCTTTGTCAATGTGCTTTTTTTGTAGGGTTGGGGAGGGCAAGGTTGTCATTCAGCACATCTTCTTTTATTTACGTTTTTCATTCCCAATAAATCAGGTCCAAAGTCGCATCTAAGAAGAAACAACAGCTTCCATTTCTTAAAGGATTAATATTATCGCATTATTTCATTCATCCCTTGTATTAGTCTGTTCTCACACTGCTAATAAAGACATACCTGAGACTGGGTAATTTACAAAGAAAAAGAGGTTTAGTGAACTCACAGTTCCACATGGCTGAGGAGGCCTCACAATCATGGCGGAAGGCGAGAAAGGAGCAAAGGCACGTCTTATATGGTGGCAGGCAAGAGAGCATGTACAGGGGAACTGCCTTTTTTTTTTTAATCAGATCTCATGAGACTTATTCACAATCATGAGAACAGCATGAAAAAAAACCTGCCCCCATGATTCAATTACCTCCCACTGGGTCCCTCCCATGACATGCGGGGATTATGGGAGCTATAATTCAAGATGAGATTTGGGTGGGGACACAGCCAAACCATATCATCCCTTAATAACAACCCTGTAAAATAGATACAATCATTAGTTTTACTACCATTTTACTACCATTTTACAGATGAAGATGCAGATGTTAAGAATCTTGCCGGGGGTTATCAAGTTAACAAGTTACTGAACTAGGATTTAACATTAGGTTGTCTGTCTACTCCTTATCGTTAAGCTATACTGCCTCATAGAACAGGCATCTATAGAATTTGCTCCCTGTGACATTAGCCCCTGCTCTTAAATCCAGCCATCCAGCCTTGTACCATTCTATGGAGATATTCGTTAAAAGTTGCTTTATTGTAAAACAAAGAAATTCTTAGGCCGTGCAGCAGTCCAGGACCAAAATCTGTTTATGCCACACTTGCAGTTCCTGGCATTAAATGTATCCTATTGAACTCTTCATTGAGATAATGAATTCAGGCTTTTCATTCTGGTTCTCTGGGCCTTCCCAACATGCAGCTATATACACTCAACATATCGGAGTACCTGGCGATGCTTCAGGTGAAACACAGTCTTCTACCAAATTGGCTATATCCTGAAGGCCCAGGACAGAGCCAGGCACTTAGTGTTCACTCAACAAAATGCACTGAATGAATGCATAAATCTTCTCCTTTCAAAATTAAAGAAATAAGGTGCTGATGCCCAGCTCTAGCAAAATGCTGTGCTGTTTGACATTCTAAGATAATTTTTTAACCTCTGATTTAATTTGCAAGGGATCAATGATAACTAGAATTTGAAAAATAGTGTTTTTTATTTTTAACTTGGACCATCTTGTATGAAATATTCTACTCACTATTGATTCATTTAAACAAAGTTAGCAAATTTAATTTTTCTCTGGCTCTAAAACATCCCAATGCCAAAGTTATAAAATAGGACTTCCAGCCGGGCATGGTGGCTCACTTCTGTAATCCAGCACTTTGGGAGGCCAAGGCAGGCGGCTCACAAGGTCAGGAGATCGAGACCATCCTGGCCGACATAGTGAACTCCATCTCTACTAAAAAAATACAAAAATCAGCCATGCGTGGTGGCGCATGCCTGTAATCCCAGCTACTCAGGAGGCTGAGGCAGGAGAATAGCTTGAACTAGGGAGTTGGAGATTGCAGTGAGCCGAGATCACGCCACAGCACTCCAGCCTGGGAGACGGAGCAAGACTCTGTCTCAAAAAAAAAAAAAATAGAACTTCCACTTATTTGTTTTTAACTATAACCCTCTGGGAGTCTATATGCCTCCAGTGTATTTTATCTTATAGTGATGGTATCCAAAGTCCCTTTCAAACATGAGATTATAAGAGAGTCTATAATCAACAATACTTTGTCCTGTAAAAATATGGAGTATGAAAATTTTAAGCACACAGAGTTTCAAAAGTTAGTATTCACTACTTGGAAATGGCCAGTGGCAACCCAACCAATAGAATATAATAGGTGTTGGGGCTGAATAGCTATTATATTCTCTAAGCACTGCAGTGGAAATTTTCAAAGCAATATCTTGTTTAGTCCTCAAAAATATTCTGAAGCCCAGATATTTAAATTATCAGAGTCTTTAATAACACCTTCTCTGCCTATAAGTTCTCCTAAAGGCTGGAATAAAATATTGTTCTCATTTCACATCACTGTCTGAGGCCATCATTTTAAGTTCCATCTCATAAGACAACTAAATATGTTTCCTGATGACTTTGTTAGCTCCTTTGTTTTGGGTGAAGGTTTTATTTTTGCCTTGCTACTTGAAATTATTGTTTCATTCTATCCACACCATACATTCAAAAACTCCATAATCATTCTTTCATTCATATACTATTTGATTCCATACTCTGCATCAGGCACTGTACCAGTTACTTGGGACACAATGATGCACAAAACCACACATGGATTTTTTCCTCTTGGAATTTACTGTCTAATGGGGGAGATATATATTATTCAAAGCACCACAAAAATAAAGGTAAAATTGCAATTCTGTTTAGTACTATGAGATAGAAGTTGATGATGAAATACGAATATATTTTTTAAATCTTGAATTTTCCTTTCTAGTAATCGTGGACTGGCATGCAGCAGATGAAGCTCTGAATATTGACTTGAAGTCATGAGAGCTATCAAGGCAGCCAAACTTGAGGGACTAAGATCTGGAGAGATGACAAACTGAGATAAGCCCAAATTCTACTCAATTTTCTCCCTTGAGTTTTGCACTAACTTGTATGGACATAGGTCAAGAAAAGTTTCACAAAAATGAGAAACCAAGAGGCAGAAGAATGACAAAGCAGCTTCATAATGATGAGACTATAAAAGCTGGTGAAGGGTCCCAACAAGGGATAACGGCACTTATGAATACATCAGGCTTTCAGTTAGGAAACCCTAAAAGACCAAACCCTGGAAGTAAGGACGAGTTATAAAAAGATAAGTCTCTACAGAGATTATAATCTTGCCCAGAAACAGGTAAAGCCTCTTCAATTTCGTGTGGCCAATAACCATCATTCAATGAAATATTAATAGAAATCCCAAGAGAAAGGACTAAAAGAAAAAGTACTAACCATAGCAAGAGACTCACAGGTGATCCAGGTATTATGACTGTCAAGCAAAGACTTAAATAGCTTATTAATATCTTCAAAAATAAGAGGCAAGATAAAGAATACCATCAGAGAACTGGAATCTATAAAAGAATCAAATGGAAATTATAGATGTGGACCTAGCAATTATTGAATTTCAGAACTCAGTAAAATGGGTTTAACAGCCGATTAGACACAGGTGAATAGATCAGTGATTTGGAAAAGATGTCAGTAAAACCATCCTTAAACTACAAAGGGGAAAATGGACGAAATATAAATAAAATAGAGTAAAGGGGCATGAAAAGGACGAATATATGTGTAATGAAAAACCTAAAAAGGAAAGAAAGAGAATGTGCAGAAGCAATTTAAAATACATAATAGCCAAAAATTTTCCAGAACTGAAGAATGATATTAAGCAATAGATATCAAGCATTATCAACCTCAAGCAGCATAAATACACAGAAAAGCACAACTAATACATCTTAGCAAAACTGATCAAAACAAAAAATAAAGAAAACCTGTAAAATTTTTTCATAATGAAAAAGACTAATAGCTTTATATTTCTGCAGAAATATTGGTGTTTTTAAAGTGCTGGTAGAAAACAGAACTATTCATAATAGGCAAAATTTGCAGGTAACGAACATATTCATTAACTAAAGAACAAATAACTAAATTATGACATTTTATTACATGTGCCATACATCAATTAAAATAAATTACCTAATGCTACATACAGAAACATGGATGAATCTCACAAACAAAATAATGAGACAAAAAAAGCAGACACAAAGGAGAATATAACACTTGATTTTATTCATATCAAATCAAATTCAAAAATAGACAAAGCTAATCTGTGGTTTTAGAGATTAGGACAGAAGTTATCATTGGGGAAGAAGGGTTAGTGACAGGGAGGAATCATGAAGGGTATTTTAAAGTATTGTTAACATTCTCTTTCTTGATATGGCTGAAATTAATTTTTTCCAAGCTATAAAACTGGGAATTTTGTACTTTTTAATTCATATTAAAATTTAATTACTTAATTCACATAGAAAAACAGTAAAGTAAAAACTCTTACTTTAAACTGTGCTCCTATATCAGTGCCTTAACAAATAAAATGTGCAGGGTCATGATCATTTTGAACAAAGTAGAGTAAACTAATTCCCCTACAGTACATCCCACTGCCCCAAAGGTAGCACTTTCAGGGAAACCCAAGATGCCACCAATGCCACATTCTAATATAAATCATGCACCTATAGAAAGTTTTAAAGTTTAATGCCAATAACATCAGTTTTTCACACCCCTTCCCCCTACTGTTAAATCTGCTATTGCCTTCCACTCTGACAATTGCCAAATATAATGGGGAATTATAAATTAAACTCCTGGGTTCTTAAGCAAACATTATACAAGTTTATCTCTGGAGGAAATACATTCCTCAAATTCAAAGGCAAAGTTTCTCTTTGTTAAGTTACAATGGACTGAATACAGGGGAAATTATATGATATCTATATTATCATAGAACCTATTTTCAAAAAGAAAAAGAAGAAACTTTATTCTTTAGCCAGAAAGTATGTATTTTAATTAAATAGAAAGTTTCCCATTATTACATTTGAAGTTAGCTCTTGGTTAAGAAATATTGGAGAATTTCTTATGTTAATATAAAATATGTTGTAGTCTAAAACTGTAATGATAATTACCACCAAATTATATATTCTGATTATGTTTAAAATGCATGTGTTTATATGTAACATGTATTCATGAGAGTGTCTCGAAAACAAAATGAGCAAACAAAAAACTAAAAAGGCCTCTTAAAACACACAATCATCATGGTGTTAGAAAAAAGACCTTTTAAGACAGTGTGACCCTCGTGTACACACAGAGGCCATGGCCCATGGAATTGGAGCCCTGAAAACCAGGACATGGCTCTGTTTCCTATGCTGAAAACTAAATACTTCCTTATAGCCAAAAATAAGGAACAAAGACATATGTTGACCCCAATATCCTACGCTTGGCTGAAGTGGAATTTTGTCTTCTAGTACTTCTTGGCTGTGTTTGAGTTCCAACCAAAAGCTTATTGCACTTTACCTCTTTCCTATAAGTTATTGAAGGAGTAATTACTTGACATGCTTTCCTCTGCCTGTGGAAAAATAAAGCTGATAGCATAAAACAGGTCTCATAAAAAATCAGTAGTCACCCAGCCTGTGACATGCAACCAGCTGAAAGCTGATCCCTGCTGAGCCTTTCCTTCAGCAGCATTTCTGTGAACAGAGTCCCAACTGCTGATGACCAAGCAACAGGAACAGATAAGAAATGACCTGGGAGGCCAGGAGACTGGTCTGGACCTCCCTGATTACAGTTAACTTACTACATTGTCCCTGTTCCAACAGTGCCCTTTCAGTTAAATGCAATAAATCTCCTCCTCTTTAAGTGACAGGGAGCCTGATGGTTACTTTGGCTTTCAGGAATGAAAAACGGGGAGAAATGAACCTATCTAAAACAGGGAGAGCAAATAGCCACCTGCTGAGACAAAGCTCTAAACACAAATGTGAACACTGATTTTTTTGCTACGTGTTGATCTTAGAAGTGATTTTTATTTCTTGTGTAGTACGATATTTCACAAATACCCTACAATGTACAATTCCCTTTCTAGAATTTATTATTTCATAATTAGAAGAGAAAAAAAAAACAACCAAGGTAAGCTTTTAGCTCCCAGCCCTCAAAAATATCTTAAGTGATTTTTGTCTTTCAAATATTGCCTGCATTCGTTCTGTGAAATACTCCTTTCTTCTAAGATTTGGGAGAGTAGGAAATCAGTAGAACATACGTCAAACAGCTGACACCTGCCAATCAAAATTGAGTCGGTTTCACCCAGATAAAACCTGCATCTGACTTAGGACATTTCTCACAGTTTCTCATGGAAACTCGGAGACTGTAATTTGTACCTCATTCCCTATCATTTAATAGTATTATTTGCTCAATTTGAACAGGTGTTCGGCAAAGATAATTAACATTTGTTTAGTGGTTCTCAACTTTGGTGAAAATATTTTTTTTAATCCCAAAACAATGCAAAGTACATCTTTGTGCACTTCCCACTTAATAGATGAAGACATTGAGAATTTTAGAAGCAATCACACAGCTAAAATATGGAGCAACTCCAGAATTTTATTTTATGTCTATATGCTTTGAAATTTGTACTCTTCCTCCATCTATGTCATCCTCCTCCCTGCTGAGAAATGTTGCTAGTGCTGTTTGTTTATGCAAATCAACTAGATCAGTCTCCCTGATTAAAAGCAAAATACTAATACAGTCAGCCCTCCCTATCTGCCTATTTGGAAGGCCCCCTAAGGGACTTGGGCATCTGGGGATTTTGGTATTTGCAGGAGAAAAGGCAGGATGTCGTGTCCTGGAACCAATCCTCCATGGATACTAAGTAGTAGTAGCCAACTGTAGCAGCTTTTCTGAGTTTAGACGCACTAGTTCCCAAATTACATCTTAATCTCCCCTGTCTGCTAAAACAAGGTTTTTCAACCTTGGCACTCTGGTATTTTGGATCAGATAATTCCCTTGAGGGGTAGGAGGTGGGCTGTCCTGTGCATTGCAGAATGTTTAGCAGCATCTCTGGCTTCTACCTACAAGATACCAGTTGCACTCCCCCACCCCAAATCATGACAATTGAAAATGTCTCTAGATATTGGCCATGTTCCCTGAAAAACAAAATTGCCTCCAGTTGAGAACCACTGGCTTAAGGAATCTAACCAGCAGTTAAAACTTCAAAAGAGTTTGTATTCTCTTCTCTCTAAGCAAAGCCATCTTACACATTTTAAAAAGATCTCTTCTCTCTCTTGTAAGTCATTAAAAGACTCAGATTCTTCAGTGCGACAAAGTGTGCTTCAAAATACTATTCATCTTTCTGGGAAATTTACTAAACTTCACATTGCCCATTTGTAGTTGCATGTTAGGTATAATTTATTAGTCAATTTCACAAGATTTTTTCTCCCCACGTGCGGGCCCTGAGACATAGATGGCAGATGTCTGTTACTTAGATGTCCATTTTCTGTTGCTTAGAACAGACTACCTGGAACTGGGTAATTTATATAGAAAATGAATTTATTTCTTAGAGTTATGAGGGCTGATGAGTCCAAGGATAAGGGGCTACATCTGCTGAGGGCCTTCTTGCTGGTGGGGACTCTCTGCAGAGTCCCAAGACTATACAAGATGAGGAGGTGAGCATGTTAGCTCAGGTCTTTTTTCCTCTTCTTTACAGTCAGCAGTCCCATGCTCATCATAATCTATTAATTTATTAATCAATTAATCTATGAATATATGAATATATTCTATTCTTTTTTTTTTTTTTTTTTGAGACAGGGTCTTGCTCTGCTATCCAGACTGGAATGAAGTGGCACAATTCTAGGTCACTGCAGCCTTGGAAGACTGGGCACAAGCAATCCTCCCACCTCAGCCTCCTGAGTAGCTGGGACTACAGGCATTAGCCACTGCACCCTGCTAATTTTTTAAAAAAAAATTATTTGTAGAGATGGGGTCTTGTCATGTTTTCCAGGGTGGTCTCAAACTCCTGGCTCCAAGTGATATTCCTGCCTCAGCCTCCCAAAGTGCTAAGATTACAGGCATGAGCCACTGCACTTGGCTTTGGATTAGTCTATTCTTAAGGGCAGAACCCCCATGACCCAATCACCTCCTAAAGTTCCCACCTTGGGAGTGTAAATAAGTTCAACCATTGTGGAAAGCAATACGGAGATTCCTCAAAGAGCCAAAAACAAAACTACCATTTAACCTAGCAATCCCATTACTGGATATACTCCCAGAGGAATATAAATCATTCTACCATGAAGACACATGCATGCTAATATTCATTGCAGCACTATTCACAGTCGCAAAGACATGGAATCTACCTAGATGTCTATCAATAACAGATTGGATAAAGAAACTGTGGTACATATACACCATGGAGTACTATGCAGTCATAAAAAAGATGAGATTATATTTTTCTGTGGGAACATGAATGAAGCTGAAGGCTATTATCCTTAGCAAACTAATCCAGGATACACAACCAACTACCGCATGTTCTCACTTACAAGTGAGAGCTAAATGATGAGAACACATGGACACAAAGAAGGGAACAAGAGACACTGTGGTCTCGTTGAGGGTGTAGGGTGGAAGGAGGGAGAGGAGCAGAAAAAAATAACTATTGGGTACTAAGCTTAATACCTGGTTGATGAAATAATCTGTACAACAAACCCCCGTGACATGAGTTTGCCTATATAACAAGTCTGCACATGTACGCCTAAACCTAAAATAAAAGTTTTTAAAAAGGCCTCACCTCGCGATGTTGCCACATTGGGGACTAAATTTTAGCATGCGTTTTAGAAGGGACAAATATCTAAACCAGAGAGGTAGAGGAACATCAATCTTAAAAACAGAGAGAACTGGATTTTAGTCCCACCTCTAACATTTATTAGTTATGAAATCATGAGTTACTCAACCAGAACTCTTCTAAGATTTCTTTTGGAGAAAATAGGATTTTAAGATTCAAAGAGAAGGGCAGTGCTATAAAAGCTGAACATGCCCACAAAATTACATTTCTGTGAACTTGAGCCAGTAGCTTAACCTCTAAGGCTCAGTTTCTTCATCTGTCAAATAATACATAAGACTATAACAATGGTTTAAAAACCATCGATCTGGAAATTATTACAGGGTCTATGGCAGTGGGGAGAGGTGAGTAATCGTGACCTAGTATTTTCACCCTTGATTTTTCCACCACAGCACATAGGCTTTCTCACTGTACCCCCTGCTCTCTCAGCACCTGTGAACTGACCGTTTCTTTTGCCTATCATGCCCTGCTCCCAGAAATCCACATGGTGCATTCCCTCAAGTCCACAGTGAACCTTCTCAAAGGAACTTACCCAAAACAACCTTTCGAAACACTTATTCCCAGCCCAGCACCACTCATTAGAGATGACCCTGTTCTATGGTTTTTATCTGACACTATTATTAGGTTATTAATATTATCATTATTATAATAATGTATATATGTATTATACTTCTTGACTGTTTTCTTTCACTAGAATGTAAACTGCATGAGAGGAAGGATGTTGTTGGTTTTGTTTAACCCAGTGCCTAGAAAAGCGTCTGGTATACATTAGAAATATGTTGGATGACTGAACTAAACAAAAGAGAGACAACTCGAATGGCCTAGAGACATCCAACTGCTTTATGTCCAGTTCTAACAGAACATGTCTGGTGTTTACTATTTTGTATACTGGTGAACCAACTCCAACTTGCTTTTAACCTTTAAGCTGTCCTCGTTCATTCCTGGTCATAGGCCAAACTAACTTTGGGAAGGAATTCAGTTCACGGTTTGACTCTGAAACAAAATTGATAACAGCCCTTTGCTGAAAAGACCCCCTTCTTGCCTGGGGACCAGTCTGCCTTTGCAGGACTAACAAATTAGCTATAAGATCAGAAATTACAGTTTAGGTGTCATGCAGCCTCTCCTCCAAGAGTCTGAACCTCCCCAAATTGGGGATAATGTCACTACTGTAAAATCTAAGACCAGTGCTTGAGATATTTTGCAGACCCTGCACTCCATGGATCAGCTGACACCACCCGGACTGGTAATCTGGCTCAGTCAGTTCTGCCATTGCACCCAGGAACAGAAGACAGAAAGAAAAACTCACTTCGACCCCCTGTGATTCCATCTTCAACCTGACCAATCAGCACTCCCCACTTCTCAAGCCCCTACCTGCCAAATCATCTTTAAAAACTCTGATCCCCAAATGCTTGGAGAAACTGATTTGAGTAAAAATAAAACTCCGGTCTCCCACACAGCTGGTTCTGCATGAATTACTCTTTCTCCATTGCAATTTTCATCTTGATTAATTGGCTCTCTCTAGGCAGCGGGCAAGGAGAACCCATTGGGCGGTTACACTGGGGACCCATAAATGAGTTTCTGCGTGAATATCTGGGCTCTTTCTGCAACCATTTCAGAAAACTAGTCTTGGAAGTTATTTATTTATTAAGCTGTCATTACCGAATTAAGTTTGGTTAAGTATCTCAGGATATGGCACATTCACTTGTCAACAGCCTCCTTTTAGCATTATATTTATTTTATTGTTTTGCTCATTTTAATTTGTGTTTTTAATACCAAGAAACTTTTTAAAATAAGATATTTTACATTAAATGCACTTTGGAAAATTGATAAAAGTTACATTTTATTAGTGCACATTTATCTTATAAGTTCAAAGATGAAATATTACAAGTTAATCCATAAGAATAAGATCATTTCAATCAGTAAAATCATTTGAAATGAGAATTAAGCATGAGAGCAAGCCTTTTGTCAGCCTCAGCTAATTTATTTCCACAATTTATTTTGATTTCATAACATTCAGCAGACCTTGAATCACCTAAATAAGTAGTTGCAAATGGTAATATTTATTAAGAGCTCATTTGCTATCTCAGAATACTTACAAATATCTACAAAGGCATGATAGCAGAATAGTAGAAAATGTACTTCACTGTTGAAAACCATAAATCTTTTACAAGTGATTGCATTATTGCATTTCTAATGACAAATGCGGTCTGAAGCCCACACAAGCTTGAAATAAAAATAATAATAAAGTCTCAGTATAATGAAAAGAGTAGTAAACTAAAAGGAAATTTCCAGCCAGGAGAAGAGTTACTGACTGGAGGTAGAGATGAGGAGAGCTTAGGCATGGTGTGATAGCGAGAGTGGAGAAGAGGATGTTTAGAATACTGACTTATTCTGGGCTGGGCGGGGTGGCTCATGCCTGTAATCCCAGCACTTTGTGAGGCCAAGGCAGGCGAATCACCTGAGGTCAGGAGTTCGAAACCAGCCTAGCCAACATAGTGAAATACCGTCTCTACTAAAAATACAATAATTAGCTGGGCATGGTGGCAGGTTCCTGTAATCCCAGCTACTCGGGAGGCTGAGGCAGGAAAGTTGCTTGAACCCGGGAGGAGGAAGTTGCAGTGAGCTGAGATCATGCCATTGCACTCCAGCCTGAGCAACAAGAGTGAAACTCCATCTCAAAAAAAAAAAAAAAAAAAAAAAGAATTCTGACTTACTCTGTATCATAGTATCTTGAATAGACCATACTTAACTTGCAGGTCATCATCATTAGCAAGTAATCCAGTAAAAATAAGATGGATGCTGATGTCTAAGCTCTCTTCTTTTATTGTCTTTAACACTGCCTAAGCCTAAATAAAAGGAGATTAAGTCAACAGAGCTTCAAAAATATGAATACATGTGTGCATGTATGTGTGCACGCAGGCACAATATATGCACACATATACATATATGTACATATGTATATTGTGAGTAGATGTGGTATATATGAGGGTCTATGAATATGCATGTATATATATAAACACATACATTGCACCATATATTTGTAAAACTCTATTTTAGTAATACTTGAAGCATCCTGCATTCCTTTACAGACAAATATCTACTCTACGTATTATGTAAACAGAGGGAATATTTAGATACTCAAGTTGACTTGTATGAAAGTACTCCCTTGATGCTAAATTTTATAGCTTGTTTTCATTTTACTTAATGTACATATTGAACATAATCCTGAAGATTATATTATGGCTAGGACATGATTTTTCAGTTATTCCCTGGCTTCATGTCTCTCATAGAATGAGTTGGAATTTAGTGTTATATGTAATTATGACGTTCACACATTATCCGTATAAAATAATAGAATATATATTTCACATATCATTTATATACTGATCGATGAATGGAGAACATATAATTTTATCAGTTGACTATGGCAGCTAGTGAGTACATTTCATTTTCACTCTTCTTCTAGGTATTAAAAAATAATGAATACATCACTATACTTTACTGTTTTATGTAAATGTTTCATGCAGTTAAAGAGTTATAAAGTCAAAATAAAATGTTAATGGCAGAGAAAGAAATGGCACAATATTAGAAGCAGAAGGAGTTTGTTTTCTGATCTGTTAGGAGTAAGACAGAAGCTTCTACTTTAGTCTAACCATGCTGTTGCTTTAACTAGCTGAGGGTTAGGCAAATGGTAGCCCAAGGGCTAAATCTGGCCCATGCCCTGTTTTTGTAAATAAAGTTTTATTAGAAAACAGCCACACTCATCCTTTTACATATTTTCTGTGACTACTTCTATGCAACAATGGCAGAGGTGAGTAGCTGTAGCAAAGACAATAAGTCCCGTGAAGCCTAAAATATTTATCAACCTGCCCTTTACAGAAAAAGTTTGCAAGTCCTAAACTAGCCCAAACCCTTCTAGAAGGTGTAGCACAAGTGTTTCTAGGCACCTAGGTGGTCCTGAGATGGCCTCAGCACCATCACCATTAAAGGGCATGGTAGGCACAGTCAGTCCTTCCCCATAACTAGTCGCCCGTCCTTCAAGAAGAACACAGAGAAGCACACTCACAACCCTGTACCAGGCTGTCTGCCTCTAGTACACTTATGCTCTGTGTATTTTGTTATTGTATCATCAGGGCCTATAGTTTTGCCTGAAGCATATTAGCAATAAAAATGTTAATACTAATTTATTCAACAAATATTTTTTAACCTCTACCCTCATTAATTAGACACACACTATGTTCTAGATATTTGGCTAGATAAAACTGTATACGTATTTTCTTATTTAGTTCTCATAACAACCCTTGGAGATAGGTCTTATTATTATCCCCATTTATGGAAGAAAACTGAGGCCTAGAGAGTTAAAAACTAGATCAAGGCTCAGTTGGAATTGGCATTTGTACCAAGACTGTCTGCCTCTGAGACCCTTATCTCCCTTAACAAAGGTGTGACCCCAGCTATTCACATCTGCTGGAGGCTTCACTAGCTCCAGATGCTAAGGCTGCTGATGAGTGGGACAATGTTGCTGGTGCTGGAGGCCAGGGACTTAAATGTCTGTATCGGTGATGCCAATTCCTAATTTGGGGAACATGGAGGATAACTCCACTGACAGTGTTTCTGCTGCTGCTGCTGCTGCTGCCAGAATTGCTATCCTTGCTCTTCAAACAATGAATACTGCCATTGGGATGAAACATGCACCACATCCCTGCCCGCATGACCAGTGTGAGTTTTGACAGTACCCTATGGAAAGTATAGGTGGACAGCTGTTTTAGTTTGCATTTACTTGTAACAGCCTGCTTATATAGGACTTACAGAGTCTAGGAGAATGGGGACAGTGCAAATCTGAGGGGCAACTCTCTCCTCCTTCTGAATCATGCTTTGTCATTGGACCAAATTTCTCTTTTCATTCTCTCTTCCTTGGTACATATTGTCTCTCCCAAAGTACCCAAGACAGTCACATCAATAAATGCCAGGGGGTCCTCACACCTGACTCAAGGCCCTCTAGACTTATCCAGATTTAGCTGTATTTTAGCAAGGGGACATGGTAAACTTGAAACCTGTGCTTTAGACAACTCCCTGGATTCTCCCAACCATGGTTTTCTGCTTGATGCTTCTGATTACCTTCTAGGAAGACTGCCTGGAAACAATTACACTCTAATAGGCTGTAGGCGACAGGTTTTTAGCTTCTTTGCAGGAAAGACTGTTAAATTCTGCCACTATCCTTCTGGTAGGAGCTGTGTCTTCATGAGCTCATGGGAATGCATTAGTAAGATGTAGTTAAGGCCCACTAGGGGTGGAGAAGCCTGGCTCCTATTGGACATCTGAGAATATAGGCGCACAGAGGTAACGATAATCCCGAGCACCTGCCTAAAGTAAACTCTTATTTAAATGGAAGTTCAAAACAACCTGACAAAATTTGTCAATATGCACTTGCACTTGGTATTTGATTAAACCTCACCAGGGCTGTAGGGGTAACCTCTGACCTCTGCTTTGAGTCAGGAAAATGATAACTTCTTCCTGGAGGATAAATTATTTTCTTAGGCCTATTCCAAGCCTCTCTCACTCTCTCTCTCTCTCTCTCTCTCTCTTTTTTTTTTTAGATGGAGTCTCCATCTGTCGCCCAGGCTAGAGTGCAGTGGTGCAATCTCAGCTCATTGCAACCTCCGCCTCCCAGGTTCAAGCAATTCTCCTGCCTCAGCTTCCCAAGTAGCTGGGATTACAGGCATGTGCCACCACATCTGTCTAATTTCATATTTTTAGTAAAGACAGGATTTCACCATGTTAACCAGGCTGGTCTCTCAAACTCCTGAGCTCAAGTAAGCCACCCACCTCGGCCTCCCAAAGTGCTGGGATTACATGCATGAGGTACAGTGCAGGGCCCAGCCTTTTGAGAATTCCTGATTCTCTTCAATCTGCTAGTATTTTCCTCTTTCAAATGAGTCACACATTGAAGAGCTTTCCGGATTTATGATGATGCCCCATGCAAGCCTAATATGAGAGCATCATTTCTTGTGCATCATAACACACATCCTGCACCTTTCCCTGTTGCTGGTGAGTACTGGCTCAGTGCCTATGCAGGGGCCCTGGCTGGTCCCTTGGGGTTCATGGACCTCTAAGAGGCAGATGGGCAGGTGGAGATTTTCCATGGATTACCTCATATACTCTACTTGCTATATGGACACTTCCATTGTTTGGGGATTGTTTTTCCTGCTAACTTTCCAAAAGAGCTGCTACAGAAAGGTTGAGTGCAATAACCCAGAAGTGTGGGGCAGTTGGCATGCAATGGGGATAACTCGAGACTATGGGAGATGAGAATATGTGGAAATATTCTTTTCCATTCCTCTCCCAAGATTCACAATTAAAAAAAAAAAAGTCCACACAGACATTTGGAAGGCGCCCGATGAAACTGAGCAATCACCCTCACTTATACAAAGTACATGTACAGGTACCAGCCAGGTACATAGGAAATGGATCTGCTTGTATTTGCCCTCTTTCCTTTTCCACTCAATTTCTGCTTCATCTCTACTTCTGCTCCCTAAGAATTGCTCTCCCCAACAATATGTTAGCACAAAGTGCGTGCCCTAGGTTCTGCTTTCTACAGAACCCGGCTGAAGAAAATTCTCCAGCAGAGTTTTATTTAGGTAGAAAAAGCATGTGTAGCCTTGATGTGTAAGGTATGAGTCTTCAAGGTTTTAAACAATGTATAAATCAGGTGGTAGAGGAATGATGAGGCAAGGAAGAAAAATAAGACAAACCAACTACTAATCCTGCCCCTTTCAGTATGGAGAGTTAAGGCTGTGCACTGACCCTTCTTGAATCTCAGTTTCCCTGTCTCTAAAACTGGAACATAAATAGCCTGTGGGTAGTAAGAATGAAATGAGATAATGGATAGGACACAAGATAGATTATGTCATGGTTAATATGTAGATTGTAGAATGAGGCAAACTTTGGTTGGAATCCCAGATCCATCTTTTGCAGGCTATGTTAGCTCTCCAAGTCAATATTTCATCTCAGTATAGCACGTAGTTCATAGGACCATTGCAAATTACAAACAAGGTACACACAGTGCCTAGCACAGTGCTTGAAACACAGCTGCTAGTAAATGTTATTTATTGTTATATTTTAAATTATTAGTGATATTTCAAGTATTACACAAATATTAGCTATTACAGTAGTCCCCTTTTATCTGTAAGGGAAATTTTCCAAGACCCCAGAAGATGCCTAAAACCAAGGATAGTACTAAGCCCTATATATATGATGTATTTTCCTTTACAAACATACTTATCATAAAGTTTAATTTATAAATTAGACATAGTAAAAGATTAACAACAATAACTAATAATCAAATAGAACAATTATAACAGTGTACTATAATAGAGGTTATGTAATCTCTCTCTTGCCCTTTCCATCTCAAAATATCTTAATATTTTCAGACCATGGTTGACTACTGGTAACTAAAACTGGAAAGAGAAACTGCAGATAAAGAGGGACTACTGTACTAGCTCGTTATAATTTTTATAATTTTCTTTTTCATAATGTGCATTTCCATCACTTACACTACATGGAAGATATGTCTTTCCCAAATGAAATGATTTCTACAATAGACATAAGTGACCTGATTACAGGATTTTCTATATAATTCTTGCACTTTTGTCACAACGAGAAGCTATATAATGGAATTTGTGAAAATGAAGTAAATACAATATATACATGGGATGAGAGATTCATGAAGTTTTTTTATGTGTTAGAAACCAATAATTAAGAAAAGATCTTTCTTCAAGGAGCCTGCAGTTCAGAAGGAAAGACAATGACGGCAATTTAACTTGACTGTGATTGGATAAGTACAAGGTGTTACAAGACCAGACAAACACCTAACTTAGCTACGAGTGTCCTTGACGAATGAGGATTCACACAAATGACCCTTTAAGAGTAAAAGCCAACAAAGAAAACACATTTTCCTTATTACTTTGAGGAAAAGAAACTTTAAAAAAAAGGTTTCATAAACTAAACTGAGATTATCTATCTTTAACTCCATCAAGGACCTATCAAAACTTGTTATCTTCAGTGAGGAAAAAGTTTAGGAATTGAACATTTGGAGAGAAAAAGAGTGTTAGAAATAGCCTTTCCACAGTGATAATGCACCCCTTTCAGCCCCATAAATTTCCAGAATCTTCTTTAACTGAAGAACTCATCAAGAAGCAGGTCTAAACTCCTCTTGAAATCTCCTGTCCCTTGAGGATGAAATATATATGTTTAGGATGATCTAAAAAGATGGTTATGGCTTCAGAATACCCACAAGAATTTCTGCATAGCCTTTAGACCAAAAAAAACCAATTGTGGCTTACATCTCTGAAATATAAGAACAAATGGATGTTCAACAAATAATAATAATATTTGCCGGTGGCTGTAATGAAACCAGTCTCTTTCATGCTGCAGAAGCGGCAATAAAATTTAAAAAAAATTAACAGGTGTTTGATACAGACGACTCCCCTAAATGTTCATGGTTTCCTTTCTTCTGCCTGGAGGATAAAAGAACCCAGTAAAAGCACTCACTTAAGATTCTTAGAACATTTCTGCAAGGTAGAATGTAAAAAACAATAGATATCTATCTTGGTAAAATGAGCATTGTAGAGGGTGTGTGAACTGTTTGGATGTGGATGAACAAAAAAAAAGACTTTATCACAAGTCTATTTCAGAAATGAATTAGAAATGTTCCTTTACCCTTTAAAATTAAACAGATCTCTAGCTCACCCTGTAGCACAAAGGAAAAATATCATTTTTATTACCATTAGTAGTAGTCACTAACTTTCATTGGGAGCTTACTACACAATAAAATCTGTGCTCAGTGCTTTATATGGCTTGGTTTGGTTTTTCTTTAAACAGGGCTTGAAACTAGGGTTTGAAGGGAGGGAGTTTTTCTGGGAGATGATCCTTAGAAACAGTAGTGAGGGAATGAGGAGAAGGAGATAGCGAAGAAGCAAACATTAACAAAATATCTCTTACCTGGGCCGGGCACAGTGGCTCACGCCTGTAATCCTAGCACTTTGGGAGGCTGAGGCAGGCAGATTGCCTGAGCTCCAGAGTTCGAGACCACCCTGGGCAACATGGTGAAATACCGTCTCTACTAAAAATACAAAAAATTAGCCTGGCGTGGTGGCAGGTGCCTGTAGACCCAGCTACTTGGGAGGCTGAGACACGAGAATTGCTTGAACTCGGGAGGAGGAGGTTCCAGTGAGCTGAGATCGTGCCACTACACTCAAGCCTGGGTGAGAGAGTGAGACTTTGTCTCCAAAAAAAGAAAAATATCTCTTACCTAAATCACTGAATTTGGCAACAAGGTCTTCACCTTGCCCAGACTTCTGAGAAGCATGCAAAATGACTTCCAGAATTGTTCTAAACAACATGAGGCTGGAGCCTGTGTCCACTGGCTTCCAAACTTCAATGCTTAAAGGTTATTTCCTCTGCACTTCACAGTTGCACTTGCACAGGAGCTGAGTAGACTCCCAAAGTTTGAAGAAAGCCCTGGGGGCAAAAAAACAGGAAGGTACGCAGTACTTGAAATGGAATGTGATCTATGAGAGTCTAAGTTGCCCACCCGAGGTGTGATTGGAATTAAAGATTGCCAAGGAGATGTTGC
This sequence comes from Homo sapiens, assembly GCF_000001405.40. Lineage (NCBI taxonomy): Eukaryota > Metazoa > Chordata > Mammalia > Primates > Hominidae > Homo > Homo sapiens. The sequence goes on along the minus strand of NC_000016.10, from coordinate 59,344,192 downwards.
AAAGGCAACTAGAAAATCAGTGATATGGCTTATTTTATTTAATTTTCACAACATGCTATTATACCAGTCTCATCCCCATTTACTGAAGAGAATATTAAGGCTTAGAGAACAAATATCCTACGTTATATTTCATCCAGTTAGTAAATGGTGAAGCAGGACTTCAAATCCAAGCAGTATGGAACCTGAAATCTTAACCACTGCATTATCTGCCACCAGGAACATAATCTCCACAACCTCTTGTCTAATGTACTCATTTTTACTTTGCTAAGAAATGCAAAGAAACCTTTTTCAAGTATAAAACCCATGGCTAACTAGACTTCCCTAACTTATCTTTAAGAATCAGGTATTTTCAGTAATTTAGAGGATTTAGTTGAAGTTGTTACCACACAATTGAGTTATGGCATTTCCAGTGAAAGCTTCTAATAAAACTATCCACCAAGATTTCTGGATTGGCCTCCTGGGGCTGTTTGTACAGAAAAGATATTCCCATCTAAAAGGGTGAGTAGATTTTTTTTGTAACAATCATATCTCTGTTGAAACTCCAGGCTAGAATATTTCCATTATGAAAATCTAAGCAACGTATTAAGAAATGGGAGTGAGTTGCTTTTCCTCTTCCACTTAGAATAGAACATAGGTTAAAACAGTCTCTTGAACTTATAAGTTTTGAGGTGATGCATGATTTTTAAAGTGGGAAAGCATACTTCACTAGATGGATGAGTGAGGGAGGCTGTGAGATTTTAAAAAAATAAATAAAATCCCCAGAGACGTAGCTAACAGAAGAGCTCTATCTGTAGGGTGCATTAAGCATCCCCACATAGGCTCGTAAGTGAGATGGCTGTTTAGGTATCCATCAGGGACACTCAAGGGTGAAAGAGGGCACTACTGATAATTTCGGTGGACCAACAGGTATAAATCAGGACTGCACCAAGCAAACTAAAATGTTGCCTATTAATGAGGCAAAAGTCTTTGCTTGTCTGACTGTCTTAGCCTGTTTGTGTTGTTATAAAGGAATACCTGAGGCTGGACAATTTATAAAGAAAAGAGGTTTATTTGGCTTGCAGTTCTGCAGACTGTACAAGAAGCATGGCACCAACATCTATTTCTGATGAGGGCCTCAGGAAGCTTCCATTCACAGTGGAAGGCAAAGGGAAGCTGACATGTGCAGATCATATGGTGAGAGAGGAAGCAAGAGAGAGAGGAGGTGCCAGGCTGTTTTCAACAACCAATTCTCCCATGAAATAAGAATGAGAACTCCCTCATTCCCATGAGAACAGCACCAAGCCATTCATGAGGAATCCGCTCTCATGACCCAAACACCTCCCACCAGGCTCCACCTCCAACATTGTGGATCAAATTTCAACAGGAGACTTAGCAGGGACAAATAAACCGTAACTAAACCATGGCAAGAACAGACCTGTGTTTTCCCAACATTGTTGAGGCATGAGGATCACTTTGGATGTTTACAGATTCCTGAGCCCTCTCCCGGAGTTACCAGATCAGAATCTCAGGAATAGAGATCCCTAAACTTATATTTTAACAATACCACCAAGTAATTCTTAAACACACTAAAGTTTAAGCACCAGTGATTGACACAGTCAAGCTCAATGTTTGTGTGTGTGTGTGTGTGTGTGTGTGTGTGTGTGTGTGTGTAAAATTCACATAGAAATTTTAAAACCAAAATATCTCAGCGATATGACTAAAAACATCAAAACTGGGAATAAAAGGACTCCACTGATCTCATGTATTAATGTATATGGTATATGTTTGTTGAATCCCTAGCAAATATAAATAACTTGATGATAAATATTTTTAAAAGAAAATTGATGCATTCTCTTCTGTCTATGAATTTGTAGTCTAGTGTGGGAGGCTATAGAGAAATAACCATACTAAAATAAACAGTAATAACAATTTATACACCAAAAATGATGAGGGAATTAAGCATTAAAGGTAGATTATTAACTTCCTGAGGGCAAGGTCTCTGTCCTGTGCAGAATACAATGTGGGATGATGAACCATCCTGGTTTGCTGAGGACTGAGAAGTTTCCCAAAAAGGACACAGGACTTTCTGAGTTAAAACTGGAAAAGTCTCAGGCAAACCAAGACAAGCCAATCATCCTGTTATTGAAAAAAGCAAGCAAAAGATATTTCAGTAAAATGAACGTGTACCTGAATGATGTTAGTGGAAAGTATTCACTCATATTGAGTTCTACCATTTTTCAAGTTCCTTATATGCATTATCACAATAAGGGTCTAAGCTAACTGACAAAAGAGGAAACTGAGGCTCAAAGAGGTTAATTACTTTGTCCCAGTTCCTATAAATTGGAAGTGCCCGAACTGGTGCTGGGGTAGAAATCCAGAGCTGTTTGAATCCAAAGACACTCAGGGTAAGGAAAGATAGTGCTCTACATTCTTGTTAAAAATCTTGAAAGGGAAAGAAAGATGAGATTAAAATTGAATTCTTCATCCTACGGAAACAGCAATGTTTTATGTAGGGAGAGACATTTTGTTTTTATTAACATACAAATATGCCCAAGATAGTTTGCTTGCCTCCCTCCCTTCCAGCAGCTGCTTTGAAGCCCACTAGAGGCTCCAGAGGGAGCCGAGCTGTTTCTAACAGCTGTTTCTCAAACACCTAACTTCATTTTCAGATCAGAGCTGGGGTTTGAAGCTCTTAAAACCTGTGCTGCTTCAATCAAATGAGAGCAGAGACAGCCAAAACAATCAGCACCTCTCCAACAGCCTATTTGAATGTCTCTCTGTGTACTGGATGCCTCAGGCATAATGTAGTGTGGGACTGTTTGTTAAATCTATTTTCAGCTTCTCTCCCCTTCACTTCTCTCTAAGACCTATGGATAGAGAGAGAGAGGAATCTCTGGTTCTGACTCCCTCTTCCTTTCTCTTTTTTTTTTTTTTTTTTTTTTTTGAGACAGAGTCTCACTCTGTCACCTAGCTGGAGTTCAGTGGCGCGATCTCTGCTCACTGCAACCTCCACCTCCCAGGTTCAAGTAGACCGGGTTTCACCGTGTTAGGTGTTAGCCAGGATGGTCTCGATCTCCTGACCTCATGATCCACCCGCCCCGGCCTCTCAAAGTACTGGGATTACAGGCGTGAGCCACCCAGCCGGGCTTCCTTTCTTTTTCTCTCTCTCCTTTTTTTCCATGATAAAGTACTTAAATTTCAAAGAGAATGAGAAAAATTATGAATCCACTCCTAAAATGCTAGATTGGCATTTTGTCATATTTGATTACAACCTTTTCATAAGAAATTAAATGCTACAGATAGGGTGGAAACTCTTAGTCCCACCCAAGCTCATTTCCCTCCTTTGCTTCCAGAGGCAACATTATCAAGAAGCTGGTGTTTATCCTTACCACCCAACTGCATACACTTTTATTAATATGTATGTGCCTATAACCAATAGGAAATAGTTTTGTGTGAATTATATTTGTACTCTCTGTTGATAGCTTTATACTGTATACTTCTACTTGGATCTAAAGTTTTCATTAAACATTTTTGTTTTTATTGTCACAATCATATGGATACATGACAACTTAGTACATTGATTTTAGTTGTTCTATGTTATTCCATTACATGAATATTGCACTGCTTTTCTCTTTTATTCTCTAATGTTAAATTCTTAAGTTATCACTTTTCCTCCCTCTTGCATTTCTGTATTTCAATAATAAACCTATGAGTTAGATATTATTGTATGATCTCCACAGTACATATAAAGAAATCAAGTTTGAGACACATCAAATAATAAGTGAAATTCATACTGCTCGTAATTGAACTACAGGAATTAAGAAGCAGGTCCAAGGTGCCTTAGGACTGTTTTTTGTATACAAGAGACTCCTCAAGAAAGGAAGAAAAAGAAATAGCATTTCTGGACTATTGACCAAGAAGTCTCTAATGTTCCCCAGCTTGACTAACTTTAGATAGACTTCTTCCTGACTATAGCCACCTGACCTCCTTTTTCTTTTACTAAAGAAACTTTTACGTTAGAAAACTTGTAATTGTGCATTCTTTCTCCATCCTTTTGAGATGTAAATCTTTTCCCAGCCTCTTGCTAGTTTTACAACCCAGGAAAGTCTTTCTCAACAACCTGGGAGCCATCCTTTTGAAATGTAATTATCAAGAAAGATAGGATCCCTGTCTCCCAGCCTCTGTGGGAGGGTAGGAGCCTAACTTCCATAAGTAACAATTAGCACACAGAGACGACCTCATCACATTGGTCAGTCTTACCCCTAATGTCCTCCAGGGCTTTTCCACTAGCTCACCCAAAGCCCTTAAAAATCCTCCTGTCTTTTGTTTCAAAGAAGTTGAGTTTAATCTTTCTCCCCTAATACAGTCCTAACCTCTATTGCAGTAGTTTTGAGTAAAGTTTTCCTTGCTGTGTCTGGTGCAATTGTTTTTAAGTATCCACCAAGTGCCACGTGCTAATTTTCATTTGCAGAAACAAGTTAGACTCTCCCAGAGAAAGTGATTATCTGAATCAGGCCACTTGCTTCCCCTTTTCATGTTTCTAATATTTACTAAAGAGCAAAATACAGAGACATGGATTTTCTAAAATTTTTAATATCAGGAAAATCCTTCAAACCAATAGTCAAAGGTATCAAATTTAAGGACACAACCATCTTTGGTTCTCATTCTATCATTTCATCTAGAGTTCAGAGCATTGCTGGTAGTCCTCCTGACCCACAGCCCTGAAATCACCCAAGTACCACTCACATAACTCACATCTTTCTATCAAAGGCAATAATCGTTAATCCTAGGCTCTACTGCTGCACACCTAGTCCCTCTACTGCCTTGCAAGAAAAAATTCTGGAGGCCCTGTAGAAGCAGTAGGATGCTGCCAGAATATCCTTTCCCAGGCTCTGTATAAGTGATACGGTGACAGAATAAGTCATCCCATTTCAGCCTATTGACTTTTATGTGGTACATCATGCTTACTTATTCTGGTGACATTTCCTAAACAGAATAAGTACAACTCATTATCTAGAAGGTTAAATGTATGCAGCCAGAAGCAAGAAATGTTTCCAGAGCGAGCACAGAGCGTTGAATTATAAGACAAGTGTGCTTTACCAAATGTGAGTGAAGGATTAAAGAGTAAGGTAGAGGAAGACATTAAGAAAAAAATACGTGGCAAGGAATGATGAGGCTCTAGGTACACACTGGAGAGTAAGAAAATCCAAAGACGAATTGTGCTTGAACCTCTTTCTAAATGCTACCTCCACCAATTCTCACCATCACAGCTGTAAATCAGAGAAAACTACTGAGGTGACTGCCAATCATTCTAGAGGTTTATTTTGCCAAGATTGAGGATGCACCTGGGGGGGAAACAAAAACAAAAACAAAAAATCACAGGAACACCTGTGATCTATACTTTTTCCAAAGAGGGTTTGGGGACTTCAATATTTAAAGGGGAAAGAGTGAGCAATAGGGAAAAGAGGAAAGAAAAAAAAAAAGGAGGGTAGATAGAAGGGGCAAACAGTTGCATTCTTTTGAGGCTTTGATCAGTGTTCACTGAATCCATATTTTACATGTGATAGGAGGTGGTGGATAAAGAATCAGTTATGCATGCATCTCAGTCCTGGTGAATCTGCTTTTTTTTTTTTTTTTTTTTTTTTTGAGAAAGAGTTTCACTCTTTTTGCCCAGGCTGGAGTGCAGTGGTGAGATCTTGGCTCACTGCAACCTCCTCCTCCCAGGTTCAAGTGATTCTCTTGCCTCAGCCTCCCAAGTAGCTGGGATTACAGGCATGCACAACCACGTCCGGCTAATTTTGTGTTTTTAGTAGAGATGGGGTTTCATCATGTTGGCCAAGCTGATATTGAACTCCTGACCTCAAATGATCCACCCGCCTTGGCCTCCCAAAGTGCTGGGATTACAGGCATGAGCCACGGTGCCCAATCGGCATTTTTACATAAGATAAAATGAACATATAGTAGAGGAAGAAGTCAAGTATGTGTTTGTCTCGGTAAGCAGAGGGATGACTCCCAGGCTTGTCTTTGTCCTGTACCTGTGAAGATAATTTACATTATCGGGTGAAAATTCAACAGAACTGTGTTAGGGTAAAGATATATGGGCCCACAAGGAATTTCCTAGTGAGCAATTTGTGAGAGAGGTCCCCTGGGGAGGTATATAGCCTTCCATCTTTGCCACTATCTATTTAGGAACAAAATGGGAGACAGTTTTGCATGACTCAGTTCCCGAGCCTGACTTTTCCCCTTGGCATAGTAAGTTTGGGGTCTTGATATTTTTTTTTTTTTCCTTTCACACAGCCATAAATGAATCATCCTATTATCTTGATGGTTAACATTGCTACTTCTTTCTTTGGTAGGCAATATACACAGTAAACCTAAATCAGAGAAAAGTTAATATAAGGTTTCCAAAACCACATCTGATACATAGAAGACACTTAATACATGTTTTCTAGTTGAGGCAGAAGAGTGATATGTAAATAAAAATTCCTCACGTTTTTATCATCTCATGGACAGGGACCTTGGAGGGAAGTAAATCTGGCTGGTATCTCCCATAGGGATGGCCAGCAAGAATGGTAATTACCATGGGACATAAACATTGTGTTCAAAGATGTTTGCTTTCCACTTTCATATCCACAGGACTTATCAGGGTGCTGGTATGTAGCAAGTGTTACACAAATACATATTAAATCACTGAGTTGAAAGGACACAGAGACCATGTCTCAGGAAGGCCCTAAGGTAAGTTGTCATAGATAAAGCCCTGGATCTAACACACATAATCAAATATGGAACCAGAGAATCAGAGATGTTGAGAGTGAATTAACAGTTGAGTGGGCAGTACATAGCGGTTTGAACACATTCCAGCAATGCAAGCCCAATATCTGAGGTCTTACCCATCATTAATGAACACATGAGTATTTGAGTCATTTATACCCAAAAGAGATAGAATAGCAGAAGCCTAGGAATTTTCACCAGGTCACTGAATAGTACCACCTTTTAGAAAAAAGCAATTATTCCTCTTTTCCATAAAGTAAACTTGGTTACTGGAAGCCATCAGAGATTCTTCCACCATATGACCCTAAGGTTAAGGATATATTCTCCTTTTTCTTCTATCCCAGTGTACAAGACTAACCTAGGAGTCAATGAACTTAACTGGCTACCGTTCACAAACAATTGTACTGTAGCATCCAGATGTAAGATTAAATGAGATACAACACAGAGTGCCAAGCACAGCATCTAGCACATAAAAAGCATTGAATTCAGATTGGCTTTGACAATCCTATAAATAAGGGGGGACTATGCTTTTATATTTGGAGACTAGAAAACAATTTCTTAATAAATATTACCAACAAGTGGCAGGAATGTTTATTCAGATGGGGCAACAACATTAAAACGCAATTTTTATTGTTGTTGCTGATTATTTTTCTGAATATCACATGCATTTATAATGGAATAAATTCAGGAAAATTCCTGTAGCCAGAACCTTTCTGTAAGCTTCTTGAGAGGCTTAATAGACAGTAACAAGAAAATTCCTATTTTTCCCAAACACTGCTCAAGACAAGCACATTTTACTATTTTTCAAAGCCTAACATCTCCATCCAGGGAAAACAAGTTCAATTATTCTGTAGCACATGTGGAATATTAGGTTCATCCACACACCAGGGATTCTGAGTACACTGCAGGAAATGGCATGGATAGGATCCTGCTGGCTGGCCGTAGAACACTACAGGAAGGTTTGCACGGCTCATTGTTATTGAGATTCATAGAAATCCTCTTTTCCATCCAAGCAATTTGCTCTTCTAGAATGCATTTTTTTTTTTTGTCTTGCATGTCCTTCCAATGAATGGAATGTATTTTGGAAGTATATTTTGATTTGCATAAAGCAAGTATTTACCACACACTGTAAAAACCAGACTGTCAGTCTCTCAGGATTGTTTGACATTTAGTCTCCCAGTGATACACTGACACAACCCAACCATATAAAAGTCAAAGGGGTGTGAGGTGGGGGTGTGGGCGTGTGTTTAAATCACAGCCAAAGACTGGAGATCCTTCACATATGCCTCAGATTTTAGGAAGTTTCAGCTGGAAAGGCAATACTGATGGTTTTCAGTTTCATCTCAAATGCAAAAAAAACCTTCACTAACTCTGCAAAACAATGAAAATAAAGCTATTTGTTCTTGCCTCAGAATTACAAAATATTCCCCAGGTAGGTTGAGAATTGGACACAAAGCCTGACTGAAGTTTAGTTGGACTGGGAGTTTGTGGGCAAGGTCTTGATGATAGCGACAGGAGGCAGCCAAATCCCTTGGCAGATGGGGAAGGCCCCTGGTAAAACCGCACCTCCAAGCTGAAGACAGTTTGGAGCCTGAAAGCTGAGCTACAAGTTAAATCCTCGGACCAGATTGAGAACTTGTCTTCCTATTTGGAATGCTTTTCTCTGATCGGTCCCCACCCTTCACCTATTTTACATATACCTACCCTTTACTAATTAGTTTGCTATACTGTCATGCCCACCTTTGAGTGATGTCTTCGCTTTAAACTTTTCGGCATACTCACAAACCAATGAGCACACACTCCCCATTCTGAGTCCATAAAAGGCCCTAGACCCAGCCACTTGGGGGAACTTTCCTACCTTCAGGTAGGGGCACCAATTCCCCATTTCCTCTCCACTGAAAGATGTTTTTATCCCTCAATAAAATTCTTCTCTGCCCTCTTCATCCTTTAATGTCCAGTATATCCTCATTTTTCTTAGGCTCAGTACAGGAGCTCTGGAACTGTCAAACGTGGGTACAAGCTACAACACAGGTGAGCTAGGGCACACCGGCATGGCCGAGTGAGGACCAGGCAGGGTGTCACTGGCTGAGGGTCCCTGGCTTGTGAAGTGACTGAGAAGAAAAATCCTACATCAATGTTAAACCAGCAGGAAGCAGTAATTTTGCAGTGGTGCTCACTGTCTATAACAACATCCTCCAAATGGTAAGAATGGCTGCTGCTTAGTAGCAGATGAGAAAGGAGGCTCTTAGCTTAGCAGTTCTCAAACCTGGCTGCTCACCAGAATCAACTGAAGAGTTTTGAAAACACCTGATACTCAGAACCCAGCATAAACTGAAGTAGAGCTCGGGCGAGTGCTTGGCATTTGTATTTTTTAAAAGCTTTCTGGGTGAGTCTAATGCATAGCCATGATAACATAAGCAGATCTGAACAAAGTATTTTCCTGTCCATTGTACCCCCAGTTATAACTTTTGGACTATGTTGAACAAACTTAGTCTCTACTTGTTCATTGCTATAATCAAAGGCCTGATTCACTTCAGGAATTCATTTATATGAAATGACTGAAAGTCCAGTAGTTAGCAAAAATATTACAATAAAATAAGTTTTTCTCCTACTCTATGTAACTAACTCACTACTCAAAAACCCTAAAATTGGCATAGTATTTGATTCAACTTTTTATAAGTCATCATACATAATTTGTTTTAAAAAGTTACAAAGATATATATGTTTTACAGAAGGTCAGGCATGAGCAGGGCAGGAGAGGGCTCCCCTCACCCCACCAGGAATGTCAGGTGACCATCAGGTGATGGTCAGGCAGTTGCTACACTGTTTCTCTAAAATAATAATTGGTGGCAGCCAGAGCCAGGGAAAGGCAGTCTCCAAGTAGATAGACAAAACCTGAAACTGGTGATAAGCAGCTTCCCAGTAAGATCTCAGGAGTTGGGCAAGTGGGCTGAAGCATGGGAATTGAGAGGTAAAATGGCCAAGTTTAACTGGTATATGACCTTCCTCTGGGAACATTCAACTGGCAAGGGAAGAATGCCTCAAGTGATCATGCATACAACTCCAGTAAACACAGTCTGCGTGGGGCCCCTCCCAAATGCCAGCAGACCACTGCACATGCAGACAACCCACTCCAAGGGAAGAATCAGGGTAGATGGGATGCAAGACCTCAGAAGTACACCAACATATAAAACCCTAAGTCAAGGGTCAAACTGAGAGGTTAAGCTGGCTGGGCTTCTGGGTTGGGTGGGGACTTGGAGAACTTTTCTGTCTAGCTAAAGGATTGTAAATGCACCAATCAGCACTCTGTGTCTAGCTAAAGGTTTATAAATGTACCAATCAGCACTCTGTAAAACTGACCAATCAGCACTCTGTAAAATGGACCAACCAGCTCTCTGTAAAATGGACCAATCAGCAGGATGTGGATGGGGCCAAATAAGGGAATAAAAGCAGGCCACCCTCGCCTGCAGCAGTAACCCACTCGGGTCCTCTTCCGTCCTGTGTAGTTTTTGTTCTTTCGCTCTTCACAATAAATCTTGCTGCTGCTCACCCTTTCGGTCCACGCTGCCTTTATGAGCTGTAACACTCACCAGGAAGGTCTGCAGCTTCACTCCTGAAGTCAGTGAGACCATGAATCCACCAGGAGGAACGAACTCTAGACGCACCACCTTTAAGAGCTGTAACACTCACCGTGAAGGTCTGCAGCTTCACTCCTGAAGTCAGCGAGACCACGAGCCCACCAGGAGGAATGAAGAACTCCGGACGCACCGCCGTTATGAACTGTAACACTCACTGCAAAGGTCTGCAGCCTCACTCCTGAAGACAGTGAGACCACGAACCCACCAGAAGGAAGAAACTCTGGACACGTCCAAACATCAGAAGGAACAAACTCCGGACACACCATCTTTAAGAACTGTAACACTCACCGCGCGGGTCAGTGGCTTCATTCTTGAAGTCAGCGAGACCAAGAACCCACCAATTCTGGACACAAAACCACGCACTTGATCTCTCAAGTCGCCCACTTGGCACTCTTGTAAATGTAGTTTACTTCCTTTCATTCCTGTTCTAAAGCTTTTTAATAAACTTTCACCCTGCTGTAAAACTTGCCTCAGTTTCTCACTTTGCCTTATGCCCCTCCCTCTCATTCTTTCTTCTGAGGAAGCAAGAATTGAGGTTGCTGCAGACCTGCAGGGATTCACTGCCGCTGACATATATTTCCAAGGTATTAATCACAGTGCAGTTCATAGATTTAGTAAGTCAATTATGATACAGCCACATAATGGAATTCTTTATAGACATTAAAATAATGTTATTTTTCATATAGAAAGCTGTCCATATTATTGATAAGGAAAAAAGCATATTAAAAGCAGAGTGGATAAAATTATCATTTTGATTAGCTGATAGATGAATGTGTTTTTATGTATGTGTGTCTTCCTAGAAAAATTCAAGAAATATAAACACATGATTTCCTCCCTCCTTCCCTCCGTCTCTCTCTTTCTTTCTTTCTTCAGAGTCTTGCTGTGTCATCCAGGCTGGAGTGCAATGACGTGATCACAGCTCACTGCAACCTCTGCCTCCCAGGTTCAAGCAATTCTCCTGCCTCAGCCTCCCAAGTAGGTGGGACTACAGGCATGAACCACCATGTCTGGCTAATTTTTGTATTTTTAGTAGGGTTGGCATTTCACCATGTTGGCCAAGCTGGTCTTGAACTCCTGACCTCTAGTGATCTACCTGCCTTGGCCTCCCAAAGTAATGGCATTATAGGTGTGAGCCACTGCATTCTGCCCCACTAACATGGTTTCCCATGGAAGATAAAAACAAGAACAGCTTTCATTTTCTTCTTCTATCTTTTCTTTATTTTCCTCAATTACATGTTATTTTAATAATTGCAATTTATTTACATGTAAAAGGTTGGGAGCAGCTATATCTCATCCTTATTCCAAGTCCATCTTGATTTCAGAATCCTTATTTGTGAATAGGGTTAGACCAAGACACAAAAGTGCAGAAGTTGAATTTTGATGCCCCTTTGCACACACACGAGTCAGTCTCAGTTATTTATGTTGACCACCCCACTACCTAAATTCCCACTGTCGATCCTGCTGCTTGCCTCACAGAAAGCCAAAGACTGAGACAACAACTATTGCCAAGGAAGAGGGCTTTAATCAGGTGCTACAGCTGATGAGATGGGAGCTAAGCCTCAAATCCATCTCCCTGATTAACTAAAACCAGGAGTTTATATAGCAATTTGTAAGAAAACAGGAACTAGGGAGGAGCAAGGAGGCATCTGCCCCTGTGATCTGTTGAGGTTCAGTGGTCTGGTGAGTTTTAGTGGTCCGGTGAGTTTCAGTGGTCAGGTGAGTTTTGGTGATCTGGTGAGTTTTAGTGGTCCGGTGAGTTTCAGTGGTCAGGTGAGTTTTGGTGATCTGGTGAGTTTTAGTGGTCCGGTGAGTTTCAGTGGTCTGGTGAGTTTCGGTGATCTGGTGAGTTTTAGTGGTCTGGTGAGTTTCAGTGGTCTGGTGAGTTTCAGTGGTCTGGTGAGTTTCAGTTCTTTGATACTTTTTTTGAGAGGCCTAAAGGTCCTTTCCTGAGGAAGGGACTCAGATACAACAAATACAAAGAAAGGTAAATGTCTATGTTTATCCAAAAGAACAGTTTATGGGAGCACTGGGCCAGTTTCACCACCATAAATTGATAACTTTGTTTGGCCTGGTACATCCAGTTACATCCTCAAAACCTATTTCTTCAGGACTTCTGCTTCCATATGTAAAGAGGCTAAGTTATTTGGAATAACTATTTCTTAATGTAAATTTATGTAATGCCTACCCTGTCATCACTCTCAGGAAGAGCTGCATTTTGAGGTATGTATCAAAACACAGAAATGCCTCTAATGTGACATGACAGTTTTCAAAACCAGGACCATAGTGAGGATCTGATAGGGGGAGAAAGGGCATAGGATGGGGTAGAAGTAGAGACTAATAATGATAGCTGGAAATATCTGGATGCCTTCTTTGTGCCTAAGCACTTTGGAATACACTATTACTATGCCAATTTCATAGATAAGAAAACAGATGTTTAAGGAGTTTAAAACTCACCCAAGAACACATAAAAAATGAATGGCAGAGCTGGGATCACATCAAAGCAGTCTGGCTTTAGTTTCTGCTGTTTGGCCAACTATACAACAATGTGTATATGTATTTCTAGAGTTTTGAAAACTCACAGCTCAATTTTATTGGTTCTCAAGTATCTTTTCTAAGTTAGCAGTTCTCAAAGTGCAGTTCCTGGACTAGCATCACCTGTGATCTTTTTAGAAATGCAAATTCTTGAATCCTACCCCAGACCTACTTATCAGAACCTCTGGGGTTGGGATCCAGAATCTGTTTAGCGAGGCCCTCCAGATAAGAACCAACCACTGCTCTGGGTGCTTGATCACAGGTTTCACAAGTTGATATGGTTTAGCTGTGTCCCCACCCAAATCTCACTTGACATGTAATAATCCCCACATGTCAAGGATGGGACCAGGTAGAGATAATTGAATCATGGGGGTGGTTTCCCTCATGCTGTTCTCATGGTAGTAAATAAGCCTCATGAGATCTGATGGTTTTATAAATGTGAGTTTCCCTGCACAAGCTCTCTTGTCTGCTGCCAAGTAAGACATGACTTTTCTCCTCATTTTCCTTCCGCCATGATTATGAGGTCTCCCCAGCCATGTGGAACTGTGAGTCTTTTATAAATTACCCAGTCTCAGGTATGTCTTTATGAGCAGCGTGAGAACAGACCAATACAGTAAATTATGTCATTTCACCTTATAACAGACTTTTAATGTCAGTTCATAATTCCAGATGAGGAAACTGGGGCATGGGGAGCTGAATTAATGTTCCCCAAAAGGCACAGCTAGTAGGTGATAAGGCTGGAAATCTCACCCCTGTCTGTAAGAGCTCCTGCTGAGGTGGTATGAATGGGAATGAGCATGTCTTTTGACTCTGCCACTAATTGCAAGGCAACCTTCTTTGTTTGCGTGTAGGCTAAGCTATTAAAAACACTCTACAAAGACATGCCAAGGAACACAATTTAATGGGAAACTAAGATACATGTGGGCATTTATCTCATAATAAGATTCTACTTATGAAAGGATGCTATAGTGTAATTAGATGCCGGAAGGCCAGAAAGGAAAAAAAAAGTGGCTCTTATTTTAACTGCTTCACAATAATGGAATGTTGCTGGAGAGTTATTCACACAACAGATGCTGTGAAGATATGTGCTGATTCTGTGGGTTGCTACATAACCCCACTGCAACAGAGCCTCCAGTCCTTATGCACATAGGCATAACTTCTCCCTAAGCAATATCTAATGCTTGCAGTAGAACTATAAATTGCAGCTAATGGGAGAAAATGCAACTCCTTCATTCAGAATTTCTGAAAATATTTGCCTGCGATGTTTTGTGCAACAGAGATTGCACTAAAAAAAAAAAAAAAAAAAAAAAAAAAAAAGACAGTATTTATTCTGGGGTGGCTTCATTTGGAAAGCCAGATTAGGGAGGGTAATCAAATGCATTTCACTTTTACCTAGTAAATAATTTAAATGGTCCCTGTGGTTATTCATTAAAACTTTTATGGTATGTTCATCAATTACCAAACAGCTTGAACAAAGCAGAGGTAAATTAACTTTCTGAAATCCACATGGCTTAGCTTGCCAAAAGGAGTGTATACACTCACAGCATTTTCATTGGTTTAAAGTTCATCCAAAATACTATTAGCTTGGAGTCCAATTTTGAACTGTCAAGGGGAATATATACAATGGTAATTTCAGATCATTATCATGGCATTCCAATGCAAATGGCCACAATTTAATTCATTATCACTAACATTACATCTTTATTTTGCTACCAACTGGTGACTGACATTTCGAGGGCTACAAGAAGCAAATGCTAATTAGACCACGGTATACTCTTAGCCTTTTTTCTTTCATTGTATTTTTCCATCTTCAGGAAAACATGCAGGAGGCTACTTCTGACCAGCTGCTGGCCCTTGACCCTCCTCTCCTGCCCTGGCAAGGCTGTCATCCCTGGGATAAAATGAAGCTTCTGTGGATTTCCACTTCCAAGTATTGTGTTTCTGAAATAGAGCCTATGTAATGAAATGACCTCTTCTTTAAGCCAGCCACCAACCTAATTTAGGAAATCTAGAGCAATCTCCAGGGCGACAGATTATAGGCATTAACATGCAAACAAACTGCCTTAAAAGTTCAAATTTGCATTTAGACTGGACAAAGGGGAAAGAAATGACTTTCTATGCTGTTCCTTGCATCATCATGGTTTCAAAAATTATAAATCTCTGAAATGGTGCCAGAAGGGAACTTCCTTAGCTTCTCTCATTCATACTTAACTTGGACTTCATTCATCTCTGAAAGCATGCCTTTTCACTCTCAATGTGAGATAAGAAAGAGTTGTAAACTCTCCCGCAGCTTCAGATGAAAGCAATTAGTAGAACAAAATTGAAGATCGCATCTTGAGTGTACAGACTCAGAGAAAAGATATAAAATATAGATTTTTTCACTTCCCTGATATGACACAATAATTTTACCTTTAAGACAATGTCTCTCAAACAAACTGTCCTACCAAGAAGACACATGCACTCACGTGTTCATCACAGCACTATTCCCAACAGCAAGGACATGGGGTCAACCTAGGTGCTCATCAGTGGTGGATTGGATAAAGAAAATATTGTACATATGCATCATGGGATACTGTGCAGCCATAAAAAGGAACAAAATCATGTCCTTGGCAGCAACATGGGTCCAACTGGAGGTCACTGTCCTAAGCAAATTAATGCGGGAACAGAACACCAAATACCACATGTTTTCATTTATAAATGGGAGCTAAACACTGGGTACTCATGGACATGAAGAAGGTAACAATAGCAACTGGGGACTGCTAAAGAGAGGAGGGAGGAAGGGAGAGGGCAAGAGCTGAAAAACTAACTTTTGGGTACTACGCTCAGTACCTGAGTGATGGGATCATTCATATTCCAAACTTCAGCATCACACAATATACTCAGGTAACAAACCTGTACATGTCCCCCTAGATTCTAAAATGAAAGCTGGAAAAAAAAAAGAGACAATGTTTCTCTTCAGAAGCTCCACGAAAATGTTATTTATTAAGTAATTACGTCGGTGTAATAATAATAATTATGGTAGGCATTCAATAATTATGTGTCAGGTACCTAGTAATTGACTTTGCATATTTTAATCTTTAAGACAATCCTGCAAGATGTGAATTTGGTTACCAACAAGGAAGATGAGCCCTAGAGAGTCAGTGTCCAGTACAAACAGTAATAGTTACTCCAGTTACCCAGGATGATGGTGACGTAATAGTTACCCAGTGTCCAGTACAAACAATAATGGTAACTCCAGAGGAAAAATCTCTTCCAGCATATTTTGATCTCTAAGGGCCTTAATTCAAAATCTTATTATACAAAGGAGCCATGTTTTGGGGTAAAGTTTCCTGTGCTTCTTCAGATCCAGAAATCAAAAATTTACCACACATAAAATTAAATATCTAGGAATTAACTTAACCAAAGAAGTTTCTATAATGAAAACTATAAAACATTGATGAAAAAAATTAAAGAGGACACCAAAAAAATTAAAAGATATTCCATGTTAATGGGTTGGAAGAGTCAATATTGTTAAAATGTTCATATTACCCAAAACAATCTACAGATTCAGTGCAATCCCTATCAAAATACCAATGATGTTCTTCACAGAAATAGAAAAAAACTATCCCAAAATTTATATAGAATCACAAAAGACCCAGAGGAGCCAAAACTATCCTAAGCAAAAAGAACAAAGCTGAAGGAATCACATTACCTGACTTCAAATGATACTACAGAGCTATAGTAACCAAAATAGCATGGTCCTGGCATAAAAACAGACACATAGAGCAATAAAACAGAATAGAAAACCCAGAAACAAATCCACACACCTACATTGAACGCATTTTTGACAGAGGTGCCAAAAACATACACTGGGAAAAAGACAGTCTCTTCAATAAATGGTGCTGGGAAAACTGGATATTCATATGCAGAAGAGTGAAATTAGACTCCCAGCCCTCACCATATACAAACATCAAGTCAAAATGGATTGAAGAGTTAATTCTAAGACCTCAAACCATGAAACTACTGAGAGAAAATATTGTGGAAAATCTCCAGGGCGTTGCTCTGGGCAAAAATTTCCTGAGCAACACTCTACAAGACAACCAAAGCAAAAATGGACAAGTGGGATCGCATCAAGTTAAAAAGCTTCTGCACAGCAGGGGATAAAACCAACAAAGTGAAGAGACAACCCACAGAATGGAAAAAAATGTTTTCAAACCACCCATCTGACAAGGGATTAATAACCAGAATATATAAGGAGCTCAAACAACTCTGTAGGGAAAAAATGTAATAATCCAATAAAAAAATGGGCAACAAATTTGAGTAGACATTTCTCAAAAGAAGACATACAAGTGGCAAACAGGCATTTGAAAAAGTGTTCAACATCGTTGATCGTCAGATGATGATCAGTATACTATTCAGTGTATCCAAAAGACAGACAATAACAAATTCTGTCAAGAATGTGGAGAAAAGACAACCCCTGTACATTGTTGGTGGGGGTGTAAATTAGTACAACCACTATGGAGACCAGTTTGGAGATTCCTCAAAAAACTAAAAATTGAGCTACCATATGATCCAGCAATCCCATTGCTGAGTATATGCCCAAAAGAAAGGAAGTAAGTTGCCGGGCGCGATGGCTCAGCCTGTAATCCCAGCACTTTGGGAGGCCGAGGCAGGCGGATCACGAGGTCAGGAGATTGGGACCATCCTGGTTAACATAATGAAACTCCGTCTCTACTAAAAATACAAAAGAATTAGCCCGGGCGTGGCGGTGGGCGCCTGTAGTCCCAGCTACTCGAGAGGCTGAGGCACGAGAATGGCGCGAACCTGGGAGGCGGAGCTTGCAGTGAGCAGAGATCGCGCCACTGCACTCCAGCCTGTGAGACAGAGAGAGACTCCGTCTCAAATAAATAAATAAAATAAAATAAAATAAAATAAACAGTGTAATTTGATTGTTCGTAACTCAAAGGATAAATGCTTGAGGGAATGGGTATCCCATTCTCTATGATGCGCTTATTTTACATGGCATGCCTGTATCAAAACATCTCATGTATCCCATAGATCTATATGCCTACTATGTACCCACAAAATTTTTTTAAAAATTTACCTGTCCCATGGTAGATACTCAGTAAATACGTGTTGAATGTAGAATGAATTTTAAAAAAAAAAACTGTTTTAGTATTACTATAACAAAAAGTAGACAGGGTAATAGATGACAAGCAGAAAAAAATGAATGAATGAATTTGAAATGCTTTTCTCTGTACTGAAATCCAGCTGGGCTAGAAAGCATTTATCCTTTAACATGATTGATGTATATATAATCTAACTGAAATGTCAGGTTTAAAGCACAGTTACAATTAGGTAGGTATATCTTACTTAGATATATGCTTTAAGAAGTTGGTATGCGGAAAGTTATTGCTGTACTTATAAAACCTAACACTTGAGGCACCCCTCATAGTATGAACTTGGGCCTCCTAAAGGAAACAATTCTCAATGCTAACAACTTTCTAAAACTAATTTTCCTCATCCATCATCCAATCATTAATAAATCTCACATTAATAATTCTGTACATTTCAGAATGAGAGGAAAGGGAAGCCTCAAGCGCCACCCGTGCCATTGCTCCCATACTTCTAAAAAGTAACTGTCTAGCTGAAAAAGTTTGTGCCCTGGGGCACGAGACTAATAGGAATTTCAAGACCCATTTTCTGTTAGCAACTTAATCTTTCTTTGTCCCCCATCTCAGCCAGCAAATACAATTTCATAATAACACAACTCATCTCTGTGTTTTTGAACTTGGCTTTGGATTGGGGATCATTGTGTCTTTGCCTTTAGATGTCTCACTCTGATGTATTCTATTTCAAAGGGAGAGATAAAACCCAAAGTTCATTCTCACAATGGGACATCCTTTAAAGCCAAAGAGAAATGTTGGTCCTCTTTGTGGCACACAGCAGCCCAGATCCACTTTGAGATTCTCTCTTGAAAGTCTCTGGGCAAGTGCAAAACGGTTTCCAGTGATTTATTTTGTGCCACTATCGGAATGGAATTGCTGTAGCTGTCTCCATGGCACAACTGGGCAGATTGAAGTTGTGGGAGTGAAGTAGGGTGAAGACCTCAGGGAAACAGGTTTCCTCATTGCCTCTTCCTAATTACTAGCCATGCAGCTGAGCTCTTCAGCACTAATGGCTCCACTGGGTATAGATAGCATCTACATATACCTTTGGAAGTCTAAATTTGGGCAAGAGGAATAAGGGATTTATTCAAACCCATAGTCATTTTCTCTCTCTCTCCCGCCACCCCTTCTCTCTCTCTGTCTCAACTCTAATTATACAAAAAAGTTTTTTGTCTATTTCTCCATTAGACATAACACATTTCACTTTAAAACTGTTTTTCTGTTGGTCTTTTAATTTACCATTCTTAAATTTCCCATAATCTTGATGAAATCTCTTCCTAAATATATTTCCTCCACCTTCGACTTCTTCTAATAGTCTTTGATTTCCAAAGGGATGCATAACTTCTTATTTATCTTTGTATCCCCAGTCCCTGAAAGAATGTCTAGCATGTATTATTCACCCAATAACATGTTAGTTCAGTGAATGACTGAAGGAATGACTCACCAAAATTTTAATCATTCACTCTTCTCTGAATCCTTCTCCTTTCTTTAAACATGCAGACAGCTGTCCTATCTCGCCAAAATGTTTACTCTCATTATATTCTGTACTTCCTGAAATAATTGATGTTTTGAAAGCACAAGACGGCATATCCTCTTCTGCCCTCTTCCCTAGTGAGAGCAATTTTATAACTAAAGAATTAGAGGCCAGGCGCGGTGGCTCATGCCTGTAATCCCAGCACTTTGGGAGGCCAAGGGGGGTGGATTACTTGAGGTCAGGAGATCTAGGCCAGCCTGGCCAACATTGTGAAACCCCTTCTCTACAAAAATACAAAAATTAACCAGGCATGGTGGCGTTCACCTGTAATCCCAGCTACTTGGGAGGCTGAGACAGGAGAATCGCTTGGAGACAGGAGAATCGCTTGAACCCAGGAGGCGGAGGTTGCAGTGAGCCAAGATCATGCCACTGCACTCCAGCCTGTGCGACAGAGCAAGGTTCTCTCTCAAAAAAGAAAACAAACAAAAATAAACAAACAAACAAAAAACTAGAGCAAGTGACCAGCCTTTAAAAGATAAGGAGTTTATCTCCACAGAAGCTAAAGTACAGGGGCTGAGAGCCTCCTCTTCACACCTACTCCCGCCTTTCTTGGATGACATGTCGTATCAACATCCTGATGCTGCCATGGCTTCCACTGGTAGAATGACAACTCAGATTTTAATGACAGCAATGGTATAATTGAGCTTAAGTAAAGTCTTGGATCACTGTTGTGCTAATGTTTTATCGACTTAATTTGCAAAATATTTTCTGCCTGCCAAACCTGCTGGGCATCATGCTAACTACAGGATGTTTTTAAAAAATCATATAGCAATCCAATACCCAATAAACTGATATACCAGAAAGAATATAAAGTATGTGAATGGGAATGAACCTCCATGCTTTGTGGTTGAAAATGATGCATCTCCTAAAAGGAGTTCAAAATACAGTATTACTGGGAGTTTAGGGGAGAGAGGTTAAGACTACCTGGGTGGGTCACAGAAAGCTTTAAAAAGGAGGTAGCATTTAACACAGCCTTGAAGGAATGAATTAATATACAAACACTTTCCAGTGGGATACTCAACAAAGCAAAAAGCCCTGATTTGTTGTGTTTGACACTTTCCATGTTGTCAATACTCCTACCATGGCTAGCAATTGGCTCTCAAGATTCCTGAAAACTTAACAGTTAGCTCTCATAAGCCATCTGTAGTACACCGCTGTTTGTTAAACTTTACTTGGGCAGCCTCTCTTATGAATTTCCATATTGTACATGGATTGAAAAGATCCGCTCTCCTCACATGAGGAACATATTGTTGCAATGAAGGAAAAGTGGTTTGGGGAAGAGAACTAAATAGACTGAAGTGTTTTTAGCTGACCCCAGTTCAAAGAGTCATGATTATACCCAGGAAAATTGCCCTCTGTCTCTGAGTGTCTCTAGGTCTCAGCAATGTGAAGAGACACTGGCATCTTGACTGAATCAGAGTATTTCATTAAAAATTTGATCATATGTCCCTATCTTCCAAAATCTAAGAACTCTATCTATAATACTATAGATTTAGGAATACAAATCTATAAACTTTTTCTGTAAATATTTCTTAAAAGGCAGTCATGAAAGGAAGAAGAAAGTTAAAACAGAAGCTTCCATATTTCTCTATGGAACCCATGTTGGCTGGAAGTCAGGGTTTCTTTGGGCATTTGCCTGATGATGGGAGAGAATTTGGCAAAGGTAACTCAGGCTTCTGGATGTGCTTGTGTTTTTGTTTACTGAGCCCAAGGGTTTATTTCTCAAATAAATTTCCTTCGTATTGTGATGGTATTAATCATGAAAATCCTTCTGGTAATAGCTCTGTAAAGGTTCACTGGCTAAGCGGGCTATAAATATTGGCCATATGCCACATCTCAACATTTTGGTTTGAAACGCTGTAGCCAAAAATCTTAGGAAACCTTTTCAGGCAATGCCCATTGTTTTGACTCTCAGTGGGAATCCTGAACAACAGGCTCCATGCACTGCCTTTCTGCCATCATCCTGGGCACAAGTAAAAAAGACACTTCTCCAGTTACAATTCTTGGTGTTGAGACCCTAAAATGAGCAGAGAAGTATGCAAAGGTGTTATTTAATGCATGAGAGGGTGGGCTATTTGAACACCAAGATCCCACATCAATATCAATGCTATCAGTCTAAGAGCTATTCAGTTCTGAGGAAACTAAACTGCAAAAGAGCAAGAAGGTATGATGGTGGCTAAGCTGGAAGCATGGTTTGTAAGTGTGAATTGGTCACTAATTTACTGTGTGACCTTAGTTTTGTCAGCTGCCCCCATCAATCTCAGTCTCCTCACCTATAAGATGAAGGTATTGAATTATCTAACTCTTACATTTCTTTTAAATCTAGAAATCTACTGTCAAGAGAGCTCTAAACTTTTCATTTAGCACTGGATTCTACCAAAAAGAGTGATAAACTACACTCATTCAAAACCATTTAAGAAACATTGACTTTCTTCCATGTGGTACCTACTAAATTTGACTTTAGGGATACAAGAATTAAAGAGAATGGATCTCTCCCCACAGTTGGCTAGAAAAACCCAAATTGAAGGATCACTGAAATATATTATGTTCGTATAAAGACTCCTTCCCCACTCCCTCCAATGAATTATAGTCTCTCAGTGGTTGTTGGAATCATATAATAAGCAGGACATTTAAAGAGACATCAGGTTAGCCTATTCTCCCCTTAGGTTTGGTTATACTGAATAATACAGGTTGGTCAAATCACATTGGAGGTTTTCATCGCAGCTGACCTCACCTTTGTTGATTCACTAAGGTATCTTCAACGTTATCCCTGTAACCACTAGGGATCAAGTAGACACGAGTTTTACTCTCAATTCTTCTTCTCGTTGACTTCAAGATCTGACACAGTTTGCACTGTGTCAGTTTTCTCATCTGCATAAAGGAAGCATATTTTACTGCTCATCACAAGCTTCAAAGGCAATGTATGAAAAGTGGCCAGCATAGTAAACACTCAATAAATGTGATCAATTATTAATTTTAGTATTATGTTATATATGCATGCATAGCCTAGACCTTCTGCTTATTTTTCACCTTCTCAATAATATTTGCACAAAGTAAGGCTGGGCAAGTATGTTCAAGAAATGTCCTACAGTAATTCTCACTGGATCTGCAAAATATTCATAAAAAATTATGATGTTATCTTTAATTTTTCTTTAATTTCCTTTTTATCCGGGCTGATATATTTTTGTTATTAATCCTATTTTAACCTTCCCTTCCCTTTCCTTGTCTAAAATTATGAATGTCATTGTATTTCAACAGGTAGTTATAATTAATCTTTTTTTTTTTTTTGAGACGGAGTTTCACTCGTCACCCAGGCTGGAGTGTAGTGGCATGATCTCAGCTCACTGCAACCTCCGCCTCCTGGGTTCAAGCAATTCTTCTGCCTCAGCCTCCTGAGTAGCTGGGACTACAGGCGCACGCCACCATGCCCGGCTTATGTGTGTATTTTTAGTAGATACAGGGTTTCACCATATTGGCCAGGCTGGTCTCGAACTCCTGACCTCATTATCCCCCTGCCTCAGCCTCCCAAAGTGCTGGGATTACAGGCATGAGCCACCATGCCCAGCCCTATAATTACTCTTCAGGCTGTTTATTCAGGTATCTATGGGAACAGAGAAAAGAGAACCCAAATGTAGCCAGGTCAGGTAGGGTGTCAAGAAAGGCATTTAGGAAAAAGTGACAACCCTAGAGTTACTTTTGAAATATCAGTGAGCATTAGAGGAAACAAAAGAGGGGCTCCAGTGTCATGCAAATGTGCTGCCTCTAGTAGCTCACTCCAACTGCAGTGAACCACGCAACATGAAAGAATGTCAGATGAGATTGGCAGTAGTTGGAGCCTAAATCTAAAATAGCCTGAGCACTAAGCTAAGAAATTTGAACTTCATCTAGAAAGCAAGAGTGAACTCCTTAAGGTTTTGAAGCAGGGTGGCTGCATTATCAGATTTGCATTCTTAAAGTCACACTGGAAGTAGTATTAAGGATGGGTATAGGGGTCAGTTGACTAAAAGTGGAACCACAAACTAGGAGGCACCACTATTCTATACGTGTCCTTATTCATCGACATGTTGAAGTTTTGGGTCATCTCACACTCATGAAATGAACACATAACCACATATTCTGGTTAAGTTTGAAGGCAGGTGTGTAGAAGGTGAGGGCAGGAGAAAAGTAATGTGTGATTGGCAAAAACTTGCCATCTACTGTCCTACTGTTAAGCTGCTTGTGTCTTGCTAGTTTTACAAACATTTCCCATTTGAGAATAAATCCAGGGCATGACTTATTCCTAATTATTAGAGAGAGAGGAAAACAAGCATAAACTAAGGACTTTATTTGAGTTGTTTATTTCTCTTAACTATTTCAAGATTATAGCCACAGGCTTTTCACTAACTTATAGGAAACGATATACAATAAACAGGCAGGTGAAGACTGTTCCTCTAGGAGGTGTTGTGAAAGCAAGCCAAAGCAATGAGTGCTGTGGAGACATTTGCTGTGCTCCCCTCTGCATATCTAATTAGTACCATGCAATCTGCTTCCAGTAGTAAAGGCAATTTCTGAATCTCCCTCCCACTGCTCAGACTGCAGGCTGCCATGAGGATCCTGCCATATGGAAGAAGGTCTTATATAAAGGGGAGATATACATGTTTACTGATTACTATTAATTGATGAAATATGGTACGGAAATATAAAATAATTATAACATTAATGATATGTATAGCCCGATTTTTAAATATTACCTAATCATTGAATGTTGACTATATGCCAAGCACTAGAATAAGTACTTTATATTCATATCACTTAATATTTAAAGTAGGCTTTACCATTCCCATTGTACAGATGAGGAAACTGAAGATAGAGGAACTATACAAAGTCATCATTGTTATTTGGAAAATGACAGAACAGTGATTAGAGTCCAGTTCTTTATGACACCAGAAGCCATACTCTTAACTGCTTCTTAAGGCAGCCTTGTCATACGGACCCTTCACCATCTAGATCCAGTGAGTTTTTCACCATCTCTTTATGCAAACTTCACTCCTGTCCTTAGGGGGGTCACACACTCTATTCCTCACTCCTTTGATGTGATAAATTACCTTTCTGGAGCTCCCTTGCCCCTTCTTCACTTGGTGATCCTCTCCTACTCCTTAAACACTCAGTTCAGATATTATTTATCTTGAAATCTGAAATTCTTTACAAAAAGTAGCTGACTAAATTAAATACTTAACCAAATGATTTTCTTGTCCACTTCCCAAAGCATGAGTTAAATCATGGCTGGCATCATGTCTACCATATCTGAATAAATATATAGTGGATTCAAAATTTTTACATTGATTAAAATTATTAGTAATAAAAATACTAATAGATATTCTGGCCATATTACTTAAATTAAAATGTTATAAAGAGTTTACAGCTGAAAAATATGTTTTAAGAGTTAGTATTTGCAAAATAACAGATGTTTCTCAGGATGTAGAGACAATAGAACTCTTATACACTGTTGGCAGGAACGCAAATTGGTACAACTTCTATGGAAAACAGTATGGAGATTTATCAAAGAACTAAAAGTAGAACAACC
Organism: Homo sapiens; assembly: GCF_000001405.40. Lineage (NCBI taxonomy): Eukaryota > Metazoa > Chordata > Mammalia > Primates > Hominidae > Homo > Homo sapiens. Next base: position 59,319,028 of record NC_000016.10, on the reverse strand, counting down.
ATTTGATCCAGCAGGCACACTACCAGATATCTATTCAACAACAAAAAATTGTTATATAAAAAGATAGCTGCACTCATATGTTTATCACAACACTATTCATAATAGCAAAGATATAGAATCAACCTAAGTGTTCATCAGTGGATGATTGGATAAAGAAAATGTGGACACACTAAATAGAAACAAACACAAAAAAGGAATACATACACAAACAGACACACACAATGGAATAATATTTAGTCATCAAAAAGGATAAAAGTATTTCTTTTGCAACATGGTTAGGACTGGAGGCCATTATCTTAAGTGAAGTGGGTCAGACATAGAAAGACAAATATCACATGTTCTCACTCATAAGTGGGAGCTAAATAATGTATACATGTGGATGTAGAGTATGGAATGACAGACAATGGAGATTCTGAAGGGTGAGGGGTGGAAGGGGGATGGATGAGAAATTACTTCAAAGATACAATGTATGTTATTTGGGTGATGGATACCCTAAAGGCCCTGACATGACCACTGTGCAACCTATGCATGTAACAATACCACACCTGTACCCATAAATTTATAGAAGAAATTTTTTAAAGAGTTAGTAGTTGTAGTCTGAAATTCAGAAATGTAAAATTCCATGCAATAACCAAAGATTGGTGAAATGATAAAAATCACTCTTTGAGATGAAATACTGGTTTTATTTTACAATCACTTTAAGAATCTGGACATATCCATTTGTCACATAAGCTTGTGTAAAGACAAGAAGAACAATTATATATTTTCATACATTTTCAAAACTTGATCAACAAATATTACCAGGAGGTCCAAATCTATTAGACTGAAATGAGAGCTGGAGATACACTGCACAAATCTTCCTTCAAGAAAGAACTCATCATCTGGTACAAGCGGTGCAATTGGCTAATGTCCTCTAGATCTTAGCTTCCTTGGGGTTATGTGAGCTTTACAGCCTAAGTTATTTTCTTCTCAAGCATTCCCTGGCCAAGACCTGGCAAGGCAGTATGGTAAATAGCCTTGGGCTTAGCCAGTTCTCATATCCGTTCTGGAGATCCCCAGGTGTTACTCCCAGTATACTTTTTGCACTCCTTACTCTGTCTTGTCTTGTTTCCCAGAGAAGCCAACCTGTAGATATTACACACACACACACACACACACAGAGAGAGAGAGAGAGAGAGAGACAGACAGACAGACAGACAGACACCCCAACAGACAAGAAGGGCAAGATGAAAACCCAGGTTTTCACATCACAAATACTATCAGGAGATGAGGAATAGTTTGAGAGTATCTGTCCTTTTTTAAATTTTTTTTATTTCCATAGGTTATTGGGGAAGAGGTGGTGTTTGGTCACATAAGTTCTTTTTTTGTTTGTTTTTAGACAGATTTTCGCTGTTGTTGCCGGGGCTGGAGTGCGATGGTGTGATCTCGGCTCACTGCAACCTCTGCCTCCCAGGTTCCAGAAATTCTCCTGCCTCAGCCTCCCAAGTAGCTGGGATTACAGGTGCCGGCCACCACACCTGGCTAATTTTTGTATTTTTAGTAGCGACAGGGTTTCACCATGTTGGCCAGGTTGGTCTCAAACTCCTGACTTCAAGGGATCCACCTGCCTCGGCCTCCGAAAGTGCTGGGATTACAGGCGTGAGCCACTGTGCCTGGCTGAATAAGTTCTTTAGTGGTGATTTGTGAGATTTTGGTGCACCCATTACCCAAGCAGTATACAGTGCACCCAATTTGTAGTCTTTTATCCCTCACTCCCTTCCCACCCTTTCCCCCTGAGTCACCAAAGTCCATTGTGTCATTCTTATGCCTTTGCATCCTCATAGCTTAGCTCCCACTTATGAGTGAGAACATATGTTTGGTTTTCCATTCCTGAGTTACTTCACTTAGAACAATAGTCTCCAATTTCATCCAGGTTGCTGCGAATGCCGTTGATTCATTCCTTTTTATGGCTGAGTAGTATTCCATCATATATATGTGTGTGTGTGTGTGTGTGTGTGTGTGTGTGTGTGTGTGTGTATGTGTGTGTGTATATATATGTGTGCGTGTATATATATATATATATATATTTATATATCACAGTTTCTTTATCCACTCATTGATTGATGGGCATTTGGGCTGGTTCCACATTTTTGCAATTGTGAATTGTGCTGCTATAAACAAGCATGTGCAAGTATCTTTTTCGTGTAAAGACTTCTTTTCCTCTGGGTAGATGCCCAGTAGTGGGATTGCTGGGTCGAGAGTATCTGTCTTTATAAAAACCCTATCTCTAAGAAGTAATGGAAATTCTATTCTTTGTTCTCTGCCTTCCTCCTCTCCATACAAGAGGTTACTTTTCTTGCCCTCATCACAGCTAAAGATGCAGATTTAAAAATTTAGTTAACTTTGAATTGTAGTCCTGCGTTTTAATTACTCTGCCCCCAATTCCAGTTCCTCACTGTATTTAAAGAAGACAAACAAACAAATAAACACTAATGCCCAGTTCATGTAAAGTACCACAAACTAAGCTGGCATGTAGCATGCGCTTAATACAAATTAGCTCTACTTTTTTCTGGAGGAATTGTTCTCATTTTATCACTTAATGTTGAAATATTCCTATTAGTTAATAATAATTTTCATTGTATTAAAGAATCATATTCTATACCTTCTCCTTCTGATCTACATATTGAGACCTATTTGATAATATCTGTGACTGTGACTTATCTAATTTATAAATGAGATTAATATAAACAAATGTTATCTGTTTTGCTCACCAGAATCCAATTCTGGCTAATCACAGAAACTTCAGCCGGGCGCGGTGGCTCACACCTGTAATACCAGCACTTTGGGAGGCCGAGGCGGGTGGATCACGAGGTCAGGAGCTCGAGACCATTCTGGCTAACACGGTGAAACCCCGTCTCTACTAAAAATACGAAAAAATTAGCCGGTGTTGGTGGCGGGTGCCTGTAGTCCCAGCTACTCGGGAGGCTGAGGCAGGAGAATGGCGTGAACCCAGGAGGTGGAGCTTGCAGTGAGCCCAGATCGCGCCACTGCACTCAAGCCTGGGTGACAGAGCAAGACTCCGTCTCAAAAAAAAAAAAAAAAACAAAGAAAGAAAGAAACTTCACAGCTTTTCTCTCTATCTTCAGCTGCTGGACATGTCAACCAAAGGGCTGTCAATGAGCAGAAAGATGACCCTGCTCCTCTTCCAGGACAGCTTCTGCTCCAGAACAGCCATTGTCTTTACTCCCTGCTCAAGGAGGGTCCTCAGAGAATACCACATTTAACTCTGAAAGTCAGATGAACTGAAGGATCTGGATGGAAAGCCCTCACTTCGCCATTTAGCTATTCAGTTCTCTCCATTCATTTGTCCATTCACTGTGCCATTCATTCAACAAAAACTTATTGAGACTGCATACTTGCCAGAGTAAATGGTCAATGCTGGAAATTCCAAATTTTTAAAGACAGATCCTGCCCCGTTTGAGTTCACACACTAGAGAAGAGGATGAAAGTATTATTTCCCAAGTTGACCTAAAAAGAACAAAATTTATTCCTTTTTAAATATACTGCAGTGTCTTCCCACATGATATACTTTTAAATTGTTGCTCTATTAAAAATTTGGCATTTAAACCTTGAAAAAATTCAAACACAAAATGATGTCTATTTTTTTAAAAGGAACATTTTCCCCTTGAGTCATCTTCTATCCTCATTCCCCAGCTATAATCATTGAAGGAATTTTATATGTGTATGTGTCCATAAATATGTGTACATACATATATGGACATGTGAAAAAAAGGTAGATCTATGTACTTTTTAGACTCAAGAATATGTCACAAATTTCCTTTTGTATTAGTATATATTTTATTCTATTTAATTGCACAGTAACATTTTGGACTAGATTTTATTTCTCATCTCCATTCCCCAAAACTTTCTTCCACCCAGCCTGACATTTTTGCCTATAATAGTTTTTTCTCTGTATTAGCCTTCTATTTCCCCTTTGACCAAAGAATCAAGTAATCATTACCTCAGGGGTAATTTTGCCAGAGAGAGAGAATGTCAAACAGTCATCTTTGCTATGTCTTTAGATTTTTCTTTTTAAAAACTGTGTCTGAAGTTCAACTTCTGTTTCTAGGTTTTTTGCTTCAGTTGTACTCTTGGGGCAAGAAATCGTAATGTCATCGCTCAGAAGTACCTCATGATGACTTTCAGTGCAGTAGGATTTATCAGAGGACAAATGTTTGTTCCTCTGTGACTTCTACCTTCACCCTGGCCATATTTCCACCTTCGTTGTTCTAAAGATGTGACACAGATATCCTCAGTTCTGAGCTGGCCAGTTCAGGCTACATCTTAGAATGAGCACTGGTTCTTATTTCAGCACAACTGCTCCCTGAAAATGGGTCCTATTCTCTAATGGGACACTACAAAGAGGTCACAGTCATAACCTCAACTGTAGCTCCACGTCCTTATTAACAAAGAAAAACAAAATGAGAAATGAGAGGGGAATAAAGTACCCCTTTATTTCTTTTCTGGGTCTTTGGGGCTTTGCAGAGACATTTAAAAAACATATAAAAGATCGTCGCTTTTAACTCTGAAAATATTCACCTTTTAACACAAGGACTCTGCCCTTGAACTTCAAAACTGTGTCCTGCCTAAAAGACCAAAGAGTTTCTATGGTAGATTTGGCCTCATGGTTTCTGAGCACTTTTCCTGTCGATTTACTATTCTCATTTTGTGTTTGACTTCTTTACATTTTTATTTCTGTATGATCTAGAGAAAGGATTGAACTGAAACATAAGGAACCTCTATAACAGGTATTCCAAGGTGTTTAAGAGGGGAATGCTATGACACAGATCTGACATCCCCTTCTTTTATGTGATTGAGAAAACAAAGTACATAAAAGTACAAAGGTTGTATCAAGCTTGGTTTCCAGCCTGCCCACCAGTGAGATAACTCTCAGGCTTTTTAGTTAGTTACAGGTATGCAGGGTCTTTTTTTCTGGTTATTAGTGTTCAAGTATATTGTGAGGTTGTTGGAGACAGGATCAGACCACACAACACATATGATTTTGTAAATAATTCATATCCTAAATATTAAAATATCATTCTAAAATAGATGTAGTATAAACACCATGGTTATTAGCACAAAAAAACACCCTATTCCAAAGAAGCAGTATGATGGTTATCAGGCACCAGAAATGTGGTTAAAACCTGAAAACTATATAGAGTCTCTACTGGTATAAGATAATAGTCACAGACTGACTATTTATTGATAGTTAATCACTCATTCAAGTCAAGGCATTCTAATACTTGACTGATTATAAAAAAATCTTTGAACTTCAATACCATCCAGAACTTACCTAGTCCTAAAATTTCTATTCTACTATGCCATCTCACAGTTAAGAGGCCTAACACCCAAAAAAGTTTGAAGATTTTTTTCTATAGCCTTGGGATAATCTTAAAATTTACCAGCTAGCATTGTTCTGCCACGTGCACATCCCAGATAAATGAATCTTATAATTTAATATATCTATATAGCAGCATATTTGCACAAAAGTACCTTAGAAATATAATACACACTGCTTGAGGACAATTACACTGGATTGACTTTGTCTGGCATTAATAACATCTCTACTATTTACTAGCTTTGTGGTCTTAAGCAAGTTGTCTAGTCATACTGTGCCTTAGTTTGCTCATCTATAAAATGGGGATGTTAATTTCTACCTTGCAGACTTGATGCCATGAGTGAAGCTACACTCTGGACAATCAGACTTGCTATTATAATACCTGGGACTCTGGCTCCATGCCTTTATGTGGACCCCAGAAGGAAGGGAGGCCTTGTGAGGTTCTCCCATCTGATCAGCCCCCCTGTGGCCAGTGTCATCATTAACACCTACAACAAGGCACACAATTTTAAACTCTTCAAAGTTAAAATGTGTGTATGGGGTGGGGGTAGGGGAAGGTGGGGAGGAAGAGTCTTATCTTCCTTTGATCACTTTTAGCATAGTCCATAATTGTGGTACCAAACTGCTATACTATTGAGCAACATACCCTCTTGGATTTGTTGCATCTTGAAAAGTGTGCTAGTGGACATATACACCATGGAATACTATGCATCCATAAAAAAGAATGAGTTCATGTCCTTTGCAGGGACATGGATAAAGCTGGACACCACCATCCTCAGCAAACTGGACACAGGAACAGAAAACCAAACACGGCATGTTCTCATTCATAAGTGGGAGTTGAACAATGAGAACACATGGACACAGGGAAGGGAACATCACACATTGGGACCTGTCGGGGGTGGTGGGGAAAAGGGAGGGAGAGCATTAGGACAAATACCTAATGAACGCAGGGCTTAAAACCTAGATGACGGGTTGATAGGCGCAGCGAACCACCTGGCACATGTACACCTATGTAACAAACCTGCATGTTCAGCACATGTATTCCAGAACTTAAAGAAAAAAAGAAAGAAAGAAAGAAAGAAAGAAAAGAAAAGAAAAGAAAAGAAAAGAAAAGAAAAGAAAAGAAAAGAAAAGAAAAGAAAAGGAAGGTGTACTAATGCCCAAAAGACCTGGGATGTTAGTCTTTGTTTTACACGAACTAGTCTTGTGACCTCAAACAAGTCATTTTGTCTCACCTTCAGTTTCTAATTATGTTTATAAGTGATACTATCTGCCTATTATAATGCCTGAGACAAAAATAGGTGTTCTCTTATAAAAACAAAAGCCAAAATTAACTAACATTTTCTATTTACCTCCGCAAAGAGTGCTTTACATGTGGTGTCTTAGCTTCAACAGCAATATGAGGCAGGTACGATTTGATTCCCGATCTACAAAATGAGGATAATGAGGCTCAGAGAACTTAAGTAATTTTTCCAAGGTCCCACAGGTGATTAAACTTCAGCTGCAAGAACTCCAAAATCTGAGCTTTTATCCACCATAATATATTTATTTGGCCTACTAATTAAATTTTTTTAAATTAGCTCTTTATGCAACAAGGTGTTGTGCAAATATATATATATATATCTTTTTAATTTAAAAATCTTTATAAATGAAGTTATAATCATACACCTTATTTTGGAACAAAAAATAAGTGTGTGTGGTGAGTGAGATAAATTCCTACTTTTTTTAAGCAGTGTTGAATCTACCCCAAATTCCTTAAACTCAGAAAAAGGATAAATTTTGCTGGTTTCCTATCTTCTCAGATTTATGAATGCAAAAATAAAAAGTATGACACACTTCTCTATTCCTTTAAACATCTCGTGCCATTTTCTACACAAGTGTCCTCCATGTAGGTTACTGAAACAAAAATGACAGAATTCAACACTTGGGAAACAAGTGTTACATTGTGTGTGACTCAGGCTCTACATACATTTTCATATTTCATTCTACTGCTCAATTTAATATAATTCAATTAAAAAGTTAATTGATTTTTTTTCTTTTTTTTTTGAGACAGAGTATCACCCTGTCACCCAGGCTGGAGTGCAATGGCCCAATCTCGGCTGACTGCAGCCTCTGCTTCCCAGGCTCAAGCAATCCTTGTGCCTCAACCTCCCGAGTAGCTGCACCTACAGGTGCACACCATCGTGCCTGGCTGATTTTTGTACTTTTTGGTAGAGACAAGGTTTCAACCATGTTGGCCACAGTGATCTCGAACTTCTGACCTCAAGTGGTCCACCTGCCTCAACCTCCCAAAGTGCTGGGATTACAGGTGTGAGCCACCGCACCCAGCCTGAAAAATTAATTGACATTTTATTATGTGCCATGCCACAGTGCTATTTTTCTAAGACACATTGGGTGACAAGAAGCACACACCTGCTCTAATGAATTATCCAGAGCATAGATTAAAAATAGTTCATAGCAAAGCAGCAACATAGTATTATCATTCAATTACACATTAATTGGAAGCTCACAGATAGTTCTCCTATAACTGTAGAACTAAACATGTTGATATTGAAGAGCATTCTACTTTATCCTAACACTATTTCTACTCTGCAGCTCTGTCTCATCAAGCTATTGGCTTGGACAAAAAGCAGGTAAGGGAGTTTGGGAATGTGCTAGAGCTGGAGAAAGAATAAAATAAAGCGGAAAATCTTCTATTGCAAGACATCCTGAGCACAGAAATACTGACCGCATGACCGGTGGGTCATTTCTATTTGATATCAGATGGAGGTGTTTAAATTCTCAGTTTCAGGATTGATTGAAAATCAGATCATATCATACAGTCTGCCAAATCTCAACTTTCAGCTATTATTCGCCTCTTAAATTTTTTTTAAACTTTCTCCTACAACAAAAGAAGAGGTCTGTTCTCTTATTCTTCAATTTTCAACAGCTCTTTTTGGGATCATAGCAATTGACAAAAGAAACAGACACTTTTTTTTATAATGTGCTTTGCTCTTAAAATGTGTGCTCTGTTGAGCAGTTTAGGACAAATCATAATCCTATCATCTTTCAAACATTAAACCAAAGCATCCGAAGAATCATTTTCAATACTTTTCTGACCTGAGATGTTTTGGTCAGGTTATACAATTTCAGAAAACACTTATAAAAACTGTGATTATATAGTAGAAATATAATAAATTTACTGGCCACTTTTATCTATCTCAAGGGAGCAATCTCTCTAGATTAAAGAAATGCCCTCCATTTTCCACTTTAAAAGATCATTTTGGGTGGCATTTGCCTTCATTCTAATTTTATACTGTCTTCCTATTGGTGATAGCCACAGCTTTTATTTGGCTCATCTCACAATTGAATCTTTATACTATTTTAACAATATGCGAATGTTGAATGGGAAGGCAGTTCTCCACTTCAGAAGTTTTGTTCCATTTGTCAGAGACTCCTCTGGCTTCTTTCCTCCTGCCCCCAAATGAGTTCCTCTCTTGTGGGTAAGGAGGACACATTTGATTTGGTAGTTTGGAATGATAAACAATGTGTGTATAAGCCCCTTGCTCTTTTTCCTTTTCCTTCTAGGTACAAGTTGCTTGTAGAAGCCATGGAGTATACTCTGCCCTCGTGGGGTTGCAGTTTGTCCCAGACCAGTGTTATGTGGGACTGAGCAATGTTTGTTTAGTTTTAACTATTTGAAAGATATTCTTCCTAGAAATATTAGCTATATTTTCTAATATCAGCTTGTATTAGTAATGGAAAGATAATATTTTTGTACCTATCTAGCTTATTATTTTATATTTCTATTTAACTGCTACCAAAATGCAATGAGGAAGAGGGTTTCTGTCTATCAGACCAATGAAAAAAGCTAAACAGAGAAAAAGAGAGGAGCAAGTATTCATAAACACAAAGGGAGAATTTCCCCCTTTGTATAAGCATCAGAATTCCAGAAATAGAGTCCTATGGCAAAGGAAAATATAGGTCAGTGATCCCATAAGAAAAAAAAAATTATCCCACTGTGATTTGGAACATCTGTCTCTAATCCCAAAAGATGGGTCTCTAATTGTATGGAGGGGAGTGGTGAGGCTAGAGGGGTAGGAGAATAAAGGTATAATAAGATAAAGGAAAAAGAAGATGATTAAAGTTCAAACGGGGAAAATGCTATAGGTTTGCTATATTTTCTGTTCAAAGTTGCCACTATATCACAAACAATGCTACAGTGAATAAGGATATCTGCTCTGAAGCCATGTCTGGATTCAAATCCTAGGTCTGCCCTTAGCTGTTTGGTCTTGGATTTTTTATATCATCTTTCTGAGCTTTAATTTCCCCTCTTAAATAAAACATAGTATCTACTAGCTGCATAGAGTCACTGAGCAAGTTTATTGACACAATGCAAATCACACATCATGTGTGGACATTATAAGAACTTATTAAATGTTGGATAGCAGCATCGTTACATAATGTACGGTGGGTCTGTTAGTGGTTGTAGATTGAAAATGAAGATGAAAAGATGGTTGTTGCTATGTTTGGAATTCTTTATCATTTAGATATGATAAACCCATGACCAAAACAAAAAGACACATAAGACATACCAATGTTGCAACCCTAAATTTTTTAAATGAATTGATTGTGCTTGGAGTAAGGGAATGTGTTATGAAACGTGGTGGTATTTCACATCTTTATGATTTTGCCTGCCCTTCCCACTTGTGTCTGAGATGTCTTCTTTTCACTTTATAAACTTCTATTTGAGACCAAGTCCCAAAACCTCCGCATCTCTGAATCCTGGCTCAATATCACTAAGCATTAAATTAGAAATTGTTAAAGAAAATGCAAGGCAGAAAAATAATGAGAACAACATTCATTAAAGAAGAATATGTATTATATGTATCATTTTGAAATTTAGAAAAATACCTCATAAGATTTGTTTTATACAACCAATAGCAGTTTGTGAAAACTTAAATTGTTTCTCCATAAATGATAGTTTAGTGACTGCATCTGCAAAAGACTTTGAAGCTAAATGTAAAACATTTCATATAATCCACTTAGACAAGTCAAAAACATGCTTTGAAAATAACCATGTTATAAAATAAATAAAAACAAATATTCTTGACTTTTCTACAGTGTATAGACTATTACAGTACCACATGTGTCTCTTTTTCCATTTTGCTTCTTAATGGTTAATGTTAATTCTTCAGGTCCAAAGATTTTCTCTGAAAAGTATAAAGATACAGTCTCCCCCAACAGACAGAGAAAAAAAAAAGTGCTTCATTTATTGACTTCTGGCAATTTTTTTTTTTTTTGAGATGGAGTTTCACTCTTGTTGCCCAGGCTGTAGTGCAATGGCACGATCTCAGCTCACTACAATCTCCACCTCCCAGGTACAAGTGATTCTCCTGTCTCAGCCTCCCAGGTAGCTCGGATTATAGGCATGTACCACCATGCCCGGCTCATTTTTTTGTATTTAGTAGAGATGAAGTTTCACCGTGTTAGGCTGGTCACGAACTCCTGACCTCAGGTGATCCACTCACCTCGGCCTCCCAAAGTGCTGGGATTACAGGTGTGTACCACTGTGCCTGGCCAGCAAAATTCTTTAATTCCAAACAGAAACCCTTCTAAATAATTGTTAGACTTTAAGAAAGCTTGAGGAAACCAGTTATATTGTGAAAAAAAATTGAGTAAATGACTTTATAAAATTATATAAATGGATATGTAGTTAATGAATTTGGCTGCTTCCTGTATTTGGAGAAGCTTGGATTCCTAGACCCTCCAAGATCTTTTAATACAAAAGAATTTTGACCTAGGGTCTGTAGATTCATAAGGGGTTAATAGATGGGCTTCAGATGGCCTGTTATTTCTTCAAGTAATATTTGATATTTGACAAGTATTTGTGAAGTTGCATTCATGAATTTTTCTGGGAAGATTTTGTCAGTGATTAAATTTGGCACATAATGTAAAATTAAATAAATGAACCAAAAAAAGCTAATAAAGAGCTTAAGAAGCATTGATTTGTGAGCCCATAGAGCCCATTGCTACTGAATTAGCTCACCATGTGAAAGTGATGAGGTGCTGCAAAATATTAAGAAATCCAAGTTATTTTATAAATCAGTGGGATTAACTTGAAAATCACTGGTAGGAGAATTAATATTGAAAGGCAAATACTAATGGTATTTATTTTGTTTATAAATAATAAGTCTTTCCTATGTTCATAAAAGGTTTCTATTCTATCTGCACCTGAGTTGGGTATGTTCGGTCTCACAATACCAAAGCAAAGCCATAATTTTCTATTTTTTTATTCTATTAGCTGACTGGTTATGGTTTGGAAAATTGGATATCAGTTTTTACATATGTCTTTGAAATTTTGATGATTATTTAAGTGTTAATCACTGAAATCAAGAATCCAACTATGGATTGCAAATTTGGTATGCAGAATTATCCCATAGGTTTAAAGATTTGCTTAGGGTAGAGGAAGAATGAAACTGTCCAAGATTCCAAGAATATAGACTTGAAAGAATAGCTTTTCTCTCTCCCGGAAAAGCACCATCTGATATAGACACTGAAGTTCTATGCTTCAGTGAGAATGGAATTAAAACAGAAGAGTGTTTCAAATCCCAGGCTCCTAGTTGCAAAAGCAATAACCACTTACACACCCTACTCTCCTTCCATAAATAATAACCATTGTAAAATATCAAGACTGTGATTGGCACATAGAATAAAACTAATAGGCAGTAAATTATAGTTTTTCTTGTCATTATTATATCATTCTATTCCATTGACTAGCATTATTCTCATTTTATAGATGAAGAAATTGAAATTTGAGACTCTTAAGCAACTTTAGATAAAGCAGAAAGCCTAAAAGTGTCAAAGTTACACTGTCAACCAAGGTTGAAAGAGAAAGAGCTGTTAGAGGAAGAGCAGTGAAGATTGAAGTTTTCACATGTCAAGCTGGAGATGGCTGCTGGACATCTAAGTGTGGAGGTTGAGTAGACTATTGAGTCTAGAATTAGGGAAGTTAAGCTGGAGACACAAACTTAGGAAATATTTTCATGTCAGTTGTAGTGAAAATAAAGGAAATGGTTAAAATTTTAAAAAGAAAAATGCAGAGAATAAAAGAAGCTGACAAATAGAGTATTGGCCGATGCCAGCATTTAAAATGCTAGCCAAAAGATAGTATATCATAGACTATTTAAATAAGGAAAAAGATCAAAGGGGTAGGAGGGAAAATAAATAAACCAAATATCAGAAATGGAAAGGAAGTGATAGTGTCAAGACAGAATCTCAACAGCATCAAATGCTACAGAGAAGTTAAATAAAAAAAGAATTGAATGGACTAACTTCAAGTTGGCAATTAGAAGATCATTTTCCAGAGCAGCTCTAGTGCTGCAAACAAGGGAGAAGGCTTCCTGCAATAGATGTAAAAGAAGAATAAGTTGATACCATTGTTCATAGGAGGGGCTTGCTAATGACAGAAAGGAGCAAGATTGGAGAAGCAAAACAAAAAATAAAAATGAGGGGAAATACCCTCTCTGTCTTTATTTTTTCCCTCATGCGAAGATTTCAGTGCATTGATATGCTGTGGAGGAGCGGCAGATGAGAGGGAAGATTGAAGGAGCAGGAGAGGATGAATCACCACCAACCAAACAAGCTCACATATGAGACACAAGGAATGAGTTCAGGAGCACAAGAAGGCAGATTAGTCTCTGCCCAGAGAGAAGGGACTTCTTCCTTGATCGTGGAAAGTGAAGTTGAAGAAATAGAAATGTCCATGATATGGCAGGAGGTAGGTTCATGCCCTGCAGCCTCCAAGAGGCCAGGACAGCGACTGAGAGTAGTAGAATAGAGAGTCAGAAGGAAGTGATTAAAGTTTTGTAATGGATGTTTTGAGATATGTGGGAGGTAGCTGACCAGAGATCTATGAAGAATTGTCTAATAATCCTTAGGGTACAGAATAGCCTTTAGGATAAAGAACATAAATCTGCAAAATCGTGTAATTCTCTTTCAAGCACAGCACCCAGAGTGTTAAGAATTAAAAAGGCAGAGAAATGTCAGACTAGTAATTTAGTGCTCAAGACTATACTTAAAAAAAAAAAAAAAATCTGGCTGAGTGTGGTGTCTCATGCCTGTAATCCCAGCACTTTAGGAGGCCAAGACAGGCAGATCACTCAAGGCCAGGAGTTTGAGACCAGCCTACCCAACATGGCAAAACCCCGTCTCTACTAAAAATACAAAAATTAGCCAGGCATGGTAACGTGCATCTGTAATCCCAGCTACTAGGGAGTCTGAGGCAGGAGAATTACTTGAGCCCGGGAGGCAGAGGTTGCAGGGAGCTGAGATTATGCCACTTCACTCCTGTCTAAAACAAACAAAAAAAAACAAAAAAGACTATACTGAAAAAATAATTATTTTGTCTTTTCAGATGGGGAAACTCATGCCTTACCTAAATGATACAGATAGAAACAGGCAAAGTTCAGGCCTGACCCCATGTCCTTTCCTTTTTCACTATATTACACTCTCTCCTTGGTGGTCATCCACCATGTTAACCTACACCACTGGTTTCCAATTAGGCCTAAGGATTTTAATAATTATATGTTCCTAGAAAAGGGCCATTTCTCAGGACAATGGAAATGTCAGTGTTGTAGAAAGTTTGTATGTCTCTCTCTCTCTCTCCTCTGTGTGTGTATGTGTATTTTAATTCTTTTGTGCAAAATACATCTAATGTAGTGGAGCTTTCTTTGCCTTTATTATGGACTCCTTTTGTTCATATTTTATGGGGGCATTAGCCATTTGCATTTATTTACAAAGAATAAAGACAGAAATATACTGGGATTTTAGTCATCATCTTGTGGCTAAAACACAACCTAATGGAGTATGAGTGCTTTGGTCTCTCAAACCCCATCCTATCTGATTCATTTTAAGATGGTCTCAAAAATGGATTTTTAATTAAGAAAAGAGGATGGATTGTAATGTACCTTTTTTAAAAGAAAGGATTAGAAAAAAAGAGATAATAACTTCCTTAAATATCAAATTTTTATTCAAAGTCTTTTTGCCATAATAGCCTCTGACATGCATACGATTAGTGCATTAGTCAGGATATGGGATGTTAGCTGTTACAATAAACAATCCCCAATCTCAGTGGTTCAAGTTTATTTGTTGCTCACATGGCAGAATCTAGGTCTCCTGGTGGCTCTTCTCCAAATTATGACTTAGGGATTCGGACTTTTTCTGCTCACCATTACATATGACCTCCTCAATTTTCATGGAATGGAAAGACATAGCATGGACAATTGTATAAATTAGTTTATGGCCAAACCTGTAAGTGGAATATGTGTACGTCCCTATTGCAGTTGTCAGAATCTAACCACATGATCCCAATCTAACTGCAAGGGAAGCTTGGAAATGTAGTAATTCTGTATGCTTAGGAAAATAAATAAGATTGATGTGCGTCAGTATTATCCACGAGTAGACTACAGTACTATTTTTTCTGTTATTGTAAGCATGAACAAAATTTAAAGTTACATAAATATCTAAAATTTCTGGGTGATTATGTGCACTAAGTGAATACATGATTTTCAGTGACTTCTCTGTCATCACCTCTCTTACTTACAAGCTATCACCTTCTATCTATTTCAACATGCCAAGACTGAATAATGGGGAACAGAGGTTATAAGAAAGTTAATATTTACTGAAAATCAAAATGAGGAAACAAAGTCTCAGAAAAGTTAATGAAATATTAAAGTCCATTAAGAAATAGAGCTTAGACTCAACCTATGTCTTTAGAAATCTAACAGCTTTACATGGAATCACAACATCAGAATTTTTTTTTCACATTTAAATAGGTTCATTTTAAGGAGTATTAGAGTTTTTGTTTATGCTTCAAACAAGCTGTCTTCCATGTCCAAACATTGTTTGCTTAGTTGCATTTCATCCATCAAGTCTCAACTTAAATAAAGCCTCACTAGAGAAGACATCACTTTTAACCCTATTTAAATGCCTGTCTCACTGTACTTTTATCTCTCCCAGAATCCTTTTTACCATTTACTATTAATATGCAATTTTAAAATGAGAAAGTACCACAAAGGGTGAAATCATGTTTCCTCTACCTGGCTGAAAGTTGGGATGGTGATAATACCATTCACCCCTCTATACTCAGGGCTTCTCACAATGGCTAACATCTTGAAGATGCCGGATGAATTAATAAACTAGTGCATAAACATGTTGACAGGTTTAATACAGTGCCTGAAACACAGTGTTCCCCCATAAATGTACTACAATTACCGATCAGGAAATCAAGGCTTGGGAAGGTTAAATAATTTGTCTGAGGTACACACCTGGTAAATGATAAATTTCTGACTTCAAAGGCCAGGATTTTTCTGCTGTACAACATAGCCTAAAATAGTCATTCTGCTTTTCATGATCTATTTATAAGTGTGTGTGTTAAAGGATGAGTCCTCAATCACTACATTTATTTATTAGAAGTAAATATGCTCAGAGATGGGTTTGTGTCCTACTTCCACCTTAGTTTTAATGCTAAAACTATAAATGCAATTTGATTTAACTTTAAATTTTCTTTAATTCTGTGTGGCCATTTTGGGGAACACAATTTGACTGGAACCTGGCTTGCTGCCACACATTAAACTATCTGCTTTATGCATCTGTAAGTCCTTACAACAGCCCTCTGGGATCATTTTAAAGATGAAGAAACTAAGGCTCAGAAAATGTAACTTTGTGATATTTGAAGATGTGTAAAGTGTAATGGAGTTAGGATTCAAACCCACGTCTGCCTTTCTGGAAGCCATAATTTTTATGATCTATAAAAAGAGACTGTGGATCCCTGCAACTGTCTCTGATCCTCATTTGTAAATGATTTTCCTCATTGCGCTGAACGATTTTGATAGTATTTGATGATTTAAGTTTGACACAGCAGAGACTATGATCCACGTCCTCTTATCCCCCAAATTTTGACATGTATGAACATAAATACATCTTAAGAGGCAATGAAAGATTTACTATCCATTTCCTTTTTTGGCATTTCTTCTCAGAAAACTTTTGTTTGTGTTGGTACCAACCAATAAACATAAGTAGTTGTGTATGTGTGTACATACTTGTATGACATTCATGCACCTTTTTAAGTCTCAAAGTAATAACAAGATATCTGTCTTTCTCTTCCAAATATTGCTAATGAAACATTTAAAGAAATAGAAAACAACAGAACCTTTTCCCATTTTCCTCTTGCATTTGGAATTGTGCAGCAGACAGGTGTCTTAGTAACAAATGAGTCACTCTTGTGACCCAGAACCTGAAAATCATGAGGAATCGTATATCACAAGACTGCCACTTAGGTCTCAAGGAGAAGGCCACAGTGAGGGTTTGGGGAGTTGTTAAGTATTCATTTTACTTAATAACCTCCTACTTTATTTTTGCAATTTCTCTTTGAAAGTGAAACACAACAGAGGTGCGATTCAGGAAAAAGTGGGTTAAAATAATTTAGGAGAGTGTGGCTATAAAGTTGCTCTTGGGTGCTTTTATTATCATTATCATTAGCCATATTGACAACAGATTCAAATGGACTCGCTGAAATGACTATAACTATAGTATCATAAACATAGGCATTTTAAATGGTTCATTTTTAGAGAACATTTGTCTTACATTTTTAAAGTGAGTTGTGTAATATGTCTCTGGTCAGCCATTTGACTGGGTTGTCAATGTGTTACTAGTATTAATTTATTAAATTTATTTCTTAAACTATTGCTGAGTTCATAGATTTCCTCTACAAATGCTATGTTTGTGGTTGGCACGAAGAAGAAAATACAATTTCTTCCTTGAGAATATCACTGTTTAATTGGGACACAAGAACAGCCATATGAACAGATTATGATTGTTAAAAATAGAAACCAATTTAAACTAAATGAAGACAGCACAGTACAGCACTAGGTGTAGATTAAATTACTAAGCAACTAATTTAGACACTGTGCCTCTGCAGAACCCTCCATGGAGGAGTCGAAGCATATTTCCCATTGAGGTTAGTGTTGGTCACTTGACCTGCTTTGGGAAAAGGACTGTTAGGAGACATGACAGGAGCAGAGGCTTTAAATGAGCTGTGTGTTTGGCTTGGCCTCTCACACTTTTGCCATCTGTCCTGAGGAGAATACGTCTCAAGTGCCTGCAGATCCAAGGTGAATGAAGAAATAGGTAGAATAGATCGTGACCCAACAAGCAACCTAGAGCACGGCCAGCAGAGCATCATGAGATATGTAGAATCTTGCACAATAAAATACATGTTTGTGCTATAAGCTACTGCGATCTTGAGGTCAGCTGTTATACATCAAAAACTGATGAATACATCATGTATCAGTATAGAGGGAAACGTATTTAGCTTTTTGACACTTAAAGATCTAGAAAGTGACATTTTTACCGCCTTTAGTTAATATCAATGTGAGATTTGTACCTATTATGTTAGGTGCCTAGAATATGAAATTTGTCATGCAAAGTATATCATTTTCTAGCACCCCAAAAATTGTCAAAGCAAATTTAGAAGAGAAGAGCTTAAAGCAATTTTTGAAGATCTAGAACCTGGATCATTAAAATCTTATACACAAATTAGATTGCAATTTGTGGACTACATCTGACACTTTTGAGATAAACATCTTTATATGAACACAGAGGCTGTATTAATTAATTGCCTCTAGAAAGCTTGTCCTTACTTATTTGGAATGTTTTAATAAAATCAAACAGAAACAAAGTACCTTTACTGATTAGTAGAGAAGGACATCTGCCTAGACATATTGATTTTTATTTGATTGTTTAAAATGTTTAAAGTTTAATATGCCTGAGAGGTGCTTGGTATGCACCAATCACAAACCAGGGAAACTGTGTCATTTATCCCTCAGTTTTACTCTCATCCTCCTCATGTTATCCATGCACATAATAAAACATTGGGAGAATTTTTAAAAAGGAGAGAGAGAGAGATGAAACATCCCAAAAGGTCAAAAATCAATGATCCTTTTGCAGATGGGACTCCTGGGAAAGCCACATACTTTGATTTTAGCCAGAGTCTGAGTCTTCTTCTTGAATACTTGGTTTTTGATGACACAAATCAATAATTGCTTTAAGGGAGGTCCTCTAGGGACAAAAGGAATGCTACCTTTGAAATATTGAATAGCCTCTGCCAGTGCAGGAAGAGCTTCTAAGCATATTCTTTGGTTATGCATTGCTATTTAATAGGCAAAAATTAAATTTCAAGAATAATGATTTTTACCTTAAGACACTGTCTTATTCAAGTTGGCAAGGAGGTGAGAAACAGGAGCTTTTACATGCTGCTGGTGGAAAGAAACCTTGATGAACACTTTCTTAGCATACAGTGTGAAAATTCAAATCATAAATAAAGAAAAAACTGAATACACTTTGGGCATTGAATTTTATCCTAAGAAAATCATATTTAGTATTGTGAAGGATGTAACTTCAGAAATCTTCATAATCATATCATTTATTTGGAAATAACCAAAAATCCAACCACAGTAGAGTGGCTGAATTATCTGTATAAATTTGCAAATCAGAACACCATACTCCAAGTGATTTTTGCAGAAACTATTTAGTGATACTGAATGGTGTTTAAGGTATAGTAAAGCAGCAAGTTGCAAAATAAGTAACCAAATATGCATACAACAATCCTCTTTTTAAAACATGTAATTAAACATGGAGGGGGTGGTAAGATAGAAAAACTATTAACAGATGCTACCTCTGGGTATGGAATTATGAATGATTTTCATTTTCTGTTTTGTAATGTTATTTTGTTTTTCCTCATATGTTCTACAATGAGTATGTGTAGCTTTGTTTTTAGATAGTATAATAAATGCTGCTTTTAAAAATCCCTGAAGAAAGCTTTCTGGACTTCAGCACTATTAACATTGAGGGTTGGAAAATTCTTTGTTGCGGGGGCAAGAAGAAAGTATTAGAGACAATACTCAACAGTGAAAACCAGCCTTTGTAGTCCAATTTTCATTCCCATATCAATTTACTGCTGTATTCCAGAGAGATTATATGATACTGTGAAAATCATTATTCTTGAAGTTTAATTCTTGCCTATTAAATAGCAATGCATAACCAAAGAACATGCTTAGAAGCTCTTCCTGCACTGGCAGAGACTATTCAATATTTCAAAGGTAGCATCCCTTTGGTCCCTGGAACAAAGAATGTAGAGGGATCCCTACATTCTTTGTGCATTGTAGGTTGTTTAGCAGCATCTCTGGCATCTAATCCCTAGACATCAACAGAACACTGTCCCCCTGCACACACAGTTGTGACATCCAGAAATGTCATCAAACATTAACATTGCCAAACATCACCAGGGTTGGGAAGAGGGGTGGTGCAAATTATCCCCAGTTGAGAATCACTACCTTAAGGTATCCATATGTAAATGGCATTCAAAAATCCTTAATGATTGAATCAAAAATGAAAAATTCTAACTAATGATTATACATTTCTGATCTTTCTCGTTGAGTATTAAGTGCAGGAGGCAAAGGTTATTTCAGTTTGTTAAATTCAGTCTCTTTGATGATTTCAAGAAGGAAACAACACTCAACAGTGAGAAAACAGTCTTTGTGGTCCAATTTTCATTCCCATATCAATTAACTGCTATATTCCAGAGAGACTGCATGATACTGTGAGGTCTTCTGTACAACAAAGACACTTCCATAGAGCAGTGGGGCACGAGGAAGGGGAATCGAAGAACTCAAGCTGGGCTCTCCTCCCTGAATATTAGTTTAATTACTTCTAACCTGCAACTCCTGTGTCGCAGGTTCTTAAGGTTACTTACACAAGATTATACGCAGCTAGATTTTATTTCTGACTCTGAGTTGTCTAGACTACTTAACCATATTATACTATCTTCTCAATTATCATCTCCTCATATGAAAAGCATGTATATTAAATGGTGTGCTGCCCACACACAGGGGTGCTGTGAGTTGCACAAAAGAGTGTGTATAGGACTCTTCCTCACAAATTTTAAAACACAAAAGAAATATCAGGAGGTATTATGAATACCATTATTATTTATACTCTCTGTCAGAGGCATTTCTACCTCCAAAGTTAGGGAAGTATGTAGAACTGCAGTTTGATTGCCTATACAGAATTAGGAAATTGGATAAGAAACCAGTTTTTAATGAGTGCCAGCCATTGTTCCAGATAAACCCACATGCTTCATTTAAATGAATGTGAGCGTCAAATATTAAAAATGAACAAACTTTTCTTTAGTGGTACCTTCTGCAAATAAATGAGAATGTTGAAAAGTGTACAACAGGGACCTGGACCTGGAAAAGCTAAAAGACACACAAATTATACTAGTCAACAAATGTCCAAAATGGTGGTACAATAGTGGTGGGAAGCTGAAGTTTCTAAATCCAGACGGTATTATGAGACGCTTCCATTATTACTTTATTTCTGTTCTAGAAATCTATTAATAGAATATGTTTGGCCTATCATGTTAATAATATTATAATAAGGCCCCATCAGATACAATTAAATTAAAGCTATAATATCTCCTTGCACTTGAAGACTCAATCAAGGCTTTCTGCCCTAACGATCTTCCTTTATCCTTAAAATAACACTGTGAAATACTCACAGCAATTCAGTTGCCTACACTTCAGTGTTTATGCATGATAGACACGCATCAGGGAGCACATCTGACATGTGTGTCCTTCTGCACCACATTTCCCTCTACAATTGCCATTGGATGGGCTCGGACCCTCAAACATGGAATATGATACCCTAGGGCTTGCCACTATTCTAAAGTGGTGTTACAAATCTCCCAACAAATAAGCTGCATTCATTGGCTACATAGCTCTAACAATCTCTCTGCCATTGCCCGCATAGACCACAAGAAAAACTTCAGCAAGTTTTCCAGACCTTGATAAATGGAGCAGAAACTTCCTGGAGTGAGGCTCAGTGGAAGGTCATAAAAGATGTGACAACAGAAAGCTAGTTCAAGACCTGGCTCTGAACTCTTTTTATTTCTTCCAGCAGATGATCCTTATTCTCACCTCCAGGCTTTTATGTGTGTTATTCATTACGTCTGGAGCTCCACCCAGCCCAACTCTGCACCCCTTACCTCTGCCCCCTTTCACCTAAATAACATCAACGCTTCCTTGCAGCTCTGCTTTTGAAGCTTTGTTGCACATTCCTAGGCTGGGGTCAGGTGCCCTATCTCTGTACTCTAGTCTCTTCTTTTTATAATATTTACAATCCTTTCATGTAATAGCTAGTAACATTGTTTTCCACAACAAATGGAAGGAAAGACGGTTGTTTGTCTTGTTTTACAGTATTTTGCACAGTGTTTGGCAAATGTAAAATTCTGAATATAGATGTATGACTCCAATACACATTAAAATCCACTTTATGATCTGGCTTTCTGTATTATTAATAGTTAACTTTTGCTGTTTTCAATAACACCCCAAGATCTAATGGTTTAAGACAATGAAGATTCACTTAGTTTAGGTCTCTGAGGGCCCGCTGTGTGATCATGCTGGTCCTTTAATCTCCTTTCATCTCTGCTGGAATCCCTAATGGGTCAGCAGTTACCTGCAGGTTAGCCTGGGACTTTTCACAAGGTACTTGCAGGGTTCCCAAGAGCAGCATAAGCAGAAAGACCCTAGCGTGCAAGTACTCATCACGTTTCTGTTTGTATGGAGACATCCCGTTGGCCACAGCAAGTCACACAACCGAGACAAACCAGTGTGAGAAGGACAGCCCAGGAGTGAGGCTATAGTGAGAGGTGAACAAATTAGGGACCAATATGAAGCCTCACCACAGTTTTCTTTCTCAATAAAACCTGTATCTCATTCTTGCATCTTAGATGGATTGTTTCTTTTCCACAGGTGCCTCCATGTCTGCTGGCATAAGAACCTTCTTTTTTTTCTGTTAATAATATTATAACTTCAACTATGACTGTGTTCATTAATAGAATGATTCGCTCTTGAGGGCAAGTAGTGGTGGGAAGAGGAGAGGAAATAGATTTTGAGGCTGCTTGCTAAATATATCATGTATTTGCTACTAAGTCATTCTCCAGAAGTGTAAAGAATTCGCCATCCAAGATTTTAAAAGACATTTGTTTGTACTATCAAAGCAAAAATATGTACATTCATTGAAATATGTTGATTTACTCATTCCCTTTTACTTGGCTCTGCCTCTTTCCTTAACCTCTGATTAAATAAACTTGTGACAAAGTATGCACTTCCAGAAGTGGCTTCTCAGTCACAAATTCTCAATACAACTTGTTTGGTAAAGCTGATTAAAAATAAAACTGTGTTATTTTAACCAGCTCTCCCTTTCTCCATACATCCTAAATCCCTTTCATTATCCAGCTTTTCTTTCCCCAAAAATTACAGGGGGTATTTACAGCCTTAAGACTCTTAAGCCAATTTCAACTGACCATGTCAGCCTGTGTTCACCAGCTTATTTCAGAGAAGCCGCTGAAACAGAGAAGAATGTGTTTACTAGAATGTGGCTCCCTAGGGATGAGCCAGGCACATCTGTAATTCTAAGGAGAGTGTAATGAGGAAAAACTGGTGGCATCCTGAATGGCTCACAGCTGTTCTGGAAGCTGATAAATAAGACGCTCGACAGGAGATCCCTAATTGGAGCCAGTTTTTCTTAAGTAGATACACAATAAGGTGCAAGACTGGGCATTGGACACTGATAATGTTGTTCACATGTAACTTAGTTTGTCTTGTAAACAGTTCCAATTTCAAACGGTAGTGCCTTCTTTTCTTAAAAAGGGAAAGAATGTTCACTTTGTCAGTGTTTTTCTTCACACTAATTAGAGGCAAGCTAGCATTATTTTTCCTGGTGCTTTTCTCCAAAAAATCTCCCACAGTTTTTAGCCTCTTTTCTCTTTCTTTCTTTCTCTTTCTTTCTTTCTTTCTCTTTCTCTTTCTTTCTTTTCTTTCTTCTATCTCCTCCTTCTTTCTCTCTCTTTTCTTCCTTCCTTCCTTCTTTTTCCTTCCTTCCTCCTCTTTCTTACCTTCCTTCCTTCCTTTCAGTCTTCCTCCTTTTCTCCTTCTTCCTTCCTTTCTTTCTCTCTTTCTTTCCTTCTCTCTTTCTCCCTCTTCTCCCTCCCTTTTTTCCCTGCTTCCTTCTTTCCTTTCTTTCTTGTCTTTCTCCCCACCACCAGCTCTGCCTTTTCTCTCCATTTTCTTCCCTCTTTCTTCCTTCTTTCAATCGTTCATATCTTCAGAAGCACCAGTTCTTCTTCAGTGCCAAAATCAAAAGCATGCAGTTAATTATTCCCTTTCAGATCCTGGCCACCTAACCTTAATGCTGATATTTACTTGCTTGAGGACTGCAGCCCTTCTGACCCTTTGGAAAGAACATCTGTAACATTTCAATTTTCATCTGAGAAATGGCCAACTAGCTTCTAATAAGAAGATAAGAAATTGTATATGCAGAGAAAGACTTGAGTATATTCTGTTTTCATCCTGAAATCATGTTGCTGCAAAAGCAACTAAAAGTAGCTTCCCTCTCCTGGGTGATGAGCCTCCTTTGTATTTGGTTAGAAGAAGGCATGACTCTCATGAAGGACTTGACTTACCTCATTTACTGCCCTCTGTTTAGCTTGACATAAGCACTACTCTCCAGCAGAGAGCTGTTTAAAAACTGGCTTAGGGACTATATTTTTTTTTAAATAACATGATGAATATACTATATAAAACTCACTATCCTCATGTCTACCAACGTTTAAAGGGTGTGGGAGAGGTGGAGAAAAAATCCAGAAGTTTTTCAACAAGATACATACCATCCTTCCACAGATACAGGCTTTTACTAGTTCCCATTTAAGTGAAGTAAGAAATATCTCCCATCATGGGAGACTTTTGCCCAAGTATTAATTGCCACATTATTAATTTTTGTCTTTCCCTGTGAAACAGAATCTATCCATTCTATCCAGAGTATTTCTACCCACCGACTTCTGGCATAAAATACAATCCAAATTCCAGCATTGAAGTTTCATGTAACAAGCAAGCATCACGTCAACAGCCTGGGCCACATTGTCCTCCAGTGAACATGAACTACTAGAACAATGATACCATCATGCTTACCCAGCCCTCCAATACTGGAGGTAAGGTGAGGGTACTGTTCTTCTACATATTTAGATATACTCAGAATGTGGAGGCAGAACGAGAGTCTCTATGAGCATATGTGTAGCTCTTGAAGTGAATGGGAGCTCATAAGAGGCAAGGGTAGCATCCTTCTGCCACCAATTCCCTTTGTCCAGGTTCCCTTGTGAAATATTGTGTGACAGGGTAGAGAATGTAAAACGAATAACTTCAAAGCGGCAGCAGAGTTAAGTGTTCATCCATTCATCAATTGTCAAAGCAAAACCACAAATGCTTTTAAAACTGTAGAGATGCTAAAGGTATAGTGATGAGGAAAATGTCACTCTTCCCCTCAATTTTCACAGCCCCATGAACTATACCCTGGAAACTAAGGACAGGAAAGGAAAAAAAAAAGTCATCATGTGCAGTTAGGTTTTCTTAATGGACTCTGTTAGAGTAGCTCCTTTTGATTTTGAAGATAAGTTCTTTTGTGGGCAACCATAAACTTTAAGCAGAAAGGGCCTGTGCCCCTGTCTGTCATACCTTATCTCTAGGGAACCACATTAGACAGGATTAAGAATTTTAAAGACTTATCCAAATGAGTGACAATTTCTCTCTCACCTGGTTTCATCCCATGGGAAAATGTTTACACCCCTATAAGGTCTTGACAGAAGGTTCTGAATCCTGATGAGATGCTTGCTTTGGCATGATCTCTTAGAAAATTTACAATAGCAAAGATTTTGAACAAACCCAACTGTCCATCAATGATAGACTGGATAAAAAAAATGTAGCATATATACACCATGTAATACTATGCAGCCATAAAAAAGAATGAGTTCATGTCATTTGCAGGGAATGGATGAAGCTGGAAACCATCATTCTCAGCAAACTAACACAGGAAGAGAAAACCAAACACCACCTGTTCTCACTCATAAGTGGGAGTCGAACAATGAAAACACATGGACACAGGGAGGGGAACATCACACATTGGGACCTGTCGTGGGGTGAGGGGCAACGGGAAGGAGAGCATCTGGACAAATACCTAATGCATGCAGAGCTTAAAACCTAGATGACGGGTTGATAGGTGCAGCAAACTACAATGGCACATGTATACCTATATAACAAACCTGCACATTCTGCACATGTATCCCAGAACTTAAAGTAAAATTTTTTAAAAAATGAAAAGAAATATCACATTTACAAGGATAGCCTTGAATTGTGGAACAGAAAGCTCTAGAATTGCTTTAGCTAGAACCAATCAACAAGCTGCTGATATAGGGAAGTCCAGACAGGTCTAGAAAACCATTCCTGATGAAAAATAAAGTTGTAGTCATGGCAGTCAAGGGGTAAAAGAAAAGCCAGAGAGGCAGGAATTGTGAAATTCCACTCCTATCTCAATCATTATCTGCAAATACAGTACAAACTTCTCACCTCTCTGGAGGCTAGAGAGCATAGAAAGAGATTTTTCTTGACACACTCTTCTCAACTGAAAAAAATAGATATAGTGGGATTTAGAAGAGCTAAGTGTTGTTTGACAGAATACTTCAATTCTGTGAAAGGAAAACATTACTCCACCTCTAAAATGAAAAAGGAAAAATACTAAAGTAGACTAACTCACAATGAGTGAGGCTCAAATATTAGGTTGGTACAAAAATGGCAAAAATCACAATTATTTTTGCACCAACCTAAATACAGTTGTCATCCTAATACATATTTAGTGATGACTATAAATCAGGTGAATTACTTCATTCAATACCATCAAGAAATCTATAACATTTATTAATGAGGACACTGAAGTTAAGAGAGAATAAGCAGCATGAGTAAAGTCAATAGCTATTAAGTGGCAATACAAATATTAGAATGCTATGCTCTATGAAGCTGCATAAATTGGCTACATGAGGGCTACACTCTGCCTTTAATAAAACAGCAAAGCAAATGTTGGTTCCACTTTAATTGTAATATCCTCTGATGAGTTAAAATTAAAACAAGAACACAAGAACATTTATTATTAATTGCTCATTCATTTTTCATTTGGGTAGACATAATCAGAAGCCAAGTGGTGACATCCCTGTGTACTCATTTTTTATACTGTGCTCATAACTCCTTTAATAATGCAAATATTTATTATGGGCATCCCTGGAGAATCAAAGGTGTTTGAGGAAGGGATTTCTAAATATCACGATCCACTGCTGAGTAAAAACGCCAGGATACTTCTACTGTTTAAAGGGTCAGAGCCACAGGGTCTGTCAAAAGGGTCACTCGGCACAAAAAAAGAAGTTAGAAGGTTATCCAGTTTCTGGAATAAAGTAGCAGCAGGTATAATCTTCACCAACAGAGAGAGAGGAGGCATGAGGAGAATTTCTCCAGGGTAACTAAAACTACATCACAGGCCAGAAATGGCACCAAAGACAATTATTACACAACAGACTTGAAAACTATAAAGTTTCAGCTTTCCTTTAATTCCATTCAATTTTAGTAACTATATGAGGATTTGTGATATACAAAACACCATAGTAGGTTCTGGGACTTTTTAAAAAAATTAATGCATTTAGTCCTTCCTGCAAGAATCTCAGTCTAGTGGTAGAGGAAGGCAAAATTCATCTTACTGAAGGCCTTGTGTATGCTTATAAGGGTTTTGGACTTCAATCTGGAAGAAATGCTAGTTAAGCCATACATACACCCATACATACATGTATATGTCTGTAACAAAATAGAAAATGGAATGAAGTTTGCTGGGCTGGACATATGGAATCCCCTTAGGAAATTATTGCAATGGTCTGACTAAAGCCTCATGAGGACTGTTCTGTGACAGTAGTCACAGAGATGCAACAGACACAATGAATCTGAGGTACATTTGATATTAAAAACAGCTAGACAAGGCCGGGTGCAGTGGCTCACATCTGTAATCCCAGTGTGATTTGGGAGACTGAGGTGGGAGGATTGCTTGAAGCCAGGAGACAAGCTTGGGCAAGATGGTGAGACATCATCTCTATCAAAAAAATATATATTAAAAAAAGACTAGAAATCATGACTGATTAATGAGATATAAAATAGACAGAAACATTTAAAATGACACTAAGCTTTCTGTTTCTAGTGCCTGGAAGGATAACACGGGGGGAAATAGAGATAAGGGATGGGAGAGAAACAGTAAGTTGTTGGTTATTGGGATAGATGTTGAATTCCATGTTGTAGTTGAGTTTGATGTGCCTAGAGGCAATAGAAAGACGTTCTATGGATATTTGTGTATGACGTAAGATTGCTAATGGCTATGACTTTTTCCAAAGATCCATTTCTTTTATTTTTTTCTGGTTAATTTTTCCAAGTCTTATGAGCCTTATTAGTGGGGAGTCCACGTTTTGAGCCTCCACTAATCTTCTAAGGAACCTGGGGATTTAGTCCAAAGGAAGTTGGTCAAAGTTCCAAATGCCAAAGAGTATGGTCAGTTCATTACACTTTGTTTCTCATAGCTGCATGGTACGATTTTTTCCACTGCTGGAGAAAGGCTCTTATTGGTACCAATCTCTGAACAAGCTTGCAAGGTAAGATGACACCTGTCCCTAAAAGCTAATCTTATCAAAGGCTGCTGCATGCTGGGGCTTCCAAATTACGATTTCGATGTTCTGTGACATTTCAACTTACTTCTCTCCAAGCCCAACTGCACCAGGTTGGCTTATTACCAAAGAAATGACCACATTAGCCTCATGTTGGGTCAAAACTGCCCTCCTCCAGGAACTCTGCATTCTTAAGCTGTTTCAGGTGATCTAGCCAATGTATCCCCATGTTCTCCTGAAGAGTGTCTCTCTTTCCATTATCAATAATCTTGGTTAGGGCTATCCTAGTTAACTGTGAAACAATAGCTCACAGTGAAGCCCAGAAGGAAGAGAGTAGATTTTCAATCTCTTATCTCCCAAAAGTCCACAGGATTCTTTCACAGCTTTATGTACTTGGGGTCACAGAGAGTGGCATCCCTGTTCAAGTCAAAAAAGATTCAGATCAGATCCACTGTTATTCTATGGCAAAGGGTCCCTATATTCTTGTTTTTCATTAAGAGAGAGTAGAATAACCCCTAAACGGAAAAATAGCATAAACTTCTACAGCTGATATACATCAGATGTTGATTCAAGATGTTTTTCCTTTAATTATAGGCAGAACAGAGGAGAGTCCTATTTTTTTAAAAAAAAGCTCCTATTTGTTTAATTCTGCTGTTATTTCTGCCGATTGATTTGCTGGCTATGGAAGACTGTGTTCTCCAGCCCAGGCCCTATCATACAACACATACATTGAACAACTAGAGAAACAAGGACTACCATTTAATGAGCAGCTGTAGTATGCTGGGCACTGACCCCAGCAACCCAGAGGTGTTGGTAAAAGGTTTCTAAGAGCATATTTGTGCTTAAGCAATAGATGCTGACTTGATTAGAAGAGAGCACGTCTTTTATGAAAAATGCCTGAATCTTGGCCGGGCGCGGTGGCTCACGCCTGTAATCCCAGCACTTTGGGAGGCCGAGGCGGGCGGATCACGAGGTCAGGAGATCGAGACCATCCCGGCTAAAACGGTGAAACCCCGTCTCTACTAAAAATACAAAAAATTAGCCGGGCGTAGTGGCGGGCGCCTGTAGTCCCAGCTACTTGGGAGGCTGAGGAAGGAGAATGGCGTGAACCCGGGAGGCGGAGCTTGCAGTGAGCCGAGATCCCGCCACTGCACTCCAGCCTGGGTGACAGAGCGAGACTCCGCCTCAAAAAAAAAAAAAAAAAAGAAAAATGCCTGAATCTTGGCAACTCCAAGATGGTCAGCTCCATCTTATCTTTCAAAAAATATCCTCATGGTATACAGTATAGAGAGCCATTTTACAGAGAAAAGGGAGAAATGGGCTTGTTAAATGTAGAATGTGCCTCAGAAGGATATTTTCTAGTGAGAAATTTGGCTTCTCAAACTACGAGATAAAGCACCACAAAATACAATTTTGAGAAGAAAGGGCTAGCATACGGTGCATATTAACATTTGACATTTAAAGATTGAGACCTTTTATTTCAGTAACTACCTCATAAATCTCGTAGGCAAATGATCTTCACTTCCTGGGTTGCCTTAATTTTCACTTAGCTCTTCTCTGAAGCTGTGTTTGCAGGTGTGGGCCATCTGAGAGCAGTGAGCCCTCCATTCAAGGAACATCTTCTGTGTCGACTCTAATCTGTCTTCAACAAAGCAACAAATTCCTATTTAAAACTAGTTAGCTAAATACTCCAGAGATCAAATATAATTTCCCTTTAGTTGTGCTCACACTGTCACAATTCTAATTATGACACTGTTGGGAATACTCGCTTTCTTAAAAAATGTAAAATGCACCATAAAAATTTATGAAGCAAATTATCACAGGTGTAACTGTTCAAGGGTGCAGTGGTCTCTTTGTAACTCAGTTTCCTCAACCAGTGCCCTTTTACACTTTATTTTATGGTCAGTGTGATGCCTCATTGAAAAAAGAATATTAAAAAATAATTTATTAAGATTAAATTGCTTCTTCAGAAGGCACAATTTTATCTTTCTCATTTTATAAGAATCCCATTTTAATTTGCTTCCTATGCAATCCCTAGCATGAATTTAGAGATTTAATGGAGTAAGGATTGAAGGCTAATATCAATGAAATGATTAATTTTATATTTGAAAGATTGGTTTGTTTGATTTAGATGAAAATTTCACTGGCCAATTATCCCTGGACTCTATTTAGTATAAAGTACTGACCAAATAGTCATTCTCATTCATCACTTACCAGTGTGAATTGGAAAAGGCATCTTTGTGATTATTCTTGATATATTAAAGGTTAATGTTGAATAGAAATGCTATAGGCTGGGCGCAGTTGCTCACGCCTGTAATCCCAGCACTTTGGGAGGCCAAGATAGGTGGATCACCTGAGGTCAGGAGTTTGAGACCAGCCTGGCCAACCTGGTGAAACCCCATCTCTACTCAAACAAAAAAAATTAGCCAGGTGTGGTGGCAGATGCCTGTAATTCCAGCTACTCCAGAGGCTGAGACAGGAGAATCGCTTGAAGCCTGTATGCGGAGGTTGCAGTGAGCCGACATCACGCCACTGCACTCCAGCCTGGGTGACAGAGGGAGACTCTGTCTCAAAGAAAAAAAAAAGAAAGGAAGGAAGGAAGGAAGGGACTGTTGCTCATTCCTCAAAAACTCAAAGAGAGAACAGATGCTTTTCCTAAAAAAGCTAATTTTAAAAAAATATTTATACTTATAACATAGATCAATAAATATACAAAACCCCATTGTACATGTATCTAAGTAACCGTACTTATTAAACATGCTATGTCTTATTGTCTTATCCATTGTCTGTGGTCAAAAAAATAATATTCAAACTTATAACAAAGTAAGAATAGACTTTAGACTTTAGTGTTTGAAATTAGAGATTTTATTTCAGGCTTTATTTTAAAATGTTAACAACATTGTCAGAACAAGACAGACAAAAATTATGGTGAAATAACTACTTCATCTGTAGGCATAAAGACATAGCTTTTTTTGTTTGTTTGTTTCTGCTTGACATATGCTAAACGCATGTGAGTGATTTGAGGCCACCTCTAAAGTAACCTAGAATCACAGATAGGGACAGAACTTAATCTGGAGGGATTTAAACAGATGGCCCCTAAATCCCAGAGAGAGCATATGATATGTCTTAAGTTTATGTAAAAAATAAGTCACTGAACTGGCCTGGAGCTCAGATAAACAACATTTAATTTGCTGGTCCTTCTCAAACCTAAACTCCCATGATTTTTTTGTTAATGCAGACTGAGTGTTATCACATGGAAAAATAGTTGAATAAGGAAAGTAAATTAGTTGGGCACATTAGTAGGATATATTAATATGTATTAGTGATTCAGTAGATACAGAGAGAGAGAGAGAGAGAACCTGCTATGTGACAGGAAGTGAGTTCCTGGCTTTGTAGAAGCTTACAATCTATTTGGAGATAAAACAAGAATATATGCAATTGTAATGCAGTCTCCAAAGTGCCCCAACCATGCTCAATGGAGAGTATTGGGAAATTTAAGGATGATATAAGAGCACATGGGCTAATACATTATCCAGACAGGGTGCTTATGGAGGGTTCTAAAGAGGAGTGGATATTTAAGCTAACATTTAAAGGATGAGTTGGAGTTAACCAGAAAGGAAAAAAGGAAGAGCAAGTGTTTCACAAGAGGCAACAGTCTGGAAAAAACAAAAATAAAGCATCTTTGATGATGCATGGTATTATGGATAGATCTGATAACAATGGCAAGAATGGCAAGAGATGAGATCAGAGGGAAAAGAAAATATTATGAAGGGACAAGCAAACCATGATCAATAGCTTGGACAGTATTCTGAAAGCAATGATGAGTTCATTCCAAGGTTAGAATACAGCAAGTTATGATCATATTTGATTTTCAAAAGAACTTTCTTATTGGGCTATAAAGAGTGAATTGGAGGGGGGATAGATGTGAAAGGCAAGTCTTAAATGGCACAAAGGTGAGAGTTTTAAAAAAATTTATTTGTAGACTGGGCGTGGTGGCTCATGCCTGTAATCCCAGCACTCTGAGAGGCCAAGACGGCAGGAACGCTTGAGCCCAGGAGTTAGAGAGCAGCCTAGGCAAGATGGCAAGACCCTGTCTCTAAAAAAAAAAATTTAATTTAATTTAAAAATAAAAATTTATTCATTGATACATAACATTTGTACATATTTATGGGGTACATATTATATTTTGTTACATGCATAGAATGTGTAATGATCAAGTCAAGGCATTTAGGATCTCATCACCTCAACATTTGGGTTAGAAATATTTCAAGTCATCTCTTCTAACTATCTTCAAATATATAATGCATTGCTATTAACTATAGTCACCCTACATAGCTATCAAACATTGGAACCTATTCCTTCCCCTGACTGTATGTTTGTACCTGTTGTACCAGTCTGTCTTCATGGCCTCCCTCCACCACACACATGCTCTTTTCCTAGCCTCTGATAACTATCATTCTACTCTACCTCCATGAGAGCAACCCTTTTAGCTCCCACATATGAGTGAAAACGATGTGATATTTATCTTTCTGTGCCTAGCCTATTTCAGTTAACATAATGACCTCCAATTCAACCCATGTTGCTGCACATGACAGCATTTTATTCTCTTTTATGGCTAAATAGTATTCCATTGTGTCTGTACACCACATTTCTTTATCAATTCATCTGTTGCTGGACCCTTAGCTCGAGTCCGTATCTTTGCTATTGTGAATACCACTGCAATAAACATGGGGATGCAGGTATCCCTTTGATATATTTATTTCCTTTCCTTTAGATAAATACTCAGTAGTGAAACTGCTGGATCATATGGTAGTTCCATTTTTAGTTTTTTTGAGAAATCTCTCCTTTATCCACACTCATTCTCTAAGTGGTGTAAGATGGTATTTCATTATAGTTTTGATTTGCATTTCCCTGATGATTAGTGATGTTGACCATTTTTTTATCTACTTGTTGGCCATTTTTATGTCTTCTTTTGAGAAATGTTTACCCATGTTCCTTGTCCACTTTTTAATGGGATTAGTTGGCTTTTTGGCTAGTGAGTTGTTTCAGTTTCTTGTATATTTGGGTTATTAGTCTCTTGTCAGAGGAATAGTTTGCAAATATTTTCTTCCATTCAACAGTTTGCTCACTCTATTGATTGTTTCTTGTGCTGCACAGAAAGTTTTTATTTTAATTAAGTCCCATTTGTCTATTTTTGTTGACTGTGTTTTTAAGATATTAGCCATAAAATCGTTGCATAGAGCAATGTTCTGGAGTGTTTTCCCAATGTTTTCTTCTAGTCTTTTTATAGTTTCAGGTCTTACTTTTAAGTCTCTAATAAATCCTTCATTTCGTATACCACTCTTATGTGGGATAAGAGTCCGGTTTCATACGGCTGCACATAGATATCCAGTTTTCCAGCACATTTTCTGAAGAATGTGTCCTTTTCCCAAGGTATGTTCTTGATGCCTTAATTGAAAATCAGTTGTCTATAAATACATGGATTTTTTCTGGACTTTCTATTCTTGTCCATTGGTCTACATATCTGTTTTAAATCAATATCATGCTGTTTGGATTAGTATAGTCTTGTATTTTGAGGTCAGGTAATGTGATGCCATCAGCTTTGTTCTTTTTGCTCAGAATTTCTTTAGCTCTTCAGGCTCTTTTTTTTGGTTCTGTATGAATCTTAGGATTTTTTTTCTATTTCTGTAAAAAAAAGTCATTGGCATTTTGTAGCAATTGCACTGAATCTGTAGGTTGCTTTGGTTAGTATGGTCATTTTCACAATATTAACTCTTCCAGTACGTGAGCATAGGATGTCTTTCCAGGTGTTTGTGTCCTCTTCAATTTCTTTCATCAGTGTTTGTAAGGTTTTTTTTTTTTCTTACAGAGGTCTTTAACCTCCTTAGTTAAATGTATCCCTTGGTGTTTTTTGCAGCTGTTGTAAATAGGATTGCCTTCTTGATTTCTTTTTCAGCTGGTTCATTACTGGTGTATAGAAATGCTACTGATTTTTTTTATCTTGATTTCGTATCCTGCAACTTTACTGAATTTGTTTATCAGATCTCAGAGTTGTTTGGTGGAGTCTTTAGGGTTTTCTAAATATAAATTCACATCATCTGTAAAGATGGACAATTTGACGTCCACTTTTCCAATTTGAATGCTTACTATTTCTTTTTCTTGACTGATTGCTTTGGCTACAACTTCCAGTAGTGAAAGCGGGTATCCTTGTCTTCTTGGCATTCTTAGAGGAAAGGCTTTTGGCTTTTCCCTATTCAGTATGATGTTAACTATAGGTTCGTCACACATGGCCTTTAATATGTTGATGTATATTCCTTCTGTGCCTAGCTTATTAGGAGTTTTTAATCATAAAGTGATGTTGAAGTTTATCAAATGCTTTTTCTATATCTGCTGAGATGATCATATGGTTTTTGACTTTCATTCTGTTGATGTGATATATCCCACTTATTGATTTGTGTATTTGAACCACCCTGAACCCCTGGAATAAATTTCACTTGATCATGGTGTATTATCTTTTTGATGTGCTGTTAGATTCCGTTTGCTAGTATTTTGCTGAGGATTTTTGTGTCTGTAGTCATCAGGGATATTGGCCTGTAGTTTTATTGTGTCCTTGTCTGGTTTTGGTAGCAGGGTAATGCTAGCCTCATGAAATGAATTAATGAGAATTTCCTCCTCTTCAATTTCTTGGAATCGTTTAAGGAGAATTGTTTTTTTCTTTATGAGTTTGGTAGAATTTGACAGTAATGCCATTTAGTCCTTGGCTTCTTTTCTTTATTGGAAAAATTTTTTTAATGGTTCAACCTCACTACTCGTTATTGGCCTGTTCAAGTTTTCTATTTCTTCCTGATTCAGTATTGGTAGGTTGTATGTGTTCAGAAATTTATCCATTTTCTCTAGATTTTCCAGTTTGTGTACAGTTGTTCATAATAATCTCTGATTATCTATTTTATTTCTGTGGTATCAGTTATCATACCTCCTTTTTTGTTTCTGATTTTATGTATTTGGGTCTTTATCTTTTTTTTGGTTAATCTAGCTGGCAGTTTATTGATTTTGTCTTTAAAAAATAGCTTTTCATTGCACTGTTCATTTGTATTTTTAAGTCTCTATTTCATTTACCTCTGCTTTTATCTTTATTATTCCTTTCCTTCTAATAATTTTGATTTTGATCTGTTCTTGCTTTTCTAGTTTCTTGAGGTGCAGTGTTAGTTTGTTTATTTGAAACCATTTTATTGTTTATTGTTACTTTTTGATGTAGGCATTTATTGCTACAAACTTTTCTTTTGGCTCTGCTTTTGCTGGATCCCAAAGCTTTTGTATGTTATGTTTCCATTTTCATTTGTTTCAAAAAATTGTCCTTAATTATCTTAACTACTTCATTGACCCAATGGTTGTTCAGGAACATGTGGTTAAATTTCCATATATTTGTAGTTTCCAGAGTTCCTTTTGTTATTGATTTCTAGTTTTATTCTATTATAGTCTGAGAAGATACTTGATATAAGTTTGATATTTTTTAATTTGTTGAGACTTGTTTTGTGGCTCAACATCTGGTCTATCCTTAGAGAATGTTTCATGTGCTGATGGGAAGAATGTGTATTTTGAAGCTGTTGGAGTAAATGTTCTGTAAATATCTATTAGGTCCATTTGATCTAAAGTCCAGTTTAAATCCAATGTTTCCTTATAGATTTTCTGACTAGATCATCTGTCTAGTGCTGAGAATGGGGTGTTGAAGTCCCCAACTATTACTGTGTTAGACTCTACCTCTCCCTTTACATCTGATATTTGCTGTACACATCTGGGTGTTCTGATGTTGGGTGTATACATATTTATAATTGTGATATCCTCTTGCTGAAATGATCCCTTTATTATAAAATGACCTCCCTTTACTGTTTTTGATTAAAGTCTGTTTTAACTAGTATAAGTATGTCCACTCCTGCTCACTTTTAGTTTCTGTGTGCAAGTAATATCTTTTTCCATTGCTTTGCTTTTGATCTATTAGTGTCTTTACAAGTGAAGTGAGTTTCTTGTAGGCAGCATATAGTTGGGTCACTTTTTTATATCCATTCTGCCAGTCTGTATTTTTAAGTGGAAAATTTAATCTGTTTACATTCAAAGTTATTATTTATATGTGAAGACTTACTCCTGTCATTTTGGTAACTGGTTTTTGGTTGTTTTATCTACCCTTTGTTCCTTTATTTCTCTCTTATTGCTTATTATTGCAGTTTGGTAGTTTTCTGTAATGGTAACATTTGACTCCTTTCTCTTCCTCATTTGTGTGTTTGCTCTACCAGTTAATTTTATACTTTCATGTGCTTTTATGATGTTAACATTGTGCTTTCACTTCTGGGTGAAGCTCTCCCTTAAGCATTTCTTGTGGGGCCAGTAGAGTGGTGACGAATTCCTCTTCTAGGAAAGACTATTTCTCCTCTATTCATAAAGGATAACTGCTGAGCATAATAGTATTGGCTGACAGTTTTTTCTTTCAGCACTTTGGGTTTCTGAAGAGAAGTTGGCTATTAGTCAGATGGGGGTTCTCTTATGTGTGACTAGATGCTTTTCTCTTGCTGTTTTTAGAATTCTCTTTTTCTTTGACTTTTGACAGTTTGACAATAATGTGCCACAGAGAATAGTTTTTTGGGTTGTATCTATTTGGGGATATCTGGGTTTCCTATGTCTGGATATCTAAATCTCTTGCTAGACTTGGGGAGTTTTCAGCTATTATTTTGTTGAATAGGTTTTCTGTGACTTTGGCCTTCTCTTCACTTTCTGGAACACTCAAAGTTTGGATATTTGGTCACTTTATGGTGTCCCACATGTCATATAGGCTTTGTTCATTTTAAAATTCTTTTTTTCTTTTTCTTTTTGTGTCTGACTGTGTTATTTCAAAAGACCTGTCACCAAGTTCTAAAATGCATTCTTCTATTTGATCTAGTCCATTGTCGAAGCTTTCAAATGTGTTTTTTATTTCATTCATTAATTCCTCTACTTTCAGGACTTCCGTTTGGTTGTTTTTTTAATCTCTCTTTGATGAATGTCTCATTCATATCCTAAATTATTTCTCTGATTTATTTATATCATTTATGTGTGTTGTCTTGTATCTTAGTGAACTTCTTTAACATCATTATTTTGAATTATTCTAGGATTTTATAAATTTCTTTTTGATTGGAATCTGTTGCTGGATAATCATTATGTTCTTTGGGAAGTGTCATACTTCCCTGCTCATGTTTCCTGTGTTCTTACATTGATACCTGTGCATCTAGAGTAACAGGCTATTCCAATTTTTTTTTGGATTGGTTTTTGTAGGGGAGAACTTTTTCTTGAAGCTATATCTATGGCATTGGTTGGATAGGGCAATTTAGCTTTGATACTGGGTGTGTACTCTAAACATTTCTTTGGCTATAAACAGCATCAGCAGTGTCTATAATTTCTCCAGTGGCTTACTACAGTTGTTAGTTCAGGATGTGGTGAGGCTTTGCTGGAGATGGGGACACAAAATATGCCAGTATTCAGGCCTCACTGGTGGCAGCAGTGGGCCAACAGGACTTGTTCTTGGACCTCTGTGCAGCATACAGAGTCACCAGTGTTATCAGGTCCAGGTGGGCTGATTCTTGGCCTCTGGGTGGCATTTTTTTTTTTTTTTTTTTGAGACAGAGTTTTGCTCTTGTTGCCCAGGCTGAAGTGCAATGGCACAATCTTGGCTCACCGCAACCTCCACCTCCCGAGTTCAAGCGATTCTGCTGCCTCAGCCTCCCAAGTAGCTGGGATTACAGGCATGTGCCACCACGCCTGGCTAATTTTTTGTATTTTTAGTAGAGATGGGGTTTCTCCATGTTGGTCAGACTGATCTCGAACTCCTGACCTCAGGTGATCCACCTGCCTCGGCCTCCCAAAGTGCTGGAATTACAGGCATGAGCCACTGCACCCAGCTAGGTGACTTTCGTAGGTACCAGTAGTGGCAGCAGTGGGTTGAGTTAGTGGCCAGGTCCCAGGCCTCTGGGCAGCATGTGTTACATGGGCAATAGTATAGTGGGGTGGAAAAATATTTGAGATCCCATATGGAATACGCTGTTATTAGCAATGGCTGTGACAGGCTGGGGAGGCCAATCCCCAGGCCTTCAGGGGGGTGCATGAAGTTGGGTGCTAAATGTAGTCATGGCCGAAAGCTGAGTGGGTGTGTCCTCAGCCTCCAGGGGAAGTGCACAGATGACAGCAGTGATGGACAGGCCAAGGTGAGCCCCCAGGCCTCTGGACAGATGCTTGAGCACTGAAGGGGCAGTGCCAGGCCAAGCAATGCTTTCCTCAGGCTCCCTGGTGGTGTGCACAGGCATATGGGCCACTGGAGTCATCCCCAGGCTCCTGGGCCTTGTACTTGGCTGGCAGTGGAGTAGTGGAAGTGGATAGAAAGAGCCTGTCTTCCAGGCACTTGTGGTGTATGGTGGCCCTGCTGCTGGAGGCAGCAGCAGGGTTGCTGTCTATAGCAGAAGTGGCTCTTGGGTTCTGGGGAACACACACTTTGGCCTTCAGCAGTGGCAGCACATGGAGAGAGCCTTTCCTTAGGACATGTGTAAGCGTGGTGTGTCCTTGTTGCTGCAGGAGAGGGGCAGGTTTGCAGTCAGCAACAATGGCTGGCCCATGGCAGATGGCTTTCAGGCTCTCGGAGCACTCACTTCAGCCCCCAGCAATAATGGCACATGGGGAGAGCCTTTCTTTAGGGCATATGTAAGTGTGCTGTGGCCCTGCTGCCTGCAGGAGGCGGACAAGTTTGCAATCAGAATTACTGACCCCTGGAAGATGGCTCTCAGGCTCTGGGAGAGTATGCTTTGGTGCCCAGCAGCACTGGCAGTGGGAAAGGAGAGACTGTCCTCAAGGTATTTACAAGTAGGCTGTGGCTCTGCTACTGGAAGGGCAGGAATGCTGTCAGTGGCAGTGGCCCCGGGCAGACAGCTCTCAGGCTCTGGGGAGCATAGGCTTTGGTTCCCTTTGTCCCAGGGGTCACCTTCCTATTGCACTGCACTGCCAATTTATTGAGATGCAAGACACTGTGTAGGCTAGAGTGCTTGGGACCTTGCAGCATTGCTAGGTGTTATACCATTGCAGTCCTCTGGGTAGATGTGGGGGGAAATCCGTGGAGCTCCACGGATGTGGAGATGCAGGTGCTGTCCAGCCCCAGAGCAAGATGCAGTCTGATGGGTGCTCGGCTCTCAAAATGGCACCATGTTGCAGCTGCTTAGGACTTGGAGGGTGTGTAGGACCCAGCATGAGCTCCTTCTCTGGAGCAATGTCATCACTCATTCTCCAAGCAGCTCCCTATGCTAGTCTAAGGGCCCACAGGAGATGAGAGGCTCTAGTGTGGCTAGAATTGCAGAAGTGTATGGTGGAAATGTGGACTGCTGGGGATCTCTCACTTGCCCTTTCCCTTCACTGGGGAGCCTCTCCAGACTCCCAGCCAGTTCCATCCGAGCCAGCTGCCTCACATCCCTATCTTTCTATGCATCAGGTGTTTCCTGTCACTTATCTGTTGAATTCCAGTGTTCTCTCTCAGATGCTCTATTTCAAATGTGGTAATCTACTTGCCATTTTGGCTCTTCTTCATGGAGGAGGTGAGTACCAGACGTTTCTAGCCGGCCATCTTGAAGCCTCCTCACCAAGATGAGTTTAAAGGCTGATAGAGACATACAGGCAAGAGATTGACGGTGGTCTGCAAGAATTGAGTCACCCAAACCTGACAAAAACAAGCAATGGGGAAAGGATTCCCTATTTAATAAATGGTGCTGGGAAAACTGGCTAGCCATATGTAGAAAGCTGAAACTGGATCCCTTCCTTACACCTTATACAAAAATTAATTCAAGATGGATTAAAGACTTAAATGTTAGACCTAAAACCATAAAAACCCTAGAAGAAAACCTAGGCAATACCATTCAGGACATAGGCATGGGCAAGGACTTCATGTCTAAAACACCAAAAGCAATGGCAACAAAAGCCAAAATTGACAAATGGGATCTAATTAAACTAAAGAGCTTCTGCACAGCAAAAGAAACTACCATCAGAGTGAACAGGCAACCTACAGAATGGGAGAAAATTTTTGCGATCTACTCATCTGACAAAGGGCTAATATCCAGAATCTACAATGAACTCAAACAAATTTACAAGAAAAAAACAACCCCATCAAAAAGTGGGCAAAGGACATGAACAGACACTTCTCAAAAGAAGACATTTATGCAGCCAAAAAACACATGAAAAAATGCTCAT
Organism: Homo sapiens; assembly: GCF_000001405.40. Lineage (NCBI taxonomy): Eukaryota > Metazoa > Chordata > Mammalia > Primates > Hominidae > Homo > Homo sapiens. Next base: position 59,278,793 of record NC_000016.10, on the reverse strand, counting down.
CATCACTGGCCATCAGAGAAATGCAAATCAAAACCACAATGAGATACCATCTCACACCAGTTAGAATGGCGATCATTAAAAAGTCAGGAAACAACAGGTGCTGGAGAGGATGTGGAGAAATAGGAACACTTTTACACTGTTGGTGGGACTGTAAACTAGTTCAACCATTGTGGAAGTCAGTGTGGCGATTCCTCAGGGATCTAGAACTAGAAATACCATTTGACCCAGCCATCCCATTACTGGGTATATACCCAAAAGATATAAACCATGCTGCTATAAAGACACATGCACACATATGTTTATAGTGGCACTATTCACAATAGCAAAGACTTGGAACCAACCTAAATGTCCAACAATGATAGCCTGGATTAAGAAAATGTGGCACATATACACCATGGAATACTATGCAGCCATAAAAAATGATGAGTTCATGTCCTTTGTAGGAACATGGATGAAACTGGAAACCATCATTCTCAGCAAACCATGGCAAGGACAAAAAACCAAACACTGCATGTTCTCACTCATAGGTGGGAATTGAACAATGAGAACACATGGACACAGGAAGGGGAGCATCACTCACCGGAGACTGTTGTGGGGTGAGGGTAGGGGGGAGGGATAGCATTAGGAGATATACCCAATGCTAAATGACGAGTTAATGGGTGCAGCACACCAGCAATGGTACATGTATACATATGTAACAAACCTGCACGTTGTGCACATGTACCCTAAAACTTAAAGTATAATAATAATAAAATTAAAAAAAAAAGAATTGAGTCACCATGGATATACGGATATACAAAAAAAAAATTGAAAATATGTAGGAAATGGAATGGACAGAACTCTAGGATGTGATTGGTAAGTTGTTAAAGATGAAGCCCAGGTTTCTTCACTATGCAAATGGAAGATAACTGGATCATCCACTGAGATAGGCATAGCTGGAGGAAGAGCTACTTTCTGGGGACAGTTGATATGCTCAGTAATTGACCTATTTTATTTGAGGTCCTTTGTGCATTAAGGTGTCTGCATATCCACTGATCAATTGGAAGTACATGGAACTTATAACAGAGATGTGGGCAGAAATAAAGATTTTTTAATTATTAGAAGCAAAGACAATAGTCAAGACCATCCAAAGAGAATCTGCATACTGGAATGAGAAAATGTTAAGTGCAGATCCTTGAAGAACAATGCATGAGGCAACCAGTTTCAGTTACCTGGAAAAATCACATCCTTTAAAAAAGAAATTGATGTTCCTTACAGAAGACATTCTTTAGAGATCAAAATTGAAAATAAATATTTTAGTTTAATTTGTGCATTGGTTTAATTAGTGATACTAAGTCTTGAAAAAATATATTTTTGTGGGGTTAAAGATAATGCAGAGGCTGGGTGTGGTGGCTCACACCTATAATCCCAGCATTTTGGGAGGCAAGAGGCTGTCGGATGACCTGAGGTCAGGAGTTCAAGACCAGCCTGGCCAACACGGTGAAACCCTGTCTCTACTAAAAATACAAAAATTAGCTGGGCATAGTCATGGGCACCTGTAATCCCAGCTACTTGGGAGGCTGAGGCAGGAGAATTGCTTGAACCCAGGAGGAGGAGGTTGCAGTGAGCTGAGATTGCACCATTGCACTCCAGCCTGAGCAACAAAAGGGAGACTCTGTCTTGAAAAAAAGCAAAACAAAAAAAGCAGAATGCTGGGCTCTAATTTGATTTCTTGATTTAATGCATGTGACAACTCATAGAAGTTAAATACATTTTCTGAACCTCAGGTTTCTCCTTCATAAAAGAGACAAACTGTAACTCAGAGAATGGCTGTAAAGATTAAATGCTCTTCCCATTGGCAGAGCTGGAATCACTTAACACAGTACCTGGCATATAACAGGAGTTAGCCTGACTACTATGTTAGTTAGTTACTTTGGAGTAGTTACCATTCTGTTCATTAGTTTATCCAGATAGGGAAAATGAATTAGTAAAACATATATACTGTGTATAAAAATAAATATATAAATATAAAAGTTTTTGTATCTATGTGTATATTTTATAGACATACATACATTTGACATATATATTATATATAGTATAAATGTAGATACAAAACCTTTTATCCAGTTGTTTTATACATGTATATAAATATAAATTTTGAAATTAGACTCAATCTAAGTTGTTTAATCAGTTTCCCCATATGTGAAGAGTATTTACTTCTAACTATAGCTCCAAAAGAGAAATTGCCTGTTTATATTCAGGGTTGACTTGGTTTCATGTGCCATAATAAAGAGTCAATTTCTGCAGTTTATTGACTTGGCCATTGGGTAAGCCGAATCACCCATTAAAATATCATAGTCTGGTTATTTAAATTTCACAGATACAGCTCAACTTTAAAAAGTGAAATAAAATTTCAATCTGGATTACATAATTGGATTTTACATTTTACATTTTGATTGTTTCGGTATAGGTTTGAGATTGATATTACCAACAAATGAACATATTTGTTATTCAATTTAAAATGCTGAAAAATGAAAATATGTTATTTTGTGTCATCTAGCTTATGCTCAGTAAATTCAGGGTAATAATTACACAGATTTAAATGTAGTAATAACTCAAGTTAAAGGTTCACTGCTTCTCCATGACCCAAGTCCTGGATTTGCGGAAGCCATTTTCACAAAAGATAGTAGATCAGTGATTCTCATATCTTTCTGTTGATAGAGCAATTGGAAATTATGATGCTCTGAAAAAACACCACAAATTATAAGATGTTAAGAATAATTAAATATATTATTCTTATGCAATCAATAGCATCTTATATTAGTGGTAGGCAATATCCAATGGCTAAGGTTATAAGCTCTGAAATCAGACTGTATTTTACAAATATGGGAACTGAGACATAGATAAATTAAGCTTCTTGCCCAAGGTCATATGATTATAATGTGGCAAAGTAAAAATTTAAGTCCAGGCAATATTAATAGCAATTCTGTCAAAGAGTGGTTGTGAGACTTAATAAGTCATGGAAAGTGTATGGCACCATGCCTGGCTGTGGATGTCTATTGAGCCTTTACTAATATAAATAAGACATTGTACTTGCCAATACTTAAAAAATAAAGGAAGAAGACAATACAAGTGAGGAAATTCTACTCGCTACATTAAAAAAGTTTTCTTTCACTTAAGGGCAGGATGGTGTTGCTGCTATATTTTCACGTGGTCCCCAGCATAGGAAATATTTTCTGTTTGATTTAAAAGGTGGGTCCTAGAAGAAAACTGCCTGGAATCTGAATCAGAACACGGACATTGAAAAGTTGTGTGACCTTGACCTTGACATATTAGATAATGTCTCTGGACTTCAGTCACGAAATGAGAATAATTAAAATACTAACCCGAAGAGGATTAAAAGAGTTAATATGTTTATGTGTACAATCGTGCCTGGAACTAATAGGGAATCAATTAAGGTCATCTATTCCTATTATTATTTCCAAAGAAGTCTTCAGTATATTGCAGAATCATTGCAAATTCAAAGATTAAGAGAAATCATTTTTATACTAATATATAAACACATACGTGCACATACGAAATCAGAAAATTCCATTTCCACCTTGAATAATTCACAAAACTTAAAAGGCAGGCTCTTTTCATATTTTTCAAACTAGAATTTAAAAGAATACGCTAACTCTTTCTGTGTATACTATGATGATAGAGAAAGAATCTGAAATGTACAAATGATATTACAAAGAAAAAAATGAAATTGCAAGCATTTTCTAACTAAAAAGCAAAAATATATATATATTGCTGCTTTGTGTACCTGCTCCCAGAACCACTTTTCTCCCAATTCTTTATCGGTCTGCTTTTTTCTCATTCTGGAAGTCTTGCTTGAATATCATCTTCTCAGAGAGAACATCCCTGACTTCCCTCCCTTGTTTAGAAAATCCTTCCTTTTAAAATTTGCAATCAAACCATCATCTTGTTTATTTTCTTCATAATACAAATAACTATAGGTAATTATTTTTTTCTACCTCCCCTGCTAGAACAAAAATTGAATTAGGAGTGGAATTTCTCTATATTTTGTCACTGTTTATTCATTAGACGCCTAAGTCAGTATTTGGTAGGTACAAGCATTTAACAAATAATTGTTTATTAAATTAACGAAGGACATAATGTATTTATATTCCGCTCTCATTTGATGCGTTATCTGTAGAAAGATCCAACAATTTGACCCTGAATTAATAAATTGCAAACTTTGGATATTTTTGCTTAGCCCATGTGAACTTCTTTGAGAGATTTGCAGGGAGCTCCGGGACTCAAATGAGTAGTATGGACAGAGCTTAAAAGGACAGACAGAGGAGGCCCCTGTGGAGATATGAGGGAGCCCCCAGCAGGTAGTGTGGACGCATAGGGAAGTTCAAACAAAGTCCATAGGCACTGGGATTATCAAAGCTAATTTCAGCTCCTGCCTGATCCTGAAATAGACTCCTAAGTGGTCTCTTTGTCTCAGCTTCCTCTACGTGGTTGCCAGATTTCTGAAATAGAAATCTTACCAAGTTGGCTTGCTCAGGGCTCAACAATGGCTCCACAAGGCTTTCTGAATAAGGAACAAGGCTTGTGTCAGAAACATCAACTTCTTTGTCAGGCTCCATAAGTCTCTAGTCTTCTTCACATCTTCTCCATGGACTCAGGACTATTACGGCGGATGCACTGGGTGGAATAGTTGCAATTCGAAGAACATCTCATTTTCTCCTACTTATCCATAGCTTTGCACATACTGTTCTTCTGCCTGGAATATCCATCCTTATTTTTCAAAACTTGTTTAAGTACTTCAGATTCAGAATGTAAATAAATATTTGCCCCTTTATGTGGCTTGCAGATACACTTTCTCTTCTTCGTGGTCATCCTTTGGATATCAATCGGATGAAACACACACACATATACAAACATTCGGATACCTTTACTTTATCAGCATTAGGCTTCTGAAAAAGAGGAGTCAAAACATTTACATTCAGGATTAAAAACATTCTCTTAGCTACAACAAAATCTGTACTACTTTCATGGTTATCAATTGAGATAGCATTTCAAAATTATTATGTAGAGTGTTATTAATTCTCTTTTTGTAATATTATGCTTTCCAATTAAGCCCTGAGGCCTCTCAGTGCAATTTCCTCTGTAGTCATCTATCCCTTGATGGCTACCACCTAGTTAATATCCACCAAAAACTGTCAAAAGCTTGCAATTTACTATTGTTATTATCATCATTGTTTTTGTTGTTACTTAAGGGAGTTTAAATTTTTGGATAGGATATTCTTCTGCAGTTTCTGCAGAAGAAAAAAAAAGCCACTCTAAGGACTTATATTCACATTTCAATATTCAGTAATTGAGGAACTAAATATAAGTCATTGTGTTGTATATGAACCAGGAAAATTAGAGAAAAAGAATGGGAGAGAAAAAAATGAATACATGTAACGGGGTGTGTGTGTGTGTGTGTGTGTGTGTATTTCTAAATTGCATATGTAAATTGTATTAATATTTAAATTAGATAAAATTACATAGACACACATACACAGAATTGATTCTTGTTATTCACAGTAGTTATGTTCTACAAAATTGACCCAAACACTGAATTAGCAAATACTAAATGATTGCTCCTAAGGGAAATACAAGATTAGGTTCCTGCGAGCCTCCTGTCACAACATTTTCATCTAACAATCAATATATAGCCTTGTTTTGTGTACATTTCCACTTAAAGACACCTTATTTAATATATATTGGTTTTTTTTTTTTTTTTTTTTTTTGAGACGGAGTCTCGCTCTGTCGCCCAGGCTGGAATGCAGTGGCGGGATCTCGGCTCACTGCAAGCTCCGCCTCCCGGGTTCGTGAACCCGGGAGGCGAATATATATTGTTGATTCATTAATGTTGAATGCACAGCCGACAGCATTATAACTCATGCCTAAATGAAGCTTATCTAACACATGTATTTTCTCAGTAAGGCACATCACAGCCTTCTTGTATTTAGGAACACCAGACAGCACTTCAGTATTATGCTTAGGGGCCATTTTAAACAGCAAAGGCGCCAACCAAATGCACAGAAATGCAACAAATTTGGCATTAAATAGGCCAGGAAAAGGGCAGTTCATTGCAGTATGAGATCTCAAAACAAGACGGCAGAGTGTCACCTTGTTCAAGCTCAGCTGGGAACTTGCATACTGGATGACTCCAAATTTTCACCACTTTGCACATGTGCATGTCGACAAATGACCTCCAAAGCACCTTAACTATTGATATTGCGGTTACAAATAAATTTTAATGAGCAGGTGAATTTGAAAGTTTGCATTATTTGAAAACTGCAAGTAATGAAGACTGTATGTGTTCATATATATATACATATATATAAAATATCAAAAATCTTCCACATGAATGATGTCTGTAGAATCAATGTTCAGTTTGTATCCTATTTGCCTGTCACATAAGAGGAGCTAAGAAGTATGATTAAAATAAAGGAAAGAACAGGAATCTATTGTTTTTCCCAGGTCATCTTCATTTAATCATGGTCCTTAAAATGACAACTAGAGGCTTTTTTAGAGAAATTATGTTTCCATTACTTCATATTCTTTAAAAATCTATAACATTGTTTCATTTTCTAATGATAAAGATATATTTTTGGTAAAAATATGGAAAAATTTAAGAAATGTAAACACCACCATTTGTATGGTAAGATAAAGATAATTAAAAATTTGATGCATTTCTTCCCAGTGTTTTTACTGCAATGCATAAATAGGTGTATAAGCATTTTAAAAAATAAAATTAAAATTTTACTTTCTAGCTTGCTTTTTTTTTTTTCATTAATGCTGTAGCAACATTTTCCTTATCATTGTATTTCGGCCTTAGATTTCTGCTGATCTCTCTTTCCAAAAGGATATACCCAGATATTTGAGGTCACTAAATGCACTGTAGATGCAGCAATCTGCTGCCTTTGCTGAATAAACGCATATGACGGCCTCTACTGGGGAGACGTAGAAAAAAACTATTAAGAGTGTACTGCTTGATTTTTTCTTTAATTTTTGTATTCCTTGAGAGATTCTCACTTAGCTAAAAAAAAAGAAAAAGAAAAGGAATCATTTCCAAAGGTGTGAGGAAGCTTACACTAAAATAGATTGCCTATATCATAATTGACCTTTGCATAAATGCATGTATTTCATAGCAATTCAGCTCAATCAAATTCCCAGGAAGACATATTCACCCAGTGCAACACCAGAATTAAAGTTTTAAAATGTACATTTTAGTACCTCTCCAAAGCCAAAAAGTTCAATCTCTATGTTCAAGCTCTCATAACATTATTGTTTTTCAACACAATGAGAGTTAATGTGGACTTTTCTGTCTTTATGAATTATAAAAAGTATTCTGGGCTAGGAGAAAGAAGCAATTTCTACCCTTGTTCTCTTAGGTGTTGCATGATTACCTTCAAACAGGCAATTACTGAGCAAAATTAATCAACTAAAAAAAATTTAACACTATCATAGCAAAATTCTCAGATAACCTCAATTGATAATTAAAATTTCCAGTTTTTCTTTTCTAATATTTTATTCTTTACCCTAACATGAAGAAACTACATAGTTCCAAGTCCAAAAAAACTGTGATAATTATGAACAATTAAGTGAATTGAGTCAATTTCTTAAAATACTATAACGTATATATAATTTGTTTATTATGTGAAAAGAATTAATTAACTCATAGGAAAATGTTATAGAGGGAAAAATTAATATGTCATACATTGACATATTCTGGGTTCTTTGAATGCCTTTTAAATTGCCATGTAGTCATTAGTTAATTGTTGAAATTAAGCTAATTTTAGGCTGTTAATCCAAAAATGTATTCAAAAAGTTAATCATTAAAAGTTATTTACATACTGAAATGAATTAACATGGGAACCATTTTTATTAACTATAAATTAAAAGGAATTTTATTTCTGATGCCCCAAAAGTGAAAAATAATATTGCCTTTGCATTTGAAAGTATTTAAAATCTTGTAAATGTCATGGCCCTTGAATTTGGCTCAACAGAACTGGATCCAAAACCAAACTGAAGACTCCCAATTCAACAAGCCAGAAAGGATGATTTCCTTCATTTCTAGAAGCTGTCTCGCCTCTCTCACAAACACTTACTTACATCATTGGACCTTACGAAAGTTTTTCTACCCACTCAGTGTAAGTGTAAGTGGAATATCCTTGTATAAGGCATGTTTTTTATCCACCATCTTTCAAACAATCAACAAGTCATACTGACAGTACTGTGGATTCTAAGTCACCCGGAATTGTGCTGCCCTGGTAGTGTCTTCATTCCCAGAGGAAGAGACAGTAAAATGTATACTTTTACTACCATTAAGTATGACATTTTACATTTATTGGCTACTTATCACATTTTGGATCTTTGTTAAGCAGTTTGCCTACATCATTTCATTCCAGCCTCACAAAAACCATACAAGATCATTATTAGTTGTACACTCTGGGGAAAGTTCATTACATTTTACATACCTTGGTTTTCCCATAGGTAAAATGGGAGCTAATTAGTAAGTAGGCTGATTAGGTAGAACTAAGTGAGAAAAACAAGACTCAAATTTAGGTCTGCAGGTTCTTTCTCAAGTTTGAAGTCAAGCTTACCTTGCATTTTAACACTTTCAGCTGATTGACTTTGTGCAAGTAAATAACCTGCCAGTTTCCACATCTGCACGATAGAGATGTTACTCACTTTACAAGGATATTGACAGGATTGAATGCCATAAAATATGTGGATCACACAACAATTCATGTGGCACATCCTTGGAGCATCACAAATGTTAACTTCCTTACTCAAAGATTTAAGCTATTAGTATTATGACTACAGTCAGCAAAACAACTGGGATATGTGGCATAAAAATCATGTGCATTATATATGATGGAAATACAACAAAATAATTGAAATCAATGACATCTTCACTACACTAGGTTATATGTTCAACACAGCTACTGGGCAACTCCAAGGAACAACTCCAGGAAATAGTCGTATGTAGCAGAGCATAATGTTGACAGTAGGCACTGACTGTCAAAGCAAAAATTGCACCTACAAAATTAAACAAGCAAGAAGACTTTATTCAAGGCTATTGCAAAGGGCAGGGAGAAGTCTGAACTCCACTCCGCTGAAACAACTAGCAGTAATTTTGAGTGCTGTAGTGAGAAGAACACAGGTCATCTGCATTTGCTAATTAGCTTTAATCCCCTAAAAAATAAACTTTCTCTTATCTTTGTGACAGGAGGTAGTTCTACAACTTGGAGCAAGGCACCCACTAAACTTAGGTTCCTGCTCTTTCACAGAAACTGGGAGATAGGGGTGCTATCTCCATCGATGTTTACATTTTAAAGAGATGCCTCCCACATCCTTGAGAAAGACATCCCTGCATTGTCAAACCTGCAAGAGGCTTTTTTTTATTTCTTTTTTTGAGATTAAGTCTCACTCTGTCACCCAAGCTGGAGTGCAGCGGTACGATCTTGGCTTATTGCAACCTCCGCCTCCCGGGTTCAAGTGATTCTCCTGCCTCAGCCTCTTGAGTACCTGGGACTACAGATGCGAGACACCATGCCCAGCTAATTTTTGTATTTTCAATAGAGGCTTTTAAAAAAGATTTACATACATCTCCAAGAGGCAGAGAAAGAATATACAATTACAGGAGAATGTTCTTAAAAAAATACTCTAAGAAAAGGGAAATCTGGGTCTAGAGTTAGGAAGAACCCTGTCCAGAGTTTAGTAGAACTGAGGGGAATGTTCAGGAGGTCTTGGTCAGTTTAACACCAATGAGGAAGGATGGGTGATGGGCACGAGATCCATCTTCTCCTCATGTCCAGCACCTCAGAGCACTCCACACTATGTGCCAACTTTTCTACTCATTTCCTTAACAATTTGTTCCAACAATCAAGTAGAGAGAAAATCTAACAAGTCATTTCAGAGGAGGAGAAAATAATCTCAGAAACCTAAATTAGTTACACAATTACTGAAATCCTTAAATCAGTTAATGACACAGCAAAGTGGCATCACATTTAGGTTAAAGACATGCACCTTGGTGTTTTCTCTACAATACCATAATAACACTCATAAAAATATTTTAAAAGGCATCAAGAGAGTTAAATATAAATGAGTGGAGTATGTATTTTTAAAGCAATGGAAATAGTTAACCAAAATTTTAAAATATATTTTTCTAAGCAGACCTGTATTAAATGGGTCTCTCACGAGCATGTTGATTTATGGCAATATTCAGTTTGGCTTGTAAGCTCTATCTCATTGTGTTTCAGTTAGGGAAAAGTCTTCTAATTGTCTGAATTGTGTTGACTAGAAGTCTCCTGTGGAGTCAGCCATGTCAGTTGGTTTATTAGTTAATTAAGTGTCATTTTATACCTTATTTTCTAAATTCCAGGCACCCAAAAGAGCTCACTTTTAAGATTCTCCTTTCTATCAGGTATCTGCATAATTAGTCTCATTTTTGAATGCACAGTAGAACAGAACAATTAATTGGGACCACATGCAATTATGCTGAAAGGTCAGGTGCTACCCATAATAAAACTCTGCTCAAAAGTGTGTTTGGGGAGAGCATGAATATGGTTATCCAGGAGAATTTTTAGGGGCAGAAAATCTCCAAATGCAATTAAGTGGGCTGTAAAGTAATCACTTGCAATTTTTCATTTTTAAAGCAGGAGACTTTTTGAATGTTGTATTAAATGAATACTTCTAAGACCAATCAACTTTAGGAGATTTACATCAGGAGGTGACAAATTCATACCCTAAAGCAGAAAGCACATTATTTGGCCTGAAACTTCCTGTGTGAGTTTCAAGTTACAAAGAGCTTTCATGGAGCAGTTGCTACAAACCCCTCAAATACAGTTAATAGTAAAAGTGCTAGCTTTATCCATCTTGGGCAATTTGAACAATATAGCTATAAAAATTACAGTTAGAAGTATGGATGTGTGGATTATAAAGTATCCCCAGTACTCAAATGTCCATGAATTCATAATTCTGTGTTCTTCAACAATATTATGTTTGCCTGTTAAATGCAAATTTCTGAAGTAGATTTCACTCTGGAGGAAGTTCCAAAGATACCTCTGTCACTATTAAAAGTATATGTATATTTTACAGCCCTAGACAGGTTTATAAAATGCTCACTGTTTCCCTCATTTGGAAAAGATTTTGCTGATAAAAGAAAAGTGGTAGAGAGACAAAAATGCAGAAAAGTACAAGAATTGACAACAAAACATTTTTCTCTGCAGTAACCAGTTTCGCATATCTGTATACACAAACAATATTTTGATTTAATAAACAGGAAGAAATATTTGCAACATGAATGATGCAGATATCCTTATTTCATGGTAACAAAAAGACAGTAGATCTGGAATATTTATAGATTTAGGCTTTGTTCAAGGATTGCGCATGCATTAAACCAGTACCTACTATGTGTTATAGTAGTGGCTGTGGAGATAAAAACATAATTAAGACAGAGTCATAACTTCAATGACTTTCCTTTACAATGAAAATATTGAGACTCCATTTGCACACCATATAAAGGCTTACACTCTGGAAATTAAACTGATCTCAATTTCAATCCTGGTTCACCTTTTTTACTAGTTGTGTGACCTTAGGCAAGTTCCTTAATCTCCCTGTGCCCTCTTTTTCACATTTATAAAATGATCATTTAAATAATAATAACTACAAAGATTCTAAATTGCTAGTGGCAGAATAATTAGCTCAAACTAGGTTAAACCAAAGGAACATTCATTTGCTCATATAGCCAAAGAACAGAAAGGCTAAGGTAGATTTTCCCTGAGGAGGTCTCGAACCTAGGACTCAAAATCCTATGGATTGGAGAATTCCAAAGCCCATTTCTTTATTCATAATTGGTACATTCTCATCAGGACAATTTGCTCCTTTCTGTTTCTCAACCCTAGTGGTGTTTTTAGAGCCCTTGTTCCATCAAATCAAAGGGAAGATTCTCTTCTCTTAAAAAACAAAATTAGATACCAATGTGAATATTTATTTAGAAGGGGTCTGTACAAATAACTTGAAAGTTACACATAATTAGGTTCTTGATAAATCCACCTCTTACTAAATCACAAACTCCTAGGAGCAGGGACCTTTGCTTCTTTAATGTGTGTAACCCATCTTTCATCTACTTAGTAGGTCCTAAATAAATGCCTTGTATTATGTGTGTGAGTGGGTCTGGTGATGTGTGTATATGTGTGTGCATGTGTCTGTATGAAGAATTTTGGCCATATCGATCCCCACATGAAAACCTTTATATTTCAAAGTCTTTATATTTCATAGAATACAAAGTCTAATCTCATTAGCATTCAAGGTCCTTTGGGATCTGCCCTACAATCTTCTTCACTCACTATTCCCTTCAGTTGCATCTCATTAACTGACATGTTCAAACACGCTGGACACTGCTCCATCTCCGAGCTTATTTTGAGCATTTCCATCTCCTTGATGTGGTTTTTCCCATTTCTGCATTTCAAAAGCCCTTCCCATCCTTTGGGGCCCAGCTCAGGTATAATCCCCACCATGAAGTGTTCTCTGACGTGCTTATTCATAAGTTCTTTGAACAGACATATTTAGTATCTAACAATATCCCAAGTGTTTGGGATAAAATAATGAATGAGATGCACTTCTTCCTTTGAGGAACTCACCGTGTAATGGGATAAATTTTTCAATTACAATATGACAGGGTCAGATGGAGCTAGGTATAGAGTATAAAGGAGTCACCAAGTCTGAACTAAGGGTAGCAGGGGAGGCTTCCTGGGAGATGTGGTGACCGCTGTTCAAGTGCTGTTCTTCTAGTGTGTAACCCACCTGTTCAGGTCTCTAAGAGACACTCAGTGAGGGTCTGCAATGCAGCTAGTTGCGTGTGTGTCACTCTTTTTAATTAAAACATTCGTGATATTAAAAATCATAACAGGCCAGACGTGGCGGCTCACGCCTGTAATCCCAGCACTTTGGGAAGCCAAGGGAGGTGGATCACTTGAGATCAGGAGTTCAAGGCCAGCCTGGCCAACATGGTGAAACCCTGTCTCTATCAAAAATACAAAAAATTAGCCGGGTGAAGTGGCGGGCGCCTGTAATCCCAGCTACTCAGGAACCTGAGGCAAGAGAATAGCTTGAACCTGGGAGGCGGAGGTTGCAGTAAGCTGAGATCATGCCATTGCACTCCAGCCTGGACAACAAGAGCAAAACTCCGTCAAAAAAAAAAAAAATCATCATAACAACTATAAAAACAAACTTCATTTAGAGTACCTACTATTTGCCCATCCCTGTATCAATTACTTTCAATGGATTAGCTGATTTAACCTTCACAGCTGCATCTCTATGAAGAAAGATAAAGGGCAACAATGTGATTTTCTATGACATGTTACAGGCCGGTCTAATCAGAGAAACCATTCAAGCAGAGACAGTGATTGGCTCAGGGAAGGGCACATGAACTCACTTGGACTAATCAGATTTCATCCCTGGGATCGCTGTGGAATTCAAAAGCCTCTAAGCATCACTTCAGGATATTTCATCTCCTTGGAAGACTGTCTCTGCTTCATCCACCCAGTAAATTCCTGCCCATTTTTCAAAATGTGGCTCAGTTATCTCTCCTTTGATTTATTCTTAGACCCTCGTAGGTACTCTCCCTCTTTTATTTATATATTCTTAAACAGTGTCTGGCTCTGTATCCCAGGCTAGAGTGCAATGGCACAATCTTGGCTCACTGCAGCCTCAAACTCCCAGGCTCAAGTGATCCAAGCTCAGCCTCCCAAGTAGCTGGGACTACAGGCATGTGCCACCACACCCAGCTAATTTTAGTATTTTTTGCATAGATGGGGTCTTACTATGTTGTCCAAGCTGGTCTTGAACTCCTGGGCTCAAGTGATCCTCCCACCTCATCCTCCCAAAGTACTGGAATTACAGGCATGAGCCGCCAGGTCTGGCCCATTCTCCCTCTTTTAACCACATGATTTTCTTAAACTCATCTCCACTATGACACTTCTCATAGTGTTAGTTGTGCATACATTGTTTGATAAAATATGATGTGTGGAAGGTAGAGCCCATGGCTTATTTATTTTTTCATTACCAATGTTAATTCCAGTGCCTTGCATATATTTATTAAATGAACAAATGAATGGATGAGTAAATGAATGAAGTATAAGTCTCAGTTGGATACAATTTCTTACGACATTTACCAGCAATAAATAGGTTTCCAACTCAATGTCATCTCATATTATTTTCTTAGGATGTCTTGGGTCATTTGTCTCACTTATTCTCCACATGCTTATTTCTATTGACTATCCAGCACTTCTCTTTGTCTATTTTTCTATGTTACACTAAAAATAAATCACAATTGTTGGTGTATTCCTGCTGAAGTTTGTCATTAATTCCACCCAGCTTATGGAATAGCTGCATTGAGAAAATAATAAGGGACCTCATCGCGAGTTTCCCCATTAACTTCCTCAGGAAAATGTTAGACATTTGGTGTCAATCATCTCAGTTAACCACAGACTTAGGGAATGAGATGTCAGAATCATGGGCCTTTATCTGTGTCTTATTGTTAGTCTTCCTGAGTATGGAAGGGAATATTTGGATTATTCTGAGTGAAAGACAGTGAAGTAGATGTCTCTGACACATAAATCCACCATATCGGAGTTTCGTAGCAATGATAATCCTGTCACAGCTGTTAGAATTTATTCCTTTATCCCTGTGACATTTTAACAGGAGACAAATCCAAGTTATTATAAACAGATAAAAACCATTCAGTCCAAAATGGCTTGTATTAGCAACTTCATCCTGCTGACAAGCCTTGTTTCAGAAATTTGTAAACATTATTCTTGCACATTTGATTTTTCCCCTCTACAAACCTGAACCTACGTCAGGCTTTTATCCTATAAAATTTAAAACTGCCAGTTTAAAATGTTTATTTAGTTACATCCTAGGATATAAGCGATGGAAATATATAGCCATTTAACCAGCTAAGTGATGGAGAAAACGGTGAGTGGCTGTTATTTGCTTGATTTTAGTATTCTGTCAGTACCAATGGCTTTAGTATCAGATTGGAGAGGGAGCTGTGGAAATTGAAGAATAAATTGAATGGATATTTGGGAAAGGCATTTTGTGGGAGAGTAAGAGCTTTCAAAGAATTACTCATGTATATATATTTCCCAGATGCCTCTGAATTCTTTATTTGAACTGACATGGTTTGGCTAAATATACTACTATCCTGTTTGCCCAGTCCAAGCAAGAAACAGACAGAAAAGGTGTGAAATTTAAACAGTATATGAAGGATAAACACATGTTAGGGGACAGCCTGCAGTCCTTAGGTCTATAATGCTGGAAATCTATAGATACATATCTCCAGCCCTAGATAACACTTGCAATTATTCTTACTTCTCTTCCCCTGATGGGTAAGTGCTCTGCTAATGGAGCAGTGATGCTTGCTGAATGAATTATGAAGAAGGATGGCTTTTATTTTCCTTTGGATAGGCAGAACTGTTTCCAAGCCAAAGGTAGAACAATAAAAGCTATTGCAAAGATACAATAAAATGATGTGTGCCAGACAGCATCAAAAGGTAGAAAGGTCCAATATCCTGGAGAGGTATTATAGTAGGTATTTGTACCTTCATACCATTTAGGCTTCCCAGGTAGGATTTACTGACATGAAAATACAGTTAGTTTTGCCTTTCTTGAGATTGTCTGACTACATTGAACAGAAGAATGAATTGAAGTTAAGGCCAATGAGAAAGATGGCACCAGGTTAGTCAATCAGCAATCTGCTTCTTTTCAGGTTGTTCCTAAAAACAATGGTGTCCACCATTCCCTGGCTTACTTATTATGGTTTATGCCCAATCATGAGCAGAAAGTGGCTGACTCCAAATCTCTACAAGATAGCTTGTAGTGTCCCTGGGCTATCAAGGACCCTGAAAAGCCAGCTTTCAACTAAGACAGTAGTGTTCACATTTTATGTATTGTATCACCATTTGATTAAATATGATTTTAAATGTAAATTGAATGCATAAAACATATAAACTGAAGACATCAATCCAGTTGTTGCTGAGGTAAAGATACCAATGACTTGGCTGGGTGCAGTGACTCATACCTGTAATCTCAGTGCTTCGGGAGGCTGAGGAGGGAGGATTAATTGAGGCCAGGAGTTCAAGGCCACCTAGGCAACATAGTAAGACCTCGTCTCTACAAAAAAAAAATTTTTTTAATTAGCCAGGCATAGTGATGTGCACCAGTAGTCCTAGCTACTAGAGAAGCTGAGATAGGAGGATGACGAGCTCAGGAGTTCAAGGTTGCAGTGAGCCATGATGGTGCCTAGGTGAAAAAGTGACACCCTGTCCTTCACCTTTCCCTTCCTCCTTGAGGGAAGCTGTGAGACTACCAGGAATATCTAAGCTACCTAAACTCTGGCCAGGTGCAATGGCTCACACCAGTAATCCTAGCACTTTGGGAGGCCGAGACAGGTGTATCACCTGAGGTCAAGAGTTCGAGACCAGCCTGGCCAACATGGTGAAACCTCGTCTCTACTAAAAATATAAAAATTAGCCACCTGTGGTGGCGGGCACCTGTAATTCCAGCTACTTGGGAGGCTGAGGCAGGAGAATCGCTTGAACCCAGGAGATGGAGATTGCATTGAGCTGAGATCATGCCACTGCACTCCAGCCTGGGCAACAGAGCAAAACCTCCACCTCAAAATAAATAAATAAACAAATAAACTACCTAAACTGTACCAACTAATAAAAAAAAAAACACTGAGCAAAGGGCCCACTTTTATAATGAAGGCTAGTATAATGAGAGGATGACATGAAAGACCAGTGTTTAAGTCCTGGCTCTAGTGTAGGCCTGATACTAAACAGAAACATTTGTAGAGTCCTAAATAAATATAAGGGAGACATCCTCACCTTTGTTTTCCATTTTTCTTTTTCACACCATAAAACTGACTCACATTTCATCAAAAATTAAGGGGCATGGCCTAGGTCACATAACTAAGAAATGACCCAAAAAAGACCATATTCTGATCCTAATCATTCAAACCATGTGCTCATCACAGTATATCTTCTTACGTTGTTAATATTTATTCAAGATTTAGCTCAAGAAAGAAGAGAATCTTGGTTTGGCGGCATTTTATAAAAGGAAAAAAAAAGGATGAAGAAAGAAAAAGAGAGGACTAGAGAGAGGAAAAAAACACACATTATTCTGCTGCCCTACATCCCTGGTCTTTTGAGCTATCTTTCTGTAATAATTATTGTACTACTTTCTGACACTAGGACACTTTGCCCACTCAGTGCCCATGAAATCTCTAAAATAAATGTCATGGTAACAAAAAAAAAAAAAGCATGACAATTACTTTCTTCATATGAACGATCCTTGAAACAATTCTTACTCTCAATATGTACAGGAGAAAACCAAATAAAGTGGCATCGTATCCATTTTTCAAGTGTGAGAACTGGAGCAAGGAATAGTATTCAAGTGATATAGTAGGTAATATGGTTTGGCTGTGTCCCCACCTAAATCTCATCTTGAATTGTTGCTCCCACAATTCTCACATGTTGTGGGAAGAATCTGGTGGGAAGTAATTGAATCACACAGGTGGGTCTTTCCCGTTCTGTTATTGTGATAGTGAATAAGTCTCACAAGATCTGACGGTTTTATAAAGGGGAGTTCCCCTGCACACGCTCTCTCTTGTCTGCCTTCAGTAAGACTTCCCTTGCTCTTCCACCACGATTGTGAGTCTTCCCCAGCTATGTATAACTGTGAGTTAATTAAACCTCTTTCCTTTACAAATTACTCAGTCTCAGGTATGTCTCTATTAGCAGCATGAGAACAGACTAATACAGTAAGCATAAATGATAGCCCACTATATTTGTCAGGGTTCTTCAGAGAGAGACTATAGATAGTCTTTTGGTTTACAGATAAGCCAAAAGACTATAGCTACAGATAAGATATAGACATGGATGATATAGATGTAGATATTTGAGAAGGGAATTATTAGGGAAATTGGCTCACAAGGTTATGGAGGCTGAGAAGTTCCACGACAGGCTGCCTGCTAGCTGGAGACCCTGGGATGCTTGTAGCATAGCTCAATCCAAGTCCAAAGGCCTCAGGACAAGGGAAGCTGATAGTGTAACTCTCAGTCCAAGGTGGAAGGCCTGAGAACCCAGTGGGCCACTGGAACAGTTCTGGAGTCCAAAAGCCAGAGAGCCTGGAGTTCTGATGACTGAGGACAGGAGAAGAGTGTATCCCAGCTCCAGGAGAGACAGGAAATGGTCTTTCTGTTCTATTCAGGTCTTTTTTGTTCTATTTGGCTGATTGGATGATGTCTACCACACTGAGGACAGATCTTCCCCACCCAGTCCACTGACACACACGCCATTCTCCTCTGTACATGCCCTCACAGACACACCCAGAATTAACTCTTAACCAATTCTTCAGGTAATCTTTAATCCAATTAAGTTGACAACTAAAATTAACTCTAGCATCCACCCAGATCATTTTCTCTGCTTGTCTTGCACCTATGCACCAGTTGTTTTGAGTGTTGTCTGTCACCCTCTTCTGGGAAGTTCCTCCTGCTGATGGAATTCATGGTGTGTGGAAATGAGGCTGGTTCATAAATAATGACAACATAGGGACACAAATAGACCACCCTCTTTCCTCAAGATGAGACAACTCTGTGGTTTATGCATGAGACTTCCAGTATGACAGAGCAGGGATGTTTAGAAATTCTCTCCACATAAAGCAACTATGAAGCTGGACAAAACAGTCAAAAATAACCATTTCAGAATTCTGTAATTTGACCAAAGGCAAGCAGCAAGGCCAGAATTCATGCTCTCGACTGTTGCTATTAGCTCCACGTGCAGCCCCCTCCCCCACTGCCCACCCCCCATCCCACCCCACCCACAAGCCCCGCCCTCCAACACACACTCTCCAGCTCTGTGACAGCACTAGTTCAACTAGGCAAGGCAGAACCACAAAAACCACAGCTTTGCTTCTGCTACTAGAGGGTGTTCACTTGATTTGGAGTTTAAAAACTTCAGTTTAAAGAGAAAATCTTAGAGGCAAGCAAATAGGGAGATAGTGCTCCCGCTAGCCTGAGATTGTGGTCCTGTTTGGAGTAATAAATGGACTTAGGGAAATAAGCTGAGATAAGCTTGATAAACTCGTCACACAACCCAGATTGATGCAAGGATGTGCACATGTGCAGCAGAGACGGGAGAGGGTTTAATCCACATGTACGTTGCTGGTTAGCAGACACTGTGTGCACATGCAAAGAGATGCAGAAAATCTCAGCAGAAAGTAAAAGTCTGACCAGACTTTAACATGGCCTGAAGTTTTTAATGTATTCCTGAGTCTGGAAATCCATCCTCAGAAAGTGGAAGCCTTGCTGGTTGAAAGTATTTGAACACAACCTCCGACCAATGTTTTGACTAGTCACTTTGCAGACATAGAGGCTAACCCTAGGAAGAGAAGTTTAAAAAATAGAAGTGACTGGGCGCCGTGACTCACGCCTGTAATCTTAGCACTTTGGGAGGCCGAGGCAGGCGGATCACTTGAGGTCAGGAGTTGGAAACCACCCTGACCAACATGGTGAAACCTCGTCTCTACTAAAAACACAAAAAAATTAGCTGGGCATGGTGGCGGACGCCTGTAATCCCAGCTACTCGGAAGGATGAAGGCGGAGAATCACTTGAACCTGGGAGGCAGAGGTTGCAGTGAGCCAACATCGTGCCACTGCATTCCAGCCTGAGCAATAGAGCGAGACTCCATCTCAAAAAATTAAGAAAAAAGAAATAAGAACAGAAGCCAACTAAACCCAACGCAAGCAGATAAAAGAAATAATAAATATCGGCCAGGCGCAGTGGCTCACACCTGTAATCCCAGTACTTTGGGAGGCCGAGGTGGGCAGATCACGAGGTCAGGAGATCGAGACCATCCTGGCTAACACGGTGAAACCCCGTCTCTACTAAAAATACAAAAAATTAGCCGGGCGAGGTGGCGGGCGCCTGTAGTTCCAGCTACTCGGGAGGCTGAGGCAGGAGAATGGCGTGAACCCGGGAGGCAGAGCTTGCAAGTGAGCTGAGATCGCGCCACTGCGCTCCAGCCTGGGTGACAGAGCGAGACAAAGAAAGAAAGATGAAAGAAAGAAAGAAAAGAAAGAAAGAGAAAGAAAGAAAGAAAGAAAGAAAGAAAGAAAGAAAGAAAGAAAGAAAGAAAGAAAGAAAGAAAGAAAGAGAAGGAAGGAAGGAAGGAAGGAAAGAAAGGAAGAATAAATATCAGTGAAAACTAATGAAATACTGAAAAACAATAGACAAAAATGAAAACAAAAATTGCTTTTTAAAAGATGAACTGACATGCTCTTACTTAAATTGACCAAACAAATAGGAGGGAAGGCTCACATTGCCAAATTCGGAGTGAAAGAAAGAATATCATTGCTGACCCTACATAAATTATAAATTTATGAGGAACTATTATCAACAACTTTATGACAACAACTTAGACAACTTAGATGGTATGAACAGATTTCTTAAAAAACTGAGATTACAAAACTATCTAAAGAAGAAATTGGACAATTCGAGTTGGACAATAACATATAAATGAATTAGTCATTTAAAATCTTCCTACACAGAAGATTTCACTGGTGAATTCTATGAACTATTCAAGGAAGAAAATATCAATCCTTTAAAAATTCTTTCAGAAAATAGAGAGGAAGGGGACTTTTCCAATTCATTCTTTGAAAATAATATTAGCTTTCTCTAAAGCCAAACAATGACATCAAAAGAAAATCCATATTTCTTATGAACGTAACCACAAAAATACTTAACAATCACAAACTGAATTCAGGGACATATAAAAATGATTATACACTATGCCATGTTGGGCTTATCCAGAAATATAAGGTTGATTTGACGTTCAAATCTCAATATGTAATATACCATATTAATAAAATAACAGACATAAATCAAATGATCATCTCGATAGATGCAGGAAAAGCATTTGACAAGTGTTCTGAGGAGTGTTCTATGAGTTTCTGGGATGACATTGGGAATGGACTGGCAGATTGATAAATTGGGTTTAGAAGAGTAGAAGTGGCAAATGTCCTTTCATATGGTGACAATGTGGAATTCTGAAAGGCAAAGGAGGTGAGGCCTACATCAATGGGACACTTACTGGCGGTGTTGCTTCCATTCCTGGATGACATGGTGATGGGTGGGGTTCCATTAGGTTTAGTTATGGTAGTTCTTCCTCCTTTATAGGCCTTCACATCTCCCTAGACACAAATCCATCCCAGAATTGGTCTCAGGTGAGACTCAGTCAACTGGTTCTTCAGAATCCTGACACTCAAGTAATTATTCTTTTTTCCCCCTTACCCAACTGTGTGACTGCCATCACTAATTTTAGAATGCAAATAGACAAGCTATTCTAATTCCCTTTCTCCAGGAAGCATGGACTATAGAATGTCTTAGTACAAATTCAAGTTTTATCATTTACAAAGTATAGAAAGTATAGTAAGAACTGATATCTGACTCTATGAATTAAATTTATTACTTGTTGTGTGACCTTACACTCTCTAAACCTCAGTTTCTATAGCTGTAAGATGACAATTATAAGAACAGTTACTACCTAAAAGAACTACTGTGAACATTAACTGAGGTAAGATATTTAAAGTGCATAATATGTATCTGGCACTAGTAAGAATTACATGAATTTTAGTTATTTTATTTTTAGATGTGATATTTGTCCCTGAATTTTAAACTTTTCACAGGCCTTCAAAGAGCTTTATATTCTGGTCTGAATCTTCCTTTTGAAATCCATCTCTTACTGTATATCTCCATTCACCATGAACCTCAGCCTAATTAAACGACTCAATCTTACTTGGACAGCATATAACTTAACTGTAGGAAAAACACTATGGCATCAACAAAGTTAAACAAACAGTCTCTTACATATTATTTTACATTCAGCAAAATGTAATTAAAGTGATTTAAAGATACTATGAATTTTTGACAGTTGTCTCCCCAGGGGACTGGCTTGATGTGATATTAAAATACGTTTTATTTTATCTACTGGAAATTCAAGAGGAATGCTCTCTGCAATTCAAAAGGGACGAAAATCTCAGAATAAAAAATTCATTTTCAATCCCTGCAGAGTTCATTATGAACAACAGAGTGCTAGAAATTAAAACATTTGAATGCATTTAATAAGGTTCTATAATGGAATGACATTCATGTTTAGATAGATTCTCTAGTCTTTCTCCCTCTTTCATCTCTCTAAATTCTATGGTTAGGGAAAAAGTGAAATACTGATGTGATTTAATTGGTTAATTATGGCTAGATTCATCAGCAAAGTAAGAGAGCTGAAGCAATTATCTAGATTATTAAAGTTTAGAAACTGTCCTTCCCCCTGATATCTTGATATCCCAGTCAAAGTGGGTCATGACTATTACATTAATTGAGACCAAACTATTTGTGGTTGCAGGAATGTGCATGCTTAAAAAATAAAACTAGAGTATTTAGGCCAGAATTAATTGAATCAGAAGAGGAGATTAAGGCAACATAGAAAGTTACTTAAATTTTTAACTTTTTTCATCTTCCTTCATATACTATACTTTAACTAAATTACCTATATAATACTGAAAGAAAAATACTTTTGCCTAATTATTCATAGAATTAGCTTAAGGCCATTCATCAATAAAATGTGTGGTATTTGTTTTGAAATATTTTTTAAATGGTTTTGAAATTTTCGAAAAAGAGTTTACTATATAATTCATGTTACTCTTACAACTGAATATATACTAGTAAAAAGAAATCCTCAATATCGGTAATACCTTATTTTCAGTTTGTTTGTATAAATGTGGATTGATTCCCTTGATCAACTTTGGACACAGCCATATTCCACCTTTAAATTACTTATCTTTATGCAGCTGAGTAAGTTTCAACATAAGGCTAATCCAAAGAAAAACATGTATGTATTTTTCCTGTCTCTTATTATACAACTTCTGCATTATATTATTTTTAAATATCAAGGAAAAATAAACTTCAATAATCTGATTATTATGATAATCAGAATTTGGTATTATCTACACAAACTCTTTGTCCTAATTAGTTTCTTTTAGGAAAAATTACATTATCCACACACATCTAGTAGTTACGATTTGACAATCTGTACCTCATATAACCAAATTTTATTACACACACATTTCTTATGTTATTGGTCAGGAACTTAATTGCTGTGAAAAGCTCTGGGAGAGGCTTCAGATGGACTTTTGAATAATCATGTCATCAGGAATTTGACATGCTTACTCACCTATTAATTCTAAATTCTATTGTGTAAACGTCTCATTCAGACAGGCTGCCCTTCTTGGTGTTCTCTGTAATTTCTACATTTACAAAATATTTTTTCAGTAACTCTTGAATAAAAACAAGTGGCTATTTTAAATAACACCAACAGAAGTTCCAATATTAAATCCCGCCAACTTGATTTAAGTTCCATTTTCCATTTCCCAAGCAAGTAGTTGTGTCCACAGATTTGCAATGCTTGGCTAACCTAGATTGAGTTGTATGTTGACTCCCATACTGGTGTTGGGATGAGCCTCACTCAAAGTGCCCTGTATTAGTCAGATTTTGCTTGATTATCCGGCAATAACAAAGACCTTAAAATCAAAGCTCACAACAACAAATGTTTCTCATTTGTGAAATTTGTGATATCAGCTGTGGATAGACTATGGCTCTGTTTCTGGCCATGTATCTTCTCCATTCTGGGGTCTAGGCCGAAGGAACCACTCTATTTGGGACATGCCACATTCAAGGTAGAGAATAAAGAGCAAGAGTTTTTTTTGCTTGTAAATGACTTGAAGCTTCGGCCTCGTACTGATATATGCTACTTCTGCTTACATTATATTGACCAAAGCAAGTCATAGGGAAAAGCCTAAGAATGCAGTAGGGAAATATTAAATAACACTTCTCCCACTGAAAGAAACCATCATGGCAATGGATAGGGGTGAGAATTCTTGTTCCTAGAAAAAAGAATACATTTAGGATAATAATACAATCTACCACGTACATACTTAAAGAGTCAGAAAGTTTCATTCCACAAGGAGATTTCCTACAAAATTACAACAGATTTCCACTACAATCATCTACTCTCACACTCTGAAGCTCCAGCTGAACTTTCAGTGCAGAGTATCTCTCAGTCCTAAGAGACTTAACATTAAGGTCGCATATGTGAAAGATTAGTCAGAATGCTGGGTGTCCCATATAGGCTAGATAGGGTGATGTGTAGCAACATTAAAACAAGAAGGAAAAGATGTGCTTCAGGAGCTATTTGTAAGCACAATGTGGAAGATCCAGAGTGAATAACTGGACAACAAAACTTAAAATCTGAGCTGAAACAAAACAGAGGTATATCTACATAGATTGATTTAGCAATTTGAGAACAGTAAGTGAAAAATACAAAGTGAAAACAGGAAGAATGGCAAGTTTAGGACTAAACTCCAACATGCTGTTCAGTTTAGCAATTTAGTAGTGCTTCTTTAGAACTTTAGCACTAAAGTATTAAAGTACTTCTTTTTTAATGTAAACAAAACATTATTATAAGTGCCCTTTCTTCCAGATTCCCTAAACTTTTTTCTTGGACTCAGGGACTAGTTTCCTTCTTATTCTATGTATTTAATCTCTGTCTAATTGATCTCATTGATTGATATCTAAGATCTAACTGATCTATGTATCTAACTAATTCAGGACCATTTATCACAGTAGGACCCTTTTGGTAAATCAATTGGCCATATGTAAATGAGTTTTTTCTAGGCACTCTAATTTTCCCTATTTAAAAATAAAGCTTTTTAACCTTGTATTAATGCTGCATGGTCTTGTTTACTATTGCCAGCAACTTTTGATCAAAAATGGCACCCTTTGATTAATTTAAGCATTGGTCCAATTAGTTATTCCACAATGGGAAATTACTCACAATTAAAGAACTAAACAGCAGCGAACACATTATCCAGGTATTGACAAACAAGATACTTATGCCCAATAATAAAGCTTTTAGGCAGGCAAGAAATTTATGTGTGACAGCTCTTCATTTGGAAATCACAATATGTGACCACCAGCTCTAGGGTTACCATGCTAATTTGGATCTTAAGGAATCATGGTGATGAAAGAAAGCACTTTTTTTTTTTTTTTTGAGATGGAGTCTTACTCTGTCACCCAGGCTGGAGTGCAGTGGCATGGTCTTGGCTTACTGCAACCTCTGCCTCTTGCGTTCAAATGACTGTCCTGCCTTGGCCTCCAGAGTAGCTGGGACTACAGGTGCCCACCACACTGCCTGGCTAATTTTTGTATTTTTAGTAGAGATGGTGTTTCACCATGTTGGCCAGGCTGGTCTCGAACTTCTGACCTCATGTGATCTGCCTGCCTTAGCCTCCCAAAATGCTGGAATTAGAGGTGTGAGCCACCACTCCTGGCCTGAAAGAAAGCACTCTTCAGGGGAATGTTCTTGCAGCTGATTGTTGATAGTGTATACACCAGAAAATCAACTGGACAACTCGAAAATAAAAATGAGACATAAAAAAAAAGCTGCTCTTTTCTCAGTAAAACTGATAATTACAGAGCCATGCAGTTTGTTCTGCTACTTACATTACCCATATTTCATAATCAACATTTTGAGGGCTTTTAACACTTTAACTGTTTTGCAATTGATCTGATTCTTCTAAAGAGTTATGTATTTCTGAGATGAGTTTTTTTTATTTGTTGATTGCCAACAAGCTGCAAACAATAATATGTAAAGACACCTGAGTTAATTTGAGTGGCTTTTCCAGGGCTTCTCAAGCTTTAATGTGCATATGGTTCACCTGAGGATTGTGTTACACTTCAGATTCTGATTCAGTAGGTCTGGAATGGGACCTAAGAGTATGCATTTCTGATAAGTTGGTCTGCTGTTGATCAGCTCACAAGTTAAACATCATGTCAATGTTGCTGGTCTGCAGACCACACTTAGAGGAGCAAGCGTTTACACAGAAACTTGGAAATATTAAGTCAGCAGCAGGCTGGGCTTGGAAAGTGGAATACAGGCACCGTTGGGAGGACTGGAACCCCATTTTTCAAGGACTGGCAACTCACTGACTTAAACTGAGGATTTTATGTACTATCAAATAAGAGAAGCCTTACTATGGGTCTCCGCATCTTTGCCCCTATGCTATTTGAATCCTAATCACCTCTTACCCCAATCAGTAGAGCAGCCAATTGACCAGTCTCCCTGCTCCCTCTTGTGTCTTTTTAAAGTTCTTTCTCAGGCCAGGCACAGTGGCTCATGTCTGTAATCGCAGCACTTTGGGAGGCTGAGGCTGTCTATACTTCATAACTATCCACAATCTTTCTGCTATTGCTACATTTTTACTTCCCTTGGACCTTTGTTTGTTTTGTCTTTTTGTTTTTTTGTTTTTTAAGACAGGGTCTTGCTCTGTCACCCAGGCTACAGTGCAGTGATGTGATCGTGGTTCACTGCAGCCTTGACCTCCTGGGTTCAAGTGATCCTCCAACCTCAGCCTCCCAAGTAGCAGGGAACATGGGCACATGCCACCATGCCTAGATAATTTCTAAATTTTATGTAGAGAGACAAGGTATCCCTGTGTTGCCCAGGCTGGTCTCAAACTCATGGGCTCAAGTGATCCTCCCATCTCAACCTCCCAAAGTGGACTTTACATTTTTTTAAATCTTTGCATTGCCACTTCCTTCTACTGCTTGATAGGTAACACTCCATCTCTGAGTAGATGCTTCAAAGGGTGGCTTCCTAGTTCATTTAGAAAAACATACTAAATCTTTGATAAGGCCTTAAAAAGGGACATAATCTCTTAATGTCTGATCAAACTTTAGTTCCTCACCTATTTAATCAGGCGGCCAAAGTGTATTGGGAGAATGTCAAAGCCATGGGCTTGAATGTACCACGGTGAGGTCTAGATTCTAGAATCTCCATGTCTCAAATGTCCTAACTCAATGGAAATAATACAATATATGCCTGACTTTAAATATAGTTGGTGTTTCCGCATGTTCTCACTTATAAGTGGGAGTTGAAACAATGAGAACACATGGACACAGGAAGGAGAACATCACATACCAGGGCCTGTCGGTGGGTAGGGGGCTAGGGGAGGGATGGCATTGGGAGAAATACCTAATGTAGATGATGGGTTGATGGGTGCAGCAAACCACCATGGCACGTGTATATCTATGTAACAAACCTGCACGTTCTGCATATGTATCCCAGAACTTAAAGTATAATTAAAAAAGTGATATCAGAACTTCAAAAAAAAAAATTTCTCTGATGAACTGCTGATGTATAACTCTGGCGTACTATATAAAATCTAGATACCGATCTCAAACTTATTTTTAGTTTTTCCATAATAAATATGTATTTATTTTATTACTGGAAAAGGTAAACATTAATATAACTGCAATATAGATACAGAAAATCTATTTTTAAAATGTTTAGAGTTTTTGTGTGAATTATTTAACTATTTTGGGGGAGATCCAAGGATAGAACTAGCTATACACATGTTATTGATTTTAATGTTTGGAACAATGTCTTCTGGGATTTGGGTAGTGGTATAACTCACAACACCATTATTATATTTTGCATATGTACCTTAAAGTTTGCATTATTATCGATTACATACTTAACTCATGTTAACAACTGATTGCCTTATAAGATAACATTTTGAAGACTGTGAGTACTCAATTAAATGAATGAACCAATAATAAATGGAGAATGGACCCCAAAAATATATCTATATATATATAGTCAGTGTTCAATAAACATTTGGAAAACAAGTTAAATGCATGATTGGGTTCATAAAAGAATATATGTGACTTATTTCCAAAGGCCACTCTAAACTGAGTGTCAAAAAAGTGAATATTAGTGGTTAAAGCACAAATAATGGTTTTGATTCTGAGCCCCCTTGAGTAACATCATTGGGAACCAGGTTAATTTTCTTTCTGCAATAGACACAGGAACTTCACTGTCTCTGGGAGGCTGTAGTCATGCTTTTATTGCCAAATGTAGGGCAATTAAAGTGAACTATAGACGTCCTGGGTGATTGAGCTCCAACCCATCTTCTTCCACTACAAGTATCCTAGTCACACCCTAAACCCAGTATGGGAAAGAGGGCATGTGAGAATGAGAGAGGGAGGAAGAGGGAGAACTCTTACTAATGTGAGAGCTGATCTTACTGTAAGTTTGGTTTATTCAGCCCCCTACCTGATGGGTCTTTCCCAGCAAACATGACTCCTCCCTGTATAACAGTTGTTACAACATCTTATTTGGAGCCAGGAAAATCTGTGTTCACATGATTACAGCCTGATCCTGGACAAGTGTCTCATCTTTCTTGAGACTTACTTTTCTCATCTGTAAATTGGGATTACTTACATCACTTTGGAGGATGAGGTCTAAGGGTTAAATATGCTAAGGCATAAAGAACACTGTAATAGTCAGAATTCTCATATACATATATATGTGTATATATATATTATGTGTATACATATATATGTGTATATATATATTATGTGTATACATATATATGTGTACATATATTATGTGTGTGTATATAGAGAGAGAGAAAGAGAGAGATTGTGTATAGAAAGAGAGAGAGAGAAAGGATGAGAGAATTGATTTAGTATAAGGAATTGAAGGAATTGGCTCATACAATTATGGAGACTGACAAGTCTGAAGATCTACAGTCAGCACTACAGAGAATTAGCAGAGTTAATTTTAAAGATGTAGTTCTAGTCCAAGTCCAAAGTCTCAAGAACCAAAAGACCTGATGGTGTAGTTCTAGTTCAAAGACGGTGAAAAAATTTCCAGCCAAAAGACAATTAGGCAGAAGGAATACTCCCTCATTCAGCTTTTTCATGCTATTCAGTCCTCAAGTGATTGGGTGAGGCCCACCCACGTGCGAGAGGACAATCTGCTTCCCTGAGTCCATGGATTCAA
Source organism: Homo sapiens (assembly GCF_000001405.40). Taxonomy (NCBI): domain Eukaryota; kingdom Metazoa; phylum Chordata; class Mammalia; order Primates; family Hominidae; genus Homo; species Homo sapiens. The sequence goes on along the minus strand of NC_000016.10, from coordinate 59,249,798 downwards.
ATGCAACGCCCTCACAGACGCACCCATAATCATGTTTGACCAAATATCTGAGCACCCTGTGACCAAGTCAAGTTACATAAAATCAACCAGCAAGAACACTTAGCGCAGTCTCCAGACCATCCTAAAATGAATAAATAAGAATGATTATTAGGACCCTAAATTCAGGCTTCATGTCTTTTGGGAAGACTTACTCCACTCCCTCTTAGGCAAGGAAGATAGCTCCTCCCAGCAATTCTTTCCATATCAGTTATAGCGCTCTAATTTTCAGTACCCAACTAGGAAAATAGAGACCACTAAAAAAAAAGTAGAGACCACTCTGAAGCAGAATATTTAAAGCAGAGATAATTTAATACAGAGAGTTACACGGGTGAAGGAGGAGCTGGGGGGTCAATCAGGGTGGGGCTGTGTAAGAAAGGGAAGGTGCACCACTCCTGGGCTGTCCCATAGGTAGGGACCTGTGCACCTGAAGTATCATAAGCCTCTGGAGGGAGCTGGAGGCACAGAGAAGACGTGACCCCAGGCAGTGAGGTATAAGGAACACCCTCTCCCACAGCCTGATCTCTGACCAGTGTCCCCAGTGAAACAGCCCAGCCAGAAGCCAGCTGATCCCAGCTCTGAAAAGCACCTGCAACAATTTGGTCCCTATAGTCGGCAGATTACGGCAGGGGCAGGGCAAGAAATAGATCTGAAGCAGACAGGAACAGAACCCCCTACCCCCGTCACATTCTCCACAGCTGTCTCCCATTCTCTCAGCTGCCCAGCTAGACTGTAAGCTGCTTTGAAATGGAAATTCTATGTACGAAACCCTGAGTACAACAATTTCCACAAAGTAGGTATTTTCTGAATGTCCATGGGTTTGGCTCATATTGTTGATGCATCTTTGAATTCTTTCCAGATAACATTTGTTCTTCCCCTTCTTAATGCTTAGGGCGAGACTGTCAAATACAGGAGGCTCCATTCCATTTGAATTTCAGAAAATCAACAAATAATTTTTTTAAGTATAAATATGTCACAAATATTGCATGGGACTTACCTACTCCCCTCCCCCAAATAATTCATTGCTTATATTAAATTGAAATTTAACTAAATGTCTTGTATTTTTATTTCCTACGTCTGACAGTGCTAACTTGGGAAAATGCAGAAGGAATGCATCCCTGGCTAATTGTGATGTCTCTGCTTCACCGCATGTGTGCTGTGTTGATCCGATTGTTCAGGTCTCTTTCGGTAACTGAGGGTACAAGATGCACCAGAAGGTGCGATAATAAAGTCATTGCTGATGAAGACCGACAGGTCCTCTGACATTTTTCACAGTCTTTGAGTGATTTCAGCTGGTATAGGAAAGAGCTTCAGCTCTCTCTATGGGCTCTTCACCCTGCCTGCAAGGCATGGGAAAAGCCTGGTCTGCTGGCCTCACAACAGATGGCCTCGCCACTGCACCAAACTTGCAAATGGGCTACTGATGCCAGAAAGAACTGGGTTTGATTTCTGTGGCCTTGTCTGAAAACTAAAGGCCACTTACTTAGTCACAGTATTTTATACTGTTCAAGTAGGTTACAAGCAGAGACTGGGTAGGTTTCAAACCCTGACTTTGCCACTGAGTACCCCTGAAATCTTGGGCAAGAAGTTTACATTTTCTGTGGCCCTGGTTTTCACATCTGTAAAATTACAATAATAATAACGAACAGGCTGAGCAGGATGGTTCACGCCTGTAATCCCAACATTTTGGGAGGCCGAGGCTGGTGGATTGCTTGAGTGCAGGAGTTCAAGACCAGCCTGGGAAACACGGCAAAACCCTATCTCTGCAAAAAATACAAAAATTAGCTGGGAGTGGTGGTGCATGCCTGTAGTCCCACCTACTTGGGGAGCTGAGGCAGGAGAATCACTTGAGCCCAGGAGGTCGAAGCTGCAGCGAGCCATGATCACCCCACTGCACTCCAGCCTGGGTGGCACAGTGAGACCCTGTCTCTAAATAAATTAATTAATTAAGGGAATGATGAAGATTGAATATGGTTATGCATGTCAAATTAGGATATTGTACCTGTCCTGTAAAAGGGAAGGGCACTTACTATGTTTGTTCATAATTAATTGAGGCTGAAATACATCAATGGGTGGCAGTTGAGGAGGCCTGTAGATGACCTCTAGGCTTTTCTTTATGCTGTTTCCCTCCACCACCATATCATACCCTACCGAATCCACTTCCCCTAGCTAATTTCTATTTGTATAGTGTGTTAGTCAATTTTGTATTGCTATAAAAAAGTTCATGAGCCTGGGTAATTTATAAAGAAAAGAGGTTAATTTGGTTGATGGTTCTCCAAGCTGTACAAGAAGCATGGTGCCAGCATCTGCTTCTGGTGAGGGCCTCAGGAAGCTTCCAATCATGGAGGAGTGCAAAGGGGAGCCAGTGTGTCACACAGTGAGAGAGGGGGCAAGAGAGAGGAGGAAATGCCGGCTCCTTTAAACAATCAGCTCTCAAGTGAATTAACAGAGAACTCACTCATCAGCAAGGAGAGGGCTCCAAGCCATTCATGACCCAAACACCTCCCACTAGGCCCCACCTCCACCATTGGGGATCACTTTCTTTTTTTTTTTTTTGAGATGGAGTCTCACTCTGTCTGTCGCCCAGGCTGGAGTGCAGTGGTAAGATCTCGGCTCACTGCAACTTCTGCCGCCCGGGTTCAAGCGATTCTCCTGCCTCAGCCTCCCAAGTAGCTGGGATTACAGGTGCCTGCCACCGCTCTCGGCTAATTTTTGTAGTTTTTATTTTTTAGTAGTGACGGGGTTTCACCATCTTGGCCAGGCTGGCCCTGAACTCCTGACCTCGTGATCCATCTACCTCGGCCTCCCAAAGTGCTGGGATTACAGGCATGAGCCACCACGCCTGGCCAGGGATCACATTTCAACATGGATTAGGAGAGGACAAACATCCAAATTACATTATATAGCATGACCTGTTCAAGTGCACCTCCTGCAACAATCCTTTTTTGATACCCCTTTCTGCTGCCAGCCTGATAGGACAGCCATATCGCATGTGCATGATAATGCTATCATGCCTCCGTGCCTGCCTCCATTCCTGTTGCAAGCTCCTTGATGGCAGATTGTTTTATCATTTCTCTAAATTTCAACGCCTGGGAAATTCTGTAGAATGTCATAGTACAATAACAAATGTTTGATGACTGTTTGGATGACACTGAGTGTCTCATCTATAGAGATAATTAGAGGTCCTAAATAATAATGATACTAAAAATAAAATTAACAATACCAACCACAACAAGCAATATGGGGGTTTGTGTGTGCCAGACACTGTGCTCAGAGCTTCACATCTAATTCCCATAAACTATTCCCTGGGATTGCCACTATTAATAATAATATCCCTTTTTACAGATGAAGAAAATGAGGCATTGAAAGAGGAAGTGATTTTTCTGAGCTCCCAGAGCTGCAATAATGAAGACCTAATATTATAATAATTTGGAAAGCCACTATATCAGGGCTCAAGTGAATACATTTTCTTTCTTTTTTTTTTTTTTTTTTTGGAATCTCAGCTCTAACAAGCAAAGGAAAGATCAAAAGGGAATCTGGCGAATCTGGCCTAAAAAGGCACTGAAATCCAAATGAACAGGTCAGAACAAGTCTTCCTTGCTGAGGGTAAAGAATGCCATCAATGCCCAGATTGAAGATGTCTGCATTCTAGGTTTGGAGGACGCTAGCAGATTGCCTTTCTGTTTGTATTCATCTAATCAGAAACTGAGTGAAAGATGAGTTTACTGGATCCTGCTATCTTCTTATTCTCCTTGAAAACACCTACATTTGTTTTTTATTCCATGTGTGAGAATGCCTTAGGGCTTCTCTATATATCTTCCAATTTTCAAAAGAAATGCTTCCTTATAAGTAAGTGCTTATCTATTAAAAATTTTACTCTCTCTTCTTTCACCTTGATTCTTTAGTTTCTTTCAAATGGTTTGTAGAGCTCAAAACTCTAAAAAACCAATACTCTATCTTGCTGTCTCACTGGAGTTGCATTATAGGCAAATCAAACTGTTCCTGTAAGTAGCCTCTCTACTTTTGCTTGTAACTTACCACATTTTAAAAATAATAAACCTCTGTCCTTCCTAAAGTTTTTCCAAATTATTGGTGATGTGAACTACAGCTAACTTAAATGATGCTATATACAGCATCTCCAAGCAAATACTAAGTGTGTGTGTGCATGCAAGGGAAATAACACATGTGCACACAAAACACACACATACACTTTCCTCTTTTTTAGTCCCCTTATTACTATTTTATGGTATGCAGCATGGCATCTCAAAGTGTCTAGTGTTATTAACATATCTGTGCTGAAAGCCAAAATGTCCCCCAGAGTTTCATGACATGGATTTTAATGCCTGATTTTCTCAAAGTAAAAAGCACAGTTTAGACATACAATATGGTAGATCTTTTTATTGAAATCAAGCGGATTCTCCAACTCCATAGGGAAATAAACATGCTCAATGGCCAAAAAGGGGGTAAAGGAAGTTCAACATTTTTAACTTGCTAGATCTGCAGAACACTTTCTAGTCTCTTTTTTCTTTTCTTGGAGTTTTCTTTGTCACTGACTTTTGTTTATAAGTAACACAGTGCATTCATTACTGCTAATTGATTAAAATGAATACAGTATTCAGAATTTAAACTTTCATGATTTTGAATGCTTCTGGTCTCCAAAGTGTTGTTTCTTTTCCCCTTAAGAGATGCCTCTACGTGCTCTGATCTGTGCTGGAATAGCTAAATACCGTCTGCTTTGGTAGTGGAAGCAGACGGTGTGTCATTACCCTGCTATAGAGCACAGTTTCTCAGTCTTGGCACTGTTGACATTTGGGACTGGATAATTATTTGTTATGATGGCTTTCCTGTATATGCAGGATGTTTACCAGCATCCCTGGCCTCCACCCACCAGGCCCCAATAGCACTTCCCCTCAGTTATGACAACCAAAAATGCCTCCAGATATTATCACCAAGTGTCCTCTGGGGGTGTGATTGGTGGAACAAAATTGCTCCCAGTTGAGAATCACTGCTGTGCAGGAAAAAAATATAAACTAAACTAACCAATATTTGATGAGCACCTGAATGTACCAAGCAGTTTACCTAAATTTTCTAATTCTACTATTCCCAGTAGAATTTCTAATTCTACTATTCTGCATTCTAAGATAGGCAGTAATATATCCTTGCTATCCAGATGGAGAAACTCATATTCAGAAAAATGCAATAATACACCTCCTATGGTTCACCATTCAAAGCCAGTAGAGAAGGCTGAGTCTGACTCTAAACCACCTCATCACAGCTGCCCACCACCCCAATGATTATAAGCCCTTTTATTCCTGCCAGGACATACTTAGTGAGAGAAAGTCACGTAATCACCAAAAAATGTTGTTGTAATTCTATCCCTTTCTCTCTTGGTCAAGAGAGTGGGTATGAGACTTCTTGAAACGTTAAAAAGAAATTTAAAGCTATGACTATAACAATATCACCTTCAAACAAATTTACAAGAACAAAACAAACACCCCCACCAAAAAGCAGGTGACGGATATGAACAGCCACTCCTCAAAAGAAGACTTTTATGCAGCCGACAAACATATGAAAAAAAAAGCTCATCATTACTGTTTATTAGAGAAATGCAAATCAAAACCTTCAAATATATAAAGTAAATTAAACCTAAATTAAATTTTAATAATTTTTAGTTCAGAGAGGGTAAGTGTCCCCATCTTAATCATCTTTTCCAGAGTTCTTGCTGATGAAAGATCCATCTTTAGTACTGAACAAAATGGAAATCAATATAGGAAAACTTTGTCATTGAGAGGTTTCCTAGAACACTCTTTTGAAGGATGCTGTGAAAATCTGACATAGTGGCTTCCTACTTTCTACTCACTACAAACGGAATACTTTTTCAATCTAAGCAATTGACAGTGTATTCAACAGAACTCTAGATTGATCCATGGGATATCAATCAGTGTTTCTTTAAAAAAAATCTGAAATGAGTGTTTTTGTATAAGGGTTGAAAACAGCAAAGGTAAACATAGTTCTTCTTTTTGTGTTGAAGGTACATTTAAGAGGAATAATTACTGTTCCGTGTGTCTCAAACTTATTTGACCATGAATTCCCCCTGCCCGTACTCTGAAAAAGTTTGTGCCTCAAGGAACACATTTTTGGAAAGATTGAATTGTGTTTTGTCTTCCAAAGAGTTTATGATTGCTCTGAATGAAGTTCTCTAGAGCCCCTAATTTTTTCAGCTCTTTTCTAAACGTATTCCATTTCATCAAATATTTTAAATGATAGACCATGAATCACTTTTGGCCTATCCATAATCTTTGGAACCTTTGAAAAATCAGATATAAAGCATAGTTCATTCTTTTCAGACAAACAGGGAACACAGTGCTGAAACTCCAATACCAAGCAGGAAGGTTTATTGCCAAATTTTCCATTTTTGGTTGACAGTTTCTCCAGCAGAAACCCTACCCCCATCTACCCACAAGATATGGGGAGATTCAATATTAGTCAAAGGAAATCTTTGGCCAGAGCAGATAAGCTATCAAATATATCTTGCCAAGTGAAAAGATATGAGGATTTATTTTTTAACGCATTCAAATGATTTAATACCCATTGCTACTTACATTCTATCTTCATTGATATGAATGATAAGGGCATAGGAAGGCATGAATATAGAATTTAGAGCTCAAGGCAGACCAGACTTTCTATTTGAAAAGAGGATAACCACATTTTAGCTGCCCAAGTTTTCAGTCTTAGCCAGCATGAACGAGAACCACACACCGAGTCAGAAAAACTTATCCCCTATGAACACAGAGCTTCACATTTAGAGACAATGTACTTTGTGGTGAGCCCCAGGTCATTTACCCTGCCCAATGGATTTCTCCTCCCTGGTTGAGGCAGAGTGCAGAAGATGATAGCTGTCATCACGCGATTCCAGGAAAAGACTCTTCTAATACTGATGCTAATAGAAACTCAGTTTTGTTTGCCTGGATCTATATCTTTTTTTATTTCGTCTTACAACTATGGCTGGCTGGATGTTTGCCCAGTTTGGGAAGGATTGTCTGCTTGGAATATGAACCATATGGCACGACAAGAGTTTATTTAATGAAAGTGGATTATTTTCCTGAGCAAATTATTACTTGACTTATTATTTGATCTAGTCACAGTGTAACTACTGGTACCACCACCCATGCTACTACTCAGAAAAAAAAATAAACATCAGTTTATTTTTTTAAAGTCAGGCATTGTTTTGTGTTAATTACATGCATTTGCTCTTTCATCCTCCCATGGCTATGATTTAATATGTTGATTTAATATGCAGATGGTGAAACTGAGACATACAGCATTTAAGTACTGTCTAACGTTAAATAGCCATTAAGTGGCTGAGATAGGATTTGAACCCATGTAGCATAAGTTCAGAACCCACACTCTTAGCCACTACTTGATTTTAATAATATGCATTTTAATGTTGTTCATTAATTTAGTGGCCAGGGTAGGATGGAGTAGAATGGCTTCATATTTTTAATGAGCAAACTTGTGAAAAGTAAAATAAGTAAAAGTCTATATATAAGAAAAGTAAAGAACACACACCAATACACAGAGAGAAAGAGACAAAGAGAGAAAGAGAAGTGATTTAACCAGTAAAACCTAAGTTGATTTTAAAATAAAGGCTAAGAATGAGTGGGAATTATGAGCACAATCAGAAGTGGTGATGCTCAGTTCTAGACCCTACTTGGCATTTACAATTTCTGGCAAGTCATTTCCATCCTCTGGCTGCTTACTAGCAATAATAATGATAAATTATTACTTATTATATTATTATAATTTAATACAATAATAAATTACTTGTTCTATAAATATGTTCTAATTGCTTCTGACAATGGTTTTGGATTTCTACTTATATAGACAGACTATGGGAACAATTTTATCATTCAGTTGTAACTGTATTGCAGTCCCAAAAATCAATTTAAAAACATTTCATATACCTAATGTGGAAATATCAATATCCATTGAAATTTTAAATACCCAAACTTTGTCGAGTCAACTCTTAATTCAGCTCTTCATCTATTATACATTCTGTACCCTGTATCTTCAAATCTTCTTCCACTGTTGTTTTTTCTCAGCAACAATTAAGCAGGTCTCCCTTGCTCATCTATCAATCCTCTTCCTTGACTCTGAGTCTTCCTTAATCACCCATATTGTATCTCCCCTCTCAGAGGAATTGTCTGTACCCATTGCCTCCATGTCTGAACCTCTCTTTTACTCCTCAAACTTCCATGATCATGTATTTGACCATTCCAGTAAAGCCGCATTTTCCAAAAGTCACCAATGGCTTTCTAACTGATATGTCCAACAGAGTTTTTAACCACTCCCTCTCCTCATTCTTCTTATACTAGGAGACTATTTTTCCTTTCTGTTTGCCATATGGTCTTCTACTACACCATCTCCAAGTTATTGGCAGTTCTAGGAATATGCATGTTGCACATTTCCTATGGCGAGTCCTCTGAAATCTATATCCCAACCCAAATCTCTACTGAACACATCATACTATACTTGAGCATCAGTTATTTGCTGTATATGTGCAAAGGAACATTCGAACTTTTTAATTATGTTTTCATTTGATTTTTGGCAGTTCCATCCCTCTGGTGAACAACCAGAAATCTGATAGTCCCCGTTGCCACCTGGCTATAATTTCCTACACTTCAACCACTAAGTCTTAATGATTTTATTTTCAACACATTCTCAAAGCTTGATCTTCCTTACCATCTTAATTTCCATTAGTTCAATTGCCTTAGTTCAAGTAGTCATCATTTTTCTCCTAGATCACAAATTGTTGTGTTCACCTCCAGGCCAGCTCCACTTCCCCCTCATCAGGGCTTCTAGAATCACCTGTAAGTCTGGAGCTTCACAGAGCAGGCTAGAACCTGATGGGTTTTTATGACATGTTACAAGCTTTATTCAAATGGTGATGAAAAACTATGGAAAGTTTCCAGGCATGTAAGGCATAGGATCACACTTGTTTTTATTCTTGCCACTTTCCTCTTCAGAACTTATGCTCCAGCAAGAGAAAATTCATAATGATTTTGATTTACTAAAACTCTCCATGTCTGTGCCGGGTTTTTTTTTTTTTTGCTTTTGTTGTTATTATTGTTGTTGTTGTTGTTGTTGTTGGAGACAGGGTCTCACTTCGTCATCCAGGCTGGAGTGCACTGACACAATCTCGGCTCACTGCAACCTCGACCTCCCAGACTTAAGCAATTCTCCTGCCTCAGCCTCCCGAGTAGCTAGGACCACAGGTGCATACCACCAGGCTTGGCTTTTTTTTTTTTTTTTTATGGAGACAAGTTCTCCCTATGTTGTCCAGGCTGGTTTTGAACTTCCGGCTCAAATGATCCACTCACATCAGCCTCCTGAAGTGCTGGGATTACAGGCGTCAGCCACAATGCCCAGCAGGTTGTCCTAATTTTTTCCCTCCAGTTTCACTCTTCTTCTTTCTCTAGCTTCAGAAGAACACGATTCTCACACCCTTTGGCTTTGTGTTGCTTCGGCTTATAGGAAACTCTAGAATATCAGAGGGCTAGAAGAAGGATAAGTCAGGATATTTGTTCCCTGGCTTCTTTCCTACCAGGCCATGATTTGGCAACGGCTATTGTTTCTCTGATGAAGGGCATATTTCTGCTTCAGGGCCACGGCTACAGGTCTTGCTCAGTGTAGGTAATTGTTCCGTCCTCTTGCCCCTTCAAGCCTAAGGGTGGTTACAGCTCCTAGCTTTTCCCTTGCTGATTTCTCTTGACCCTGCATGTAGGTTCATAAGTGGTCTCTCTGTTAAAGTCTCCTTGATCATCCCTATGGTGTGTGCTACCTGCTGAGACTCTGACCTGTACAATGCCTTTGACCAAAACATGTTTCCCACTTCCTTATTCCCATTTTTCTTTCTATGGCTGGCTCATATTCATCCTTTGAGACTCACCTGAACCTGAAAATCCAGAAAAGATTATCTGGAAGGAAAAACGTTTGAAATATGTGCCAAATGACTTCTTATATCTTTACAATTGCACTTATCACTATTTTAATGATCTATTTCCTCTATTGGAAGGAGAAATTCTTTAAATTGAAGTTACAAATAGGCGAAATTTGTCTTGTATATTGTTTCCAACACAGTCTCATACATAGAAAGTTGCAGTTAAATAAATAAATGAGTTACTAAAAAATGTTTTGATAAAATTCCCTTTATATAATACTTTCTGCAGTTTTGTCTCAGACTTCATTAATTGCATATCTCTAGGATACCCTCTGTGATAACAGGCATTCATCTTCAAAACAGAAACTATCACAGGAACATTAAAGGGATATTAATCATTTATATATTGGTATAAATTAACTTAATAAAAATCTATCTGTTAAATATTAACTGATAGTGATAGAATAATAAATTTGATTGGAATTAGGAAATAATTATTTGGTGCCATTAAGCACTTTGAAGTTTAGGTAGAGCACAGTAGGGTGTTTTAGTGATGATCCAACAGTTAATAATGAACCTGTATTTCTAAGCACTGGAATAGAGGATCACAAGAAATTGAGCAAGGGGACTGAACTCAGAGAAATCTGATAGCTAATTAAACTTCTGTTACAAAATATTGCCTGGATTTGATGTAGAAAAAAATAGAACACATACTTTTTCTCCTCCTTCTCAACTTGGACTTTTTTTTTTTTGCCTTTTTGCTTTATTTGCTGGTAGTTAATAAAGCATAAATTCTTTGTTCTTCCTATTACAAAGACAGCTTTAAGAACCCAATTCGTTTACAATTTATAAATTAGACTGCCAGTAGTTTTACCTGTTAGGGGAGGACAAATGGGAAGCAGACAAGCCTCCCGTCCACCCCTCAAATAGTCAGGTTTCTTTTTTTAACCTAAATGTAGCTTTGTCTAGTGCATGGTTCCTCTTTTGTCCCAGGTAGTGTAACCATCCAATGGATTCTTCCTGCCTGTTGCACAAACAAAATCAATTCACTGAGATCTCAGCGTTGCAGTACAGAAAGAGTTTAATTGACACAAGACTGGCCCATGCAGGAGAACTGGAGTTATTACTCAAATCAGTCTCCCTAGGGGCTTAAAAGTTAGGCTTTTTATGGACAATTTGATGGGCAAGGAGCTAGGTAATGGGTACTGCTGATTGGGTGGAGATGAAATCACAGGGGTGTGGGAAACCTTCCTCGTGCACTGAGTCGGTCTCTGGGTGGGGCTATAGGGGCAATTGAGTCACAAGTCTGGATGGGGTCAGTCTAAAAAATATCTCAAAAAAAGCAATCTTAGCTTCCACAATTGTGATGTTATCTATAGGAGAAATTAGGGAAGTCTCAAATCTTGTGACCTCTGGCCACATGACTCCTGAGCAGTAATGGGTTATAGAAACTATGCCTTCATACTTAGCAGAATTCAGGCCTCTCACATAATCTTATTCTTGTGGCCTTTCATTAGTCCTATAAAGGCAGTTTTTGGTCCCTGAGCAAGGAGCGGGGTTAGTTTTAGGGAGGGACTATTATTGTCCTTGCTTTTAAGTAAAATTATAAACTAAATTCTACCTAAAGTTACTTGGCTTATGCCCAGGAATGACCAAGGGCAGCTTGGAGGTCAGAAACGAGATGGAGTCAGTTATGTCATATTTCTCTTACTGTCATAATTTTGCAAAGGAGGTTTCAGTGAGATGTAACCTACCAACTCAGTCTAACATATATTAATCCAGTACATGACACAGTAAGTAATGCAGATACAGAGAGAGCTGCCCACGTCTACATGCTGCCTAGTCATTTTCTTTTGATGTCTAATGCCTACATCATAGTATATACTCGATAAAGTTTGTGTGCCTGATTGACATCACTAGAGGAAGAAGTAAGATAAAAAACAGAAAATGTCTAAAGTACCCAGAGTCAACTGAAAGATATTCAAAAGAGGCAACCTACTTGTTAAAGAAACAAATATTCCCACCATCCTTAGGATCCAAGGCTGCACTCAGTCAAGGACACAGGAAATTGTGTCCAGAGTTGGGATGCAAACCAGGATTGTATAATTTCCCAGCCTTAGGTAATAACATTGCACTATGTAAGCCATTTTGTAAAACTTCTGTGTAACCTTTCTACTTTGTCATGAAATAGCATGAGTGCACTTTATAAAATGGATCTTTTTTTCTCATCTAGGTTTTGGAATCCACAGATATGCTATTTAATAAAGAACATAACAATTCAAATCAGTTGACCTTGTATTATTGTGACATTTGAGTTTGGTCACAGAAATCTCTGAAAATTTCATCAATTAAAAGCTTTTCTTTTTTGGAGGGGTGGTCAGGGGTGAAGGGAATGACAAGACTGTTCCCTACTACTATATAAAAGAGAAAGAGTTATGCCTTCTAATAGAACCACCAAAACAGCTTTTAGAAAAGATAGCATGTTTTTTTTCCCTGCTGTGCAGACATTTTGAACTTGCTGAGGAGCCCAACTGTTTAGCCTATGTGGAGGCTGAAATACCAGCAGCTCCGAATGACAATGAAAGCCCAATTGGGACGGGCATTAAAATGGAAACCACTTGAAGCAAGTGGCAAAGGGAAATCAATCAGCGTTGTTATTTTTTGCTTCTCCTGGAGAGCTAGCAAGGCCATGCAGAAAGATGGTGACAAAAATTTGCCTTTGAAAAACTGCACTATAATTATATGTCTAACAGCATAGTGCAACTCCCATTCAAGGAAAAGGCAACATCACCTCTGAGTGTCAGGTCCTACGTTTCATGAAGCCTATTAATCACTATAATGGATAGAATACCACTGTGCATCTGTCTAATCTAATCCTTTAGCTTTTCCATGGCACTTTCATAGACATTATATCATGGAGAGGCAGTATGGCAGAGCAGGAGAAGCATAAGACAGTGTGTGGCAGGCCTTGATTTTAATTTCACTTCTGCCAGGTAAGTCCAGCCAACCCTAAACAGATTGCTTAACACCTCTGGCTCCTTGGCTGGAAAATGAGGATAATAATACTGATCTTAATGGGCTATAGTGAAGGTTATAGGTAATGTTTATAAGGTACCTGTAACACAGTAGATGCTCAGTGACGAATGACCATTGGTATTACTATTGTGGGGCCTTAGACACTTGGCCCTCTAAAGGTTCTCTAAGAAATCACTGACATGAGGCAGATTGATTAATAGGAGAAGACATATGAATTTATTTAGCATGTATACCCCAGAGCCTTCAGTATGAAGACTCAACTTCCCAATGAGTTACAGAAACTTACATATTGTCTTGAGGCTATAGAAAGAAGGGGAGCTTGGATCCTGGTAAAACAGGTTATGAGAGTAGGAGAAAAAAATTCTATTGATGGGTAATAAATAATTACTGGGGAGAATGATTGGAGCAGGAAACTTGGAAACAGCTCTCTTTGGAATTTAAATGATCTTTGAAGACTGTCATTATACTCATAAAAAAAATCTGTTCAGGTGTGGTCACATTTTGGTCTTCTTTTCCACAATAAATAAGGAAATAACAGGGAGAGGAAGAAAAAACAATTATTCTCCTTGGTGAGGCTGGATATTAGGCAGATGAAGGAACTTCAGTCTCTTTGGAAGAGATGGTGAGTAGCAGGGGGAAGATTAGAGAGATCTTGAGGTTTCTTCAGCTCAACATGTCACAATGTCGTATTTTGGAGTGTCAGTTTCTGAGCCCCAACACACTAGTATCATCAGAACCTCAAAGCTAACTCTAAAGTTAAACAGGGCATATATAAAACACTCAGGAAGAAATATGAGGAAACTGGACTCAATCAGTTAATAGTACTTGCTTAAGATAACACAGCCAGCTAGTAAAAGTATCAGATTTCCACGTCCTTCTCTTGAGTTCTTAGAAAACCTGTATGTTAAATACCCTTTTCCACTGGGAGAATACTGACAATAAGAATAGTTGTTATAAGAGAATGAGGACGTAGAAAGCCTTTCATCCATCTTTTACTTTTTTAAATATGTATTTTGTAAGTAATTAGGGTAAACAAGCATACTACATATTCCAAATTAGGTCCAACTTTCATGAATTAGCATACACACATATCTATCCCAATGATGGCTTTAGAAGAATACATTTTTTATATTTGCATAAATCATTCTGACCCAAAACAAAATTGGGGGAAGGGTATATTGAGTTTAAGCCCTTTGATTCCTCTGGGAACAATTTTATTTGCCTAAAATAATTATATTAAAATAGATTTATATGCCAGCACTGTGGGAGGCCAAGGCGGGTGGATCACTTGAGCCCAAGAGTTTGAGACCAGCCTGGGCAACATGGCAAAACCCCATCTCTACAAAAAATGCAAAAAAAATTAGCTGGGTGAGGTGACGGGCACCTGTAGTCCCAGCTACTTGGGAGGTTGAGGTAGGAGGATCCCTTGAGCCCAGGAGATGGAGGTTGCAGTGAGCCTGGGCGATAGAATGAGACCCTGTCTCAAACAAACAAACAAACAAAAATTAGATTCTTTACTAGCCATGGTCGTTTCACTCAAATTAAGCCATACAGTATGTTCTAGAAATACACAAAACCTGGAGACGCCAAATGCTATGCACTGTATTTTCCTTCAGTTATATAGAATTTTTTTGTCCCTAATGACAGCATTAAATTGCATAACTGAAATTGCAAACATAGGCAATAGAGTGGGGTGAGCGGCTGGGAGGAAGCTACTGAGGATCTTGTTAAATTATTGATTTAGGTAGTCCACAGTTGGCAAATCATTATTTCGTTACCTGATGGATCTGCAGGTCTTGTACAACAAAAGATCTTTTAAGCAGCAGGATTGATGCTTTAAGTTGGGAAACAGTACATCAATAAAGGTCAGTGTGACAATATGATTTATTCAAATACAATGCTACCGCAAACAGTCCATTTTTACATCCCAGAATAAATGGCAGGTATTTTTTATTTGTGTTTAGGTTCCCCACTGAAATTTTTGAAATGTTTTATTATTTATTGTTGCCTTTTAGAGATGAAAGGAACCAATTTCTTTGCCTTTCATGTTCATTTCTAACTGGTAACAGAAGGTAGGGACCTACAGCAAAAATCAATTGGTTAATAAAAGAGTTAATTGACTAAGTGCTTGTTCTGGTGGGTCAAAAGCACAGACAGTGCACAACCAATGTAAGGATGCTTAATTAAAATGGGGCTGGCCGAACTTAATGAAATTCTGCCATGTAGATAGAAATTAATGCTGGAAAGACATCTGCATTTAGTATCATATTACAGAATAGAAGCAAATTAAAAGTAGCCCAAGTAGGCCTTTGTCTTAATGAAATCCAAATAAGGGCACTTGTGGCTGGTTCAGGAGTTATAAGAAACTCTAAAAATTATTTTTTCTCAAAATACAAGAACCCATTAGTTGTGTATCTTACGTTCCAATACGGCACGTGAAATATAAGCTAGGACAAATTAGCTAAGATTATTTTAATTTTTTTGTCATAATTAAGTTTTATTTAACTTAATTATAAGTTTCTGATGATAGGGCATTGTCTTATGCCCAACATATAGTTGTTCTTTTTTTTTTTAATACATTAAGTTCTAGGGTACATGTGCACAACATGCAGGTTTGTTACATATGTATACATGTGCCATGTTGGTGTACTGCACCCATTAACTCGTCATTGACATTAGGTATATCTCCTAATGCTATCTCTGCCCCCTCCCCTACCCCATGACAGGCCCCAGTGTGTGATGTTCCCCACCCTGTGTCCAAGTGTTCTTGTTGTTCAATTCCCACCTATGAGTGAGAACATGCGTTTTTTTGTTTTCTGTCCTTGCAACAGTTTGCTCAGAATGATGGTTTCCAGCGTCATCCATGTCCCTACAAAGCACATGAACTCATCCTCTTTTATGGCTGCATAGTATTCCATGGTGTATATGTGCCACATTTTCTTAATCCACTCTATCATTGATGGACATTTGGGTTGGTTCCAAGTCTTTGCTATTGTGAATAGTGCCACAATAAACATACATGTGCATGTGTCTTTATAGAAGCATGATTTATAATCCTTTGGGTATATACCCAGTAATGCGATGGCTGGGTCAAATGGTACTTCCAGTTCTAGATCCTTGAGGAATTGCCACACTGTCTTCCACAATGGTTGAACTAGTTTAGAGTCCCACCAACAGTGTAAAAGTGTTCTATTTTTCCACATCCTCTCCAGCAGTTGTTTCCTGACTTTTTAATGATCGCCATTCTAACTGGTGTGAGATGGTATCTCATTGTGGTTTTGATTTGCATTTCTCTGATGGCCAGTGATGATGAGCATTTTTTCATGTGTCTGTTGGCTGCATAAACATCTTCTTTTGAGGAGTGTCTGTTCATATCCTTTGCCCACTTTTTGATGGGGTTATTTGATTTTTTCTTGTAAATTTGTTTAAGTTCTTTGTAGATTCTGGATATTAGCCCTTTGTCAGATGGGTAGATTGTAAAAATTTTCTCCCATTCTGTAGGTTGCCTGTTCACTCTGATGGTAGTTTCTTTTGCTGTGCAGAAGCTCTTTAGCTTAATTAGATCCCATTTGTCAATTTTGTCTTTTGTTGCCATTGCTTTTGGTGTTTTAGTCATGAAGTCCTTGCCCATGCCTATGGCCTGAATGGTAATGGCTAGGTTTTCTTCTAGGGTTTTTATGGTTTTAGGTCTAACATTTAAGTCTTTAATCCATCTTGAATTAATTTTGTATAAGGTGTAAGGAAGGGATCCAGTTCCATTTCTTCTAGATTTTCTAGTTCATTTGCTTAGAGCTGTTTATAGTATTCTCTGATGGTAGTTTGTATCTCTGTGGGATCGGTGGTGATATCCCCTTTATCATTTTTTATTGCATCTATTTGATTCTTCTCTCTTCTCCTCTTTATTAGTCTTGCTAGCAGTCTAACTTTTCAAAAAACCAGCTCCTGGATTCATTGATTTTTTTTGAAGGGTTTTTTTGTGTCTCTATTTCCTTCAGTTCTGCTCTGATCTTAGTTATTTCTTGCCTTCTGCTAGCTTTTGAATGTGTTTGCTCTTCCTTCCCTAGTTCTTTTAATTGTGATGTTAGGGTGTCAATTTTAGATCTTTCCTGCTTTCTCTTGTGAGCATTTAGTGCTGTAAATTTCCCTCTACACACTGCTTTAAATGTGTCCCAGAGATTCTGGTATGTTGTGTCTTTGTTCTCATTGGTTTCAAAGAACATCTTTATTTCTGCCTTCATTTCGTTATGTACCCAGTAGTCATTCAGGAGCAGGTTGTTCAGTTTCTACGTAGTTGAGAAGTTTTGAGTGAGTTTCTTAATCCTGAGTTCTAGTTTGATTGCACTGTGGTCTGACAGACAGTTTGTTATAATTTCTGCTCTTTTACATTTGCTGAGGAGTGCTTTACTTCCAACTATGTGGTCAATTTTGGAATAACTGTGATGTGGTGCTAAGAAGCATGTATATTCTGTTGATTTGGGGTGGAGAGTTCTGTAGATGTCTATTAGGTCTGCTTGGTGCAGAGCTGAGTTCAATTCCTGGATATCCTTATTAACTTTCTGTCTCATTGATCTGTCTAATGTTGACAGTGGGGTGTTAAAGTCTCCCCTTATTATTGTGTGGGAGTCTAAGTCTCTTTGTAGGTCTCTAAGGACTTGCTTTATGAAGCTGGGTGCTCCTGTATTGAGTGCATATATATTTAGGATAGTTAGCTCTTCTTGTTGAATTGATCTCTTTATGATTATGTAATGGCCTTCTTTGTCTCTTTTGATCTTTGTTGGTTTAAAGTCTGACTAGGATTGCAACCCCTGCTTTTTTCTGTTTTCCATTTGCTGGGTAGATCTTCCTCCATCCCTTTATTTTGAGCCTATGTGTGCCTCTGCATGTGAGATGGGTCTCCTGAATACAGCACACTGATAGGTCTTGACTCTTTATCCAATTCGCCAGTCTGTGTCTTTTAATTGGAGCATTTAGCCCATTTACATTTAAGGTTAATATTGTTATGTGTGAATTTGATCCTGTCATTGTGACGTTAGCTGTTTATTTTGCTCATTAGTTGATGCAGTTTCTTTAACATCGAAGGTCTTTACAATTTGGCATGTTTTTGTAGTGGCTGGTACCAGTTGTTCCTTTCCATGTTTAGTGCTTCCTTCAGGAGCTCCCGTAAGGCAGGCTTGGTGGTGACAAAATCTCTCAGCATTTGCTTGTCTGTAAAGTATTTTATTTCTCCTTCACTTATGAAGCTTAATGTGGCTGGATATGAAATTCTGGGTTGAAAATTCTTTTCTTTAAGAATGTTGATTATTGGCCCCCACTCTCTTCTGGCTTGTAGAGTTTGTGCTGAGAGATCTGCTGTTAGTCTGATGGGCTTCCCTTTGTGGGTAAGCCGACCTTTCTCTCTGGCTGCCCTTAGCATTTTTTCCTTCATTTCAACTTTGGTGAATCTGACAATTATGTGTCTTGGAGTTGCTCTTCTCGAGGAGTATCTTTGTGGCATTCTCTGTATTTCCTGAATTTGAATGTTGGCCTGCCTTGCTAGGTTGGGGAAGTTCTCCTGGATAATATCCTGCAGAGTGTTTTCCAACTTGGTTCCATTCTCCCCATCACTTTCAGGTACACCAATCAGACGTAGATTTGGTCTTTTCACATAGTCCCATATTTCTTGGAGGCTTTGTGAGTTTCTTTTAACTCTTTTTTCTCTAAACTTCTCTTCTCACTTCATTTCATTCATTTGATCTTCAATCACTGATACCCTTTCTTCAAGTTGATCAAATCAGCTACTGAAGCTTGTGCATGCATCACATAGTTCTCGTGCCAATGTTTTCAGCTCCATCAGGTCATTTAAGGTCTTCTCTATGCTGTTTATTCTAGTTAGCCATTCATCTAATCTTTTTTCAAGGTTTTTAGCTTCTTTGCAATGGGTTGGAACATCCTCCTTTAGCTCCGAGAAGTTTGTTATTACCGACTGTCTGAAGCCTTCTTCTCTCAACTCGTCAAAGTCATTCTGCGTTCAGCTTTGTTCCATTGCTGGTGAGGAGCTGCATTCCTTTGGAGGAGAAGAGGTGCTCTGATTTTTAGAATTTTCAGCTTTTTTGCTCTGGTTTCTCCCCATCTTTGTGGTGTTATCTACCTTTGGTCTTTGATGATGGTTATGTACACATGGGGTTTTTGTGTGGATGTCCTTTCTGTTTGTTAGTTTTCCTTCTAACAGTCAGGACCCTCAGCTGCAGGTCTGTTGGAGTTTGCTGGAGGTCCACTCCAGACCCTGTTTGCCTGGGTATCACCAGCGGAGGCTGCAGAACAGCAAATATTGCAGAATGGCAAATGTTGCTGCCTGATCCTTCCTCTGGAAGCTTCATCTAAGAGGGGAACCCGGCCATATGAGGTGTCAGTTGGCCCCTACTGGGAGGTGTCTCCCAGTTAGGCTACTCGGGGGTCAGGGACCCACTTGAGGAGGCAGGCTGTCCGTTCTCAGATCTCAAACTCCGTGCTGGGAGAACCACTACTCTCTTCAAAGCTGTCAGACAGGGACTTTTAAGTCTGCAGAAGTTTCTGATGCCTTTTGTTCAGCTATGCCCTGCCCCCAGAGGTGGCATCTACAGAGGCAGGCTGGCCTTCTTGAGCTGCATTGAGCTCCACCCAGTTCAAGCTTCCTGGTTGCTTTGTTACCTACTCAAGCCTCAGCAATGGCAGGCGCCCCTCCCCCAGCCTTGCTGCCACCTTGCAGTTTGATCTCAGACTGCTGTGCTGTCAGTGAGCAAGGTTCCATGGTCGTGGGACCCTCCAAGCCATGAGCAGGATATAATATCCTGGTGTGCCGTTTTCTAAGACCATTGGAAAAGTGCAGTATTAGGGTGGGAGTGTCCCAATTTTCCAGGTACCATCTCTCATGGCTTCCCTTGGCTAGGAAAGGGAATTCCCCGACCCCTTGTGCTTCCTTGGTGAGGCGATGCCCCGCCTTGCTTCGGCTCACACTCCATGGGCTGCACCCACTGTCCGACAGGCCCCAGTGAGATGAACCCAGTACCTCAGTTGGAAATGCAGAAATCACCTGTCTTCTGTACCACTCATGCTGGGAGCTGTAGACTGGAGCTTTTCCTATTCAGCCATCTTGCAGATAATCGACATTGCTAATTTTGAGTGTTCTCTCTTTTTTTCCTGATCAGTCTGGCTAGAAGTTTATTTATTTCATTAATCTTCTTAAAATACCAGCTTATAGTATTCTTGATTTCCATTATTGTTTCTTCTACTTTCTTACTTTATTGATGTCTAATGTAATTTTTATTATTTCCTTTCTACTGCTTACCTTGGATTTTTTTTTTTTTTTTTTTTTTTTTTGAGATGGAGTCTTGCTCTGTCACCCAGGCTGGAATGCAGTGGCACGATCTTGGCTCACTTCAAGCTCCGCCTCCTAGGTTCACGCCATTCTCCTGCCTCAGCCTCCCAAGTGGCTGGGACTACAGGCACCCGCCATCACACCCAGCTAATATGTTTTTTTGTATTTTTAGTAGAGATGGGGTTTCACCGTGTTAGCCAGGATGGTCTCGATCTCCTGACCTCATGATCCACCCGCCTTGGCCTCCCAATGTGCTGGAATTTCAGGAGTGAGCCACCATACCTGGCCACCTTGGATTTTATTTGCTCTTCTTTTTCTAGCTCCTTAAAGTGACTTGGTCAGTCCTTGTTTTCATTTTCCTTTGTAGGCATTTAGTCCTATAAAAACTCTCTCAACAAGCTGGGCATGGTGGCTCATGCCTCTAATCCCAGCACTTTGGGAGGCTGAGGTGGGCAGATCACCTGAGGTCAGGAGTTCAAGACCAACCTGACCAACAGGGAGAAACCCCATAAAAATACAAAATTAGCCAGGCACGGTGGTGCATGCCTGTAATCCCAGCTACTCAGGAGGCTGAGACAGGAGAATCGCTTGAACCCAGGAGGCAGATATTGCAGTGAGCCGAGATCATGCCATTGCACTCCAGCCTGGGCAACAAGAGAGAAACTCCACTTCAAAAAAAAAATAAAAATAAAATTCTCTCAACATACTTTAGCTTCTTCTTACAAATATTGATGTTATATTTTCATATTCCTTCTGTTCAAACTACTTTTTATTTTTGTCTTTTATTCTTCTTTGGCCTATTTTAGAAGGCTGTTTTTTAGTTTCCAGATATTGGAAGATTTTTATAACATTTTAAATTTATTTTTTCTTAACTTCCTATACTATACCAATGTGTAGATAACATTCTGTTATTGATTTCAAATTATTTTCACTGCAATCAAAGACCATACTTTCTATGACTTAATGTATCTAATCTTTTTGAATTTTTTCAGTGGACTAAAATACAATCAATCTTGGTCAATGTTCCATGTACACTTAAAAAGGAATGCATATTCTGATATTGTTGGGAAGAGTGGTTTATAATTGTTAATTAGGTTAAATTGGTAGATAGTGTTGTTTAATGCTTCTGAATGTTTACTGATTTTCTGTCTACTTAATCAATTTTCGAAACAAGCATATTAAAATCTCCAACCACAATTGTGAGCATGCTTATTTCTCCTTGCAGTTCTATTAGATTTGCTTTGTGTATTTTGAAGCTCTCTTATTAGGTGCATAAATATGGTGTTTCTTCTTGATAAGCTGATGTTATTATCATTATGAAATGATCCTCTTTATTCTTGATAATTCTTTTTGTTCTGAAACATACTTCTTTAATATTAATAAAGCCATTCCAGTTTTTTTTTTGCTTAGTGTTAACATGTTATGTCTTTCTATACTTTTACTTTAAACCTGTTTGTGTTTTTATATGTAATGTGGGTTTCTTCCAGGCAACATATAGTAGTTACTATATAGTCTTTTTTTAACCAATCTGATAATCACTTCATTTTATTGGGAGGGGACACTGTTCTTTTTTAATTGTTCTTTTAAAAAAAAATGGTAGATAGTATTGTTTAATGCTTCTAAATTTCTGTTGATTTTAAAGAGGGTCTTACTCTGTCACCCAGACTGGAATGCAGCAGTGCAATCATAGCTCACGGCAGCCTCAAACTTCTGGGTTCAAGCTATCCTCCCACCTCAGACTCCCAAGTAGTTGAGACTACAGGCACGCATCACCACACCTGGCTCATTTTTTTTTTTTTTTTTTTTTTTTTTTGTAGAGGCAAGGTCTCAGTATGTTGCCCAGGCTGCTAGAGGGGATACTGTTCATATCATTTACGTTTACTGTGATTATTAGCATGATCTGCATTACATCTACCCTCTTGCCTTTTGTTTTCTATTTTTCTCATTTGCTTTTTGTTCCCTTTTTCTCTTTTTCTGCCTTATTTTGTATCAAGTTTTCCTTATGATTTTCTTTTACCTCCTTTGTTGATTTGCTAGATATAACTTTTTTCTGTGTATTTTAGTGGTTACTTTAGTGTTTATAATATCTTTAACTTATCACAGCCTACATTCAATTGATTTTATACCACTTCATGAATAACATAAAAACCTGACAACATCCTTTCATTTATCCCCTCCAGGCTTTTGTGTTTTTATTGTCATACATCTATGTATGTCATAAACCTAATAATACATTACCATATTGCTTTAAAGACAAGCTGATTGAATTATCTTCCAAGTCATTTTAGGTGATAATAATAATTCTTTTTATATTTACCCACTTAGTTACCATTTTTACTTGAAAGACTTTCTGTAATATTTCTTATAAAGCAGGTACACTGGTGGCAAAATCTTCCAGCTTTCTCATGTTCAAAAGACTTTATTTCACCTTTGTTTCTGAAAGATGTTTTGGCTAGGTAAGAATGCTAGGTTGGCAAGGCCTTTTATGTTTATTTTTCCATCAGTACTTTAAAGACACTGCATTTTTTGTCTTATAGTTTGCCTTGTTCCCAGTGAGAAATCTATTTTCATCCTTATTTTTGTTTCTGTGTATATTACGGTATTTTTTTGACTGGCTTCTTTTAACATGTTTCTCTTTGTTACTAATTTTAAGCAGTGTCTTGGTGTAGCATTTTTTTTTCTTTTTTTGAAACAATGTCTCACTCTGTTGCCCAGGCTAGAGTTCAGTGGCACAAGTACAGCAACACTGCGGCCTCAACCTCCCAAGTCCAAGCAATTCTCCCACCTCAGCCTCCCAAGTAGCTGGCTAATTTCTAGTTTTTTCACTTTTTGTAGAGGCAGGGTCTTGCTATGTTGCCAGGCTGGTCTTGAATTCCTGGGCTCAAGTGATCCTCCTGTTTCAGCCTCCCAAATTGCTGGGATTATAGGCATGAGCCACTGCACTCAGCTTAGTATTCTTCATGTTTCCAGTGGTTGGTTTCATTGATCTTCTTGGTACTATGGCTTTAGAATGTCTGTCAAATTATATATATATAATAATAGTGTATATATATCTTATAATAGTTTATATATATAATATGTATATTATATATATATATTATATATATATAATATATAATATATATTATATATATATTATATATATTATATATTATATATATAATATATATATATAATATACATATAATATATATAATATATATTATATATATGTAGATGATGATGATGGCTATGTCTTCAAATATTTTTTGTCCCTCCTCACTTTTTGGAATTTCAAATATATATCTATAATCTATCTACTATCTATCTATCTACACACACACAAACACACACACACACACACACACACACACACACACACACACACACAAATCTAACACCAAACAAGGTAAAATTCACAATATTTGACATCCAATTAAAATTGCCAGGCATGCAAAATGGGAAAATTTTACCCATAACTAGTGGTAGACAGAAAATATATAAAACTTTTTAAAATCTCCTCACAGCTCAATGATGTACTCTTCTTTGGTATTTTTTTCTGTGTTTCATTTTGCGTAGTTGCGTATTGCTGTGTCTTTAATTTCATTAATATATTTTCTTTCACAATTTGCCACTACTCCCATCCAGTTTATTTCAGACACTGTAGTTTCCATTTTTAAATGTTTTATTTGCATTTTAATATCATCCATGTCTACTAACATGGTCAATCTTTCCTCTAGTTTCTTGAACATTTAGAATACAGTTATAAAAACTGTTTTAATGTCCTTGTCTACTGATTATGTTCTCATCTACAACAATCATGGGTAGAAATTTCCTGGGTTTTGCATGTTTGATAATTTTTAATTGGATGTCAAAACATTGTGGATTTTACCTTATTGACGCTGGATATTTTTAATATTCCTATGTATATTCTGAAGCTTTGTTCTGAGACATAGTTAAATTAGCTGAAAACAGTCTGATCCTTTGGAGTCTTGCTCCACTGCAACAATTACATATAAAAGACATAAACAGTAAGTGTCTATCAGGTTGAAGGCCTGGGCAAGTTTAGTGTGCTCTAGAGGAGAAAGATAAATTCTACAAAGTTTCAGGAGTTGCTATATGAGTTAAATTTTAGGGATCCAGTGTTCAGGAGCATCCAGGGATTTGCCTGCCTAAGTAAAGAATAAATTATTACATCTTATACCTTACTCCACGAAGAATGAAGTGCAACACCTGGTGGGCCTCTTCGGGTTCTGGACACCACATATTCTTTATTTGGGAATTCTACTCTTAGCCATACACCATACACCAGGTGCCACAAAAGACTAGCATCTTTGAGTGGGGACCAGAGCACAAAAGGATACTGTAGAAGGCCCAGGATACAGTGCAAACAGCTCTACTCCTTGGGATTTTTTAGCCAGGAGAACATACAGTTTTAGGAAGTATTGTGGTTAAAAAAAAAAAAATTGCTGTTTGGTGTTTATGACAAGCCCCAAAGTGAAAAATTACAATGAAGACCTTTAACTTTCTGGATCAGGACCATGCCATCTAAAGCAAATAATTACATGCCTTTTAGGGGAAAAAAATATCCTGGCATGCTTCTAGGTCCTGGTAGAGGGCCTGTACCTCCCAGGATCATACCAGTGGCTCAGTTTCTGACCAATAGCTATACGGAGTCTCCCTTATGAACAGCTGCATCTCATAATCAATGAAGTCCTAATGAGATAAAATAGGGCCGTTTTTAATGACAATCAAGCTGTAGAAAGTTTTTTTGAGATGCACAACAAATGTGATGTTTTCCTACTTGCAAAGAGGATTCTATGAAAAGAATCAATGTTTACATTCAGTGATTTAAGCTTTTTGATAAAGATTTCAATGGAAAAGCAAAGTTCCTAACATTCCAGACTGACAACAAAGCACTGATTATGTGTTAGAACCTACGCAAGGACTTGGCTTCTATTATCCCACTGAATCCATAAAACAAACCTACAAGGAAATCATCATTACTACTCATTTGAAGATGAAGAATTTGATGCTCAAAGAAAATAAGCAACTTATCTAAATAAACACTGAATGTTGAGAAGAAATCTCTGTCTGCCTTCAAAATAAATTTTACCATATACCTTTCTGTTTATAATGCAAGAACGATTAGAATATTATATAATTTTTATTAGTTGACTTTGTGACATAATAAATTATATATATATATTTAAAACATGCATACACATGCATGCACACACAGTTTAATTGGGGAAATAGAATATTTTGTTGCATTCTAAGGCTTTCCTGTTGTCCTTTCACCCTTCACTCTCCTCTAGTCATCCTAACAACTTCTGTAATCTTACAAATGCCTTTTAAAATAAACATCATCACTCCTCTATTTGTATATTTCCTATGAAACTTACAGCTGTCATGCATGATTTGTTTAATAGATATTTCTAGAACAAAATTAAAGATTCTGGAAAACAAAGTAATCATATCTATGTTATTATGGGATTTTAAAACTGAACATTTCCTTATAGAATACTTAGTCCAATTTTCAGTGGGTAACTTAATGTGAATTGAGTTGTTCAGGGTCACAGAGACAGGGAGTGGCCAAAGTAATTCTGTAAACAAATTTTAACAAGTACCTAGTATGTGACAAGGACTAGGATTATAATCATCTTCTAGTACCCAATTTAGTGCTCTTTCCAATATACCTAAAAACTAGTTTTCAATTATTCTGAGTAAAACATAAACCCCATGAGAGAAGGATTTTGTTCTGTTCAGTTCTGTAACACCAGAAAATTGAGCAATACCTGGTAACTGAATATTTGATGAATTATTTGAAGAATAAGTTAATGAACCATCGATTTTCAGACTATGTAAACATCTTTTGATGATTTACAAGTTACTTAAGAATCTTGCCAGATTATCTTTGGGAATGTTAGTAATTACTGCACAGTTCAAGGATTTTAGAATTCTGATCAGATATGTTTCTCTTTCTCATTAAAGTGGCATATATATGGGAATAAGTGTTTCAGCTATGTGTGCTTTATGATGCCTTCAACATAAGCAAGAGTTTAGTGTTTCTTTTTAAAAAAACATTTGTGTTTGGGGTGAATTTTTTGTGTTTTCCTCTGTTGTTTGGGTACCATGCAGACACAGCCGGAATCTATAATTGGCCCAGCTATCATTGAGCCCTCACTTACCCAATGGAACATCAGCTTTATAAAAGCGGGTTTGCTTTTCATGTTCACAGTAGTGTATTGAGTTTTATAAAATGAGGCTCTTGCAAGCTATTATCAATGAGAGATAATAAAAGGCTAGTAGGAACCAGGTTTGCATTGCTTCTTTTTAGGGCTTTTTACAAAGGTATACTTGGGAATGCTGTTTTTTCAAAATCCTGTCCTGACAAGTTAAGTACTAGCAGTTCTTTGTTAAAAGAAAAATCTTTCATCTTTTTTTTTCTTCTTTTTCTATTTAGGAAGGTTTCCTTCCTCTGAGATAGCTTCCTTTGGTCTGCAATATGCCTATACTATGGCAGGCAGAAATTCACAGATTGTCTCCCCACCATTACCCTTTATTTTGAGCATAGGAAAACTTTTAACTGTATATCTTGCTTGAATATGAAGACAAGACACATTCCTCATGTTTCAATAATATTTATTCATTACCCACAAACATTTTCTGGGTGCCTAACACAGCTACAACAATGACTTGTCTCTTATGATTAAACTATATGTATGGTGGAAATAACTTTTACTGCCTGCCTTCTACATTCCAAACCTTGAGTAAGCCCTGTACTGATATTACATAATTTAATATTGAGAACACCCCCAAAAATAGGCAGTAAAAAGAGTAGATTTTTAACATTTTTATCACAAAAATGATATTAGTGAGTTCTATGTATACATTGTAGAAAGACTTCATCAAGAGCATTTTTGTGATGATATCGACTGAATTGTTCTACAATGTGCACCTAAACCAAGACATCAAATTGTACCCCATAAATATACACAATTATTATTCATCAATTCAAAAACTTTTTAAAAAGATAAATGAGACGTGGTAAAATTAAATAGCTTTCCAAAGGTCACATAGATAGAACACCACAGACTCTGATTTCAAGCTTATCTTTTTGCCCACGACCCTTATGCTCTTTCTATGATAACAGATATTCAAACTTGAGAACTCCAAAAAGGTACATACACATACCACAGGTCTACAACCTCCAATACAAGTACTATGGCATAATATACTACAGGAAAAACAAAAGGAAAATTTATAAATCAAATTTAAATTAAACAAAATATATAACCAAAATAAATTATAAAATAAATGAAATATACATTTTAAATTAGTTTTAGTTTTAAAATATATTATACATTTATAAATTATTAAGATGTTGAAAAATTTTAAATTGGTCCTTAGGTAATTAAACCTCTTCGCTTTGGTGATTTATAAAGCTATCATTAAAGTAGATTTAGCCAGGTGCAGTGGCTCACGCCTGTAATCACAGCACTTCAGGATGCCAAAGCAGGAGGATCACTTGAGCCCAGGAGTTTGAAACCAGCCTGGGCAACATAGTCAGACCCTGTCTCAACCAAAAAATTAAAAAATTAGCAGGGCATGGTGGCACAACCATAGTCACAGCTACTCAAGAAGCTGAGGCAGGGGGATGGCTTGAGCCCAAGAGTTTCAGGTTGCAGTGAGCTATGATCATGCCTCTGCACTCCAGCCTGGGCAACAGAGCAAGACCCTCTCAAAAAAAAATAAAAAATAAAAATAGAGTAGATTTAATATAGTAGTCAAGATTTTAGATGCACTGAAAAGAAAGAGAATCTTTCCTTGATATTATGTCCAAGCAACCTCCAGGCCCCAGTCTTCTAGTCTGAAAAAGCAGGCTCCATCAGTGGTTTTCAAACTGGGTACCTCAGAGCTCTGCTTTCTATAGAGGTAC
Organism: Homo sapiens; assembly: GCF_000001405.40. NCBI lineage: Eukaryota > Metazoa > Chordata > Mammalia > Primates > Hominidae > Homo > Homo sapiens. The sequence goes on along the minus strand of NC_000016.10, from coordinate 59,221,532 downwards.
CCCAGAGGCCCAGGAGAAAGGCAAGTGACGCAGCACTGCTCCTAGCACTCCCATCTCATCCACCCACCCCCCACAACACACCTTCAAACAGAATGCTGCATTTCTATCAGTTATATATCTTGGATTTCTAGTCAAAGTTATCTTTAAAGAAAATATTCCAACTTTTACAATAAATTTTTAAAATCAAGTTTGATAGCCACATGACTGTAATTTTTATAGTCTTCTGATTCGATGATTGTGAAGGTTCATATAAGTAGTAGTGTGTCTAGAGTAGAAATTACAAGTGCGTATGCTTTCTGGGGCCAGATGCGATCAATAATTTTGTTTGAAAATAAACTGGTTTGAGACTATATAGGTAATATTAATTTGTGGCAACTTAAGGGGGCATGTCCTACAAAGAAAATGTGGTAAACATATATATACACAATGAAATATATTCAGACATAAAAAAGAATGAAATTACATCTTTTGCGCAACATCGATGGAAATGGAGGTTGTTATCTTAAGTGAAACGACTTAGAAACAAAGTCAAACGCTGCATGTTCTCGCTTGTGAGTGGAATCTAAATAATGTGTGCATGTAGATATAGAGAATGAAATAATAGACACTAGAGACTTGGAAAGGTAGGAGGGCAGGAAGGAGGTGAGGGATGAGAAATTACTTAATGGGCACAATGTACATTATTTGGGTAATGATTACACCAAAACCCCAGACTTCACCACTTCTCAATGTATCGGGGTAACAAAAACACACTTGTACCTTTTAAATTTATACAAGTTTTTAAAAAGGGGAAGAAAAAGAGTATGTGTTCTACTTAAAAATTTAAACTCTACATATTTGTCTTTAACACTGTGCTTACAAACAAGTCTACAGCTCCAAACATGTGACTCCCAGTCTACAAATCACTAGAATGAGAAACTTCGTCCAGCAAGAACTCTGAGTTATAGAAATTGTAAGGGGAGGATTACGTCCACATCATCATCATCTAGTTTTGCATAGGCATCATTACTGTTTCATTCAAGAAGGACCCAATGGAGACTAAATGCAACTATGTTTGTGAACCTTGTATCCAACTAGCCATATTGGGGATGATGAGAATACTGAACAAACACATAAGCAACTGATTACCCTTCATTTGTCCTCAATTTCCTGACATGTAAAATGGTCTCTAAGGAATCTTAGCTCTACCACTATCATCATCCTGCCTGTGGTATCTTTTTCCCCAGCTGTGATCCCAGATGGGTTATTTTCAAGTAACACATCACAAATTATCCACACTGTCTTTTGCTAGGAATCAAATGTGTGTGTGAATGTATACACACATACACACACACACATACAGGCATGATGTGGATATGGGGAGACTTAATCCCTGCTGTTCATTGTTCACTGCATCAAAGGGAGGCTGCCAGACACTTCTCTGTGAATGCACTAGTCTCAGAGCAGGGTCAAGAAGAGCCTTCTTCCTCTGGCTCCCAGCATTAGCTGTCTTATGTTTGACACCTCGTGCTGAGATGCCTTACTTGGTTGGAAGCTCAGCACTAACTCAGCTCAGTCTGATGAGGCACTTGGAAGAACCAAGTTGAGGCTGTCTTGAAACTGCAAAAAGAGCCAGAGGGTCAGTGTAGTCAGTTTGTAAAGAATCAACCTGGCTAATGAAGGGGCCAGAGAAGTCCAACTCACTGGTGTAAGGCTGTCTTTTGATCCTACAGGAGAAAGGAATTAATACTTTTATTTTACAGTAAATCTGTTTAGTAACACTGAATCTTATTTTTTGTTGTTGTTGTTCATTCTATTTTATTTTACCTTGGCATAATAGAAGTTTGCACAGAGCACAAAAAGAAGAATAGGATTCTCCCAGGATAATAAAATGCAATGGGCTCAAAGGAATTAGGGAAATTGTAAGCAAAGTTATGGATACAGGAGAGTGAAACATAAGTTTGAGAAAAGTATACATGGAAAGAGTCAGAAAAGAAGCCACTGATCACTGTATTTTCCTACAACATTCTGACACTTATAACACACAGTTATAGATTCAGCTGGATAATGCAAGTAAAGTATTTCACACAGTTCTCGGTACATACGAAGTGTTTAGTAAATGTTGGTTATAATTTGCTGTCAATGTTATTGTTGGAGAGAAAGGTTTTGACAATGCACTAGTAAATTCAGTGTTTATAAAGCTTATTAGGTGACTATGCAGAGTGCTCTACATATATTAATCCATCTAATCCACATACTACCCTATAAGGTAGACATTATTACTATGTCAGATAAGGAAACCAAGGTAAATAGAAGGGAAATAGCATGCCCAAGATTATCTGATTAGTAAGTGGTAGTCAGAATTCAAACCAAGGCAATGTGCTCCTGAAGCCAGGGTTTGGTCACAGGCTCTGTGGTCTCTTTAGAGCTCGATGGCCAACAATGTCATGTTAATAAACATCAATTTTATTTTTTCTTCAATGAGAGGACATTGATGTTACTTTGAGGAAACTGAAATAAGTCATGCCAAAGTTGAAGAAGCATTGGTGAGTGGAGAGGCTACAGATATCAGAATATTTCAGGAGATCATTGAAAGACAAAAGAAGGTACTAATCAAAGGCAGTGATGAGATGGAAGAAGAAAGAAGAGAGACATAATATAATGGACAAAACTGATCTGAGGTGTGAGACACAGAGTAGAATCTAGAGAGCTTTCCAGGTTTGGGTTAGGGTGAGTGGAAGGAGGTGATACAGTTACATGCTTCCAAAGGAAAACAACTGGGGAAGTAAGCAGGATAAAATATAATAAATGTAGTTGAGGTGGAAGTTCTAGTAGGACATCATACAGTGAAATGAAAATACTACATAAAAATTGACTATAACATTTCAAAGAAGAGATTGAAGTACCAGAAGTTCAACCACGTTGGAGAGTCTAGCTAATGAAATAAGGCAAGAAAAACAAAAAGCATAAGGGTTAGAAATGACGAAATAAAACCATCATTTTTCTTAGGTGACAGGACTGGCACCAATAGGCAAACAATTAAAAATCAGTCACTGTAACAAGGTGACTCAATATAAAGTCAATACATAAAAATTATACAGCAACAAAAATTAAATTTCTACAATAACACCATTTATAATTGCTTCAAAAATACTTAAAGATAAATCCAATGAAAGATGTGCAAAACTGCTACACTGAAAATAATGAAACAATATTGAGAGAAATTAAAGAAAACAAAGAAATTGTGGAGAGGTAATGTTCCTAGACTAGAAAATTCAGTACTATTAAGATGTCAATTCTCCCCTAAAAAGACCTGTAAGTTAAATCCAGCTCTAATCAAAATCCCAGCAGGAGTGTGCGTATGTATATGTGTGTGTGTGTGTGTGTGACTTTTTAAGTTAATACTAAAATTTATGTAGAAATGCATAAAGGTCAAAAAAAGCTAAGACTATCTTAAAGAAGGACAATGGTGGAGGGTTTATTTTGCCAGATTGCAAAACTAATAATAAAGTTACAATACTGAATGCAGTGCAGTATTGGTGAAAGTTAGACAAACTGACCAATGGACTAGAATATCAAAAAACATGGTAAACCCCGTCTCTACTAAAAATACAAAAATTAGCCGAGGATTGTGGCAGGCACTTATAATCCCAGCTACTCAGGAGGCTGAGGCAGGAGAATCACTTGAATCTGGGAGGCGGAGGCTGAAGTGAGCCAAGATCGCACCACTGCACTCCAGCCTGGGCAACAGAGTGAGACTCCATCTCAAAAACAAAAAACAACAACAAAAAAAAACACCCACACAGAGTAATTTGTTTTCTGTGTATGTTTATGCAGTATGCCAGGAAAAGAATAGTCTTTACAATCATTAGTGCTGGGTCACTTAGATATCCAATAGGAGGAAACAACTTAGCTTCTATCATACACAAAAGTTGATTCCAAATGGATTGTAGACCTAAGTGTACAAGAAAAAAGTTTACTAAACATTGAGTAGGAAACATATGAGAAATCTTGAGATAGGCATATATTTATTTGGGATAGGCATATATGTCTTTTTATTTTCAATAATTTTAACTTTTAGATTCAGAGGGTACATGTAGGTCTGTCATGTGGGAACACTCTGTTTGGAGTCCAGATGATCCCATCATCCAGGCAGTGAGTACAGCACCTAATAAGTAGTCCTTCACCCTTCATACCCCTCCCTTCCTCCCCACTCCAGCAGTCCCCAGTGTCCATTGCTCCCATCTTTATGTCCATGTGTACTCAATGTTTAGCTCCCACTTGTAAGTGAGACCATGCAATATTTGGTTTTTTGTTCCTGCGTTAATTCACTTAGGATAACAGCCTCAGCTGCATCTATGTTGCTGCAGAAGACATGATTTTGTTCTTTTTTATGGCTGCATAGTATTTCATAGTGTATGTGTGCCACCAGTTGATCTGATGGGCATCTAGGTTGATTCCATGTCCAATCCACCATAATTTGATGGGCATCTAGGTTGATTCCATGCCTTCGCTATTGTGAATAATGCTGTAATGAACATATGAGTTCATGTGTCTTTTTTGGTAGAATGACCTATTTTCCTTTGGGTATATACTCAGGCATATTTTTCTTAAACAGAACCTCAGAACTTCTAACCATGAAGGGAAAAAAATTATAAATTGTGCCACGTTAAAATTAAGAAGTTCAACTCATCAAAAGATACAATTAGCAGCATGTAAAGGCAAGCCACAAATTGAAGAATATTTGTAATACCTATGTAAAAGGTTGACTAGTGTCTCCCCAAAATATAGTCCAAATCCTAACCCATGGTATGTGTAAATGTGATCTTATTTGGAAATACAGTTTTTGAAGGTGTAATTAGGCAAGAGTTTTAATATAAGATCATCCTGGATTTAGAGTGAGCCCCGAATCCAATGGCCAGTGTCCATACAGGAGAAAAGGGAGAGCCGTTTCAGACAGAGACACAGGGAGAAGGCCACATGAAGATCCTCATGAGGGTGGAGACCGAGATTCTAGTCATGCAGCCACAAGCCATGGAATGCCTCCACCCACCAAAAACTGGAGAAAACAAGGAAGGAAACTCTCCCTAGAACTTCTAGAGGGAATGTAGCCCTGCTGACATTTGGTAAACTTCCAGCCTCCACAACTGTGAGAAAATAAATTTCTGTTGTTTTAAACCACAAGTTTATACAAAGTTTTTACCATAGCACTAGGAAATTAATACAACATGCAAATAGCAAAGGCTTACATTCAAAATACAAGTTCTTTTACATATATCAATATGAAATAGAAAACCAGTAGAAAAATGGACACAATACTTAAACAAGAAATTCAAAAAATACTCATCATCAGTAATCATCAGGGAAATGCAATTAAAACCACAATGAGATACCACCTTACGCCAGTAAGAATGGCCATTATTAAAAAGTCAAAAAATAGTAGATGTTGGTGTGGATGTGGTAAAAGGGGAACGCTTATACACTGCTGATGGGAATGTGAATTAGCACAACCTCTATGGAAAACAGTATGGAGATCCCTTAAAGAACTAAAAGTAGATCTACCATTTGATCCAGCAATCCCACTATTGGGTATCTACCCAAAGGGAAAGAAGTCATTATATGAAAATATACACATGCACATGTATGTTTATTGCAGCCCAATTCATAATTGCAAAGATATGGAACCAACCTAAGTGCCCATCAACCAACGAATGGATAAAGAAAATGTAATACATGTACACCATGGAACACTACACAGCCACAAAAAGGAACAAAATAATGTCTTTTGCAGCAACTTGGGGGAGCTGGAAGCCATTATTCTAAGTGAAGTAACTCAGGAATGGAAAACCAAATATCGTATGGTCTCATTTATAAGTGGGAGCTAAGCTATGAGTAGGCAAAGGCATAGAGAGTGATATAAAGGACTTTGGAAACTCAGAAGTGGGAGATTGGGAGGGGAATGTGAGATTTTTTTAAAAAAACCTGCATATTGGGTACAATGTACACTACTCAGGTGATGGGTGTACTAAAATCAGAATTCAACACTATATAATCCATCCATGTACCTAAAAACCACTTGTAGCCCCAAAGCTATTTAAATAAAAAAATTTTAAATAAAAAGATAAAATCATTGACTGTTATGTACGTGAACAGACATTTTATTTTACAGTTGAACAAATCTATAAATTTGTTATAAGCTGTCAGCATCTGTTGCACTATAAAGAAAGAAAAAATAAATTCACATAAGAGGGTATGCATGTAGCCAGTAAGTATATGAAAAGATGCTCAACTTCTTTTGTCATGAGGATAACTAAAATAGAAATGTGACAGAATGGCACAAATGAGAAAGATGGGCATTGCAGAGTGTTGGCAAGGATGTGGAGGGAGGAAAGGAAACTCTCAGAAATTGGTGGTGTTGGGAGTAGAAAGGGGCACCACTGCTTTGGAAAACAGCTGAGCAATACGGACTAATGCTTAAGATACACTGGCCCTATCACTCCGGACTTCTACGCTACAAAGCATTTCACTAGGCATAAATCTCCATGTTATAAGTGAGGACAAAAGGGAGTTCAGAAAAAGTAAAACAATCTGTCCAAGATCTAAAATTCATGCCCAGGTCTATTATGCTCCAAAGTTTCTGTACTATGCACAAGATTATTTCTCAGAAAACACATGAAACATTGGGGCTACATATCTGGAGAAAAGATAAAAGCCCCAAAGTCATTAGAGGAAAAGCCAGAAACATTTACAGTGTATGAAGTGAGAATATAAATTATAATAAATTCTTTTAAGTGGCGAAAATCTCTAGAATCGTATGGCCTAATCCCCCCACTTCACAAGTCAACAAACAAGTCATCACATGGCCACCTAGAAGAGCTAGGCTAAATTCCAGATCTTGCAATTCCCAGCTGTAAATATTTGCCTTTCCTCTACAATCTTCCCATCCCAGTTTCTCCCAACATCCACACTTGATTAAACACCTAGTCACCCAAAATTGTCATAAAAAATTACCTATGCATTCATCAAGATGAACAAAGCAAGGAAACTGACAGAAAGTCAATGTAGTGTTCTAGTCCCATCAGCTACACTAAAGACCAAATTTGATAGATTTGGTATGGAAGGGAGCAATCTCTTGTTAACCAAAAGTTATTATGAGTACACTACAATAATTCAATCTGACCTCGGAGACTTATACTTCCTTATCCTAGATGCCTCTATTTGCTGCACAAGTTTTCTCATAATGAGTTTTATCTCTAGATCTCAGAGCACTTTTAAAACATCCTACTTCCACTCTAGAAGCATTTTCATTGCAATTCTGTGGACTATTTAAATGTTTTCTAAGTTTGTCATAAATTGAGGTGATCCAACAGTTCCAAATAGAGAGATAAAGTCTAGCCCAGTGGGGGAAGCATTAAACCTCCTTGCAAGTCAGCAAAAGCAGAAGTGACAGCCCGGTAGCAATTTAAAATTACTCTGAGACCACAACTGCCAATTAAAGTAGACTTTCATGGTAACAAATGAACATCTGGTATCTTCCATTTAGAAAGAAAAATTTAAAAGAGTTTACATTTCTTAGTAATGAAAAACTTAGATATATGCCTACAATGTTTTCATTTGGGTTTTGCTTAAATTATATATTCTTTCATTATGGCTTACAACAGTACAATGTTTCTTTTTTGTTTTTTTAATAGCCATAAAATGTTCATAACAACAAAAAAAAACTAGGCAAAAATCAGAATCCATGATTCATTCACAGTCATTCTAAAAGCTGCACATTATCCTTCTCTCATCCCCTGCAAAAATAGATTTGGAAGAGATTACTCTAAAGATTCTATTTTGATGAAATGTATTTGATATGAATTCTGCAAACACATTCCTAGAAAAGGACTCTCCGATCTCAGAGAAAGAAAGAGGGCGAGAAAGAGAGAGGGAGTAAGGAAGAGAGACGGGGAGTAGAAATAGACACATATACACATAGAGACAGAGGAATGGATTTCTAATGATTGAAGCTTGACTCATATTAATATCCATCTATATATATGATCAAGTTTTTGAACATGTGGATTATTTGATCAATTGTATTTGATTAAAGGAAATCACACCTTATCTTACCTTTAAGATAAGGAGATGAGAATAACTGATAATCCATTTAGAGACAGATGTCTTCATTCAAACGTTACATCTTCTGAGAAACTGGGTCTTTAATACCTCAATTCATGCATTATGTCTACTTACTGCAATACCTGCATATGCCCCCACTCTAGTAATTAGTATTGAATCGTGTTGCTTATTGTCATGTCTTACAACCATGTGTTACCAAACACATTTTAATATATTTCTTTCTACTTCTTATCCATGACTCAGATTGTACCTAACACAGAAAGGACATCAAATAAAATTTTGATTAAATGAACAATTGTTCATGAGAATCTAACACAAAATTATCAGAAGTGAACTTCTGTCATTTCTGCCAATGAGTCACAGGTCAATCTCTTTGATTTAACATGAAAATCTTAATTTCTCCTCATGCTCAAAATCTATGCTTTCTACTTTTCTATTTCTTTAATGTGTAACCTGGATAAGTTCAATAGTATTAACAGGCAGCCTGTTCCACCCATCCGTGTCACATCCATAAGTATCATGTATACCTCTAGAAAAGCTAGACTTTACCCATCTTAGTTAGGTAGTATCCTTTCCTCCCACATCATTTGCTCATCACCTAGTCAAAAAGTTTGTGGTATTACTCCCTTCCCAGACATGCAATCCACCTGTCTTCATTTTGCTAAGTTCAGTCTTTCTTCATACTACTTCTCAAAGCCTGTGGTGAAATCAGGAGACAAAATCTGTGAATCAGAGGAAGGAAAGAGAAAGGCAAAACAGCTGCATGACATGAAATTACTTGTGGCTTTCACTGTGTGTCCAGTCCACAAAGTAGGCAGTATCACCCCTACCTCTGCATGTGATGATATTAAAATGTGGAGAAAGTAGGCCATTTTATTCATCCATGAGGGACTCAGCAATCTGTCCTCTTGATTTCCAGAGAATATAGCTTTGAAAACTTATCTGCGTCTATGAGACCATAAGCTCCTTGAATGCAAGGGGCTATGTCTTATTTATCTTTGTGTCAAAGATACACTTATCACATGTCACTTAACCCATTCATGTCTGTTAAGTGAATGAGCAAAATGTACCTGTTAAGTGAATGACAAAAAGTCTTTAAGTAGACAGCACAGGACTTTCCTAATCTGTCCACCTAAAGACTTTATCCTCCCATCACCTTCTTCAAGGAATATGAAGAACTATGATGTCTAAAGTTACAGTCATGTATTATCAGTTTCTCCATTTTTTAGACAAGAAAGCTGAAAATCAGAGACGTTAAGCAACTTGCCTAATGTCACTCAGATAGTATGTGACAAAAAGTCAATCACCAGTTATATCTGAATTCCATAATTCATATGATTTAATTATTATGCTATTTTGGTTCATTATCTGAAGCACTCATAGAAGACATTTATGTTGCTTAAAATTGCATATCAAAACACAGACAAACCCTAGCCTTAGGAGTATAACTTATTGATTGATATAGAAGACACACAGTCAAAAGTTAACTTACTATATGCTACTCATTGGCATGTCCCCAAAAGAACATCATCGTGCTGTAAATATTTATGTAGACATAGAATTATCAGAGAGAACAACTAGTCCAATCTTTTTGTGTGTTTTACCCAGATAGAAATGTTTCCCTAGAGATCAAGTAATGTCCTCAAGTCCCTCTGGCAAATGATGCTAGAAATAGAAATAGAGCCTGGTGTCTGTCCCCAAGTCCAGTCTTCATTCTGATACACTAGTCTGCTTCTCTTAATTAATTGCTGCTTCTATTATTAAGGTAATATCAGAATGGTCTTGATTTAATAATTCAACAAAGCCTTTTTAGCACCTTATGTTCCAGATCTTACAGAGATAAAATATGCGTTCCATTCATACTTCACAGATTCTTAAATGGAAAAGAGGTCAGCCTCTGTGAGTCGAACAAAACACACACATACACACACACACCCTTTGGTATTCAAAGAAACTTTCCCATTCATTCTTACATCTCTTGCCTCCTGCCATTGCCCTCCTCTTTATTTTCTTTGGCCAGAGTAATTAGGCTATGAAGCTGAGCTAATCCTGTTAGTGCCGCAATGACTTCTCTCACACTTGTGTGTCCCACAGCTCTTAGAAAGTCAGAAGGAATTACTGAGCATTGAATTCACCTTGCCAGAAAGATGACAAACGGGGAGGGAGGAAAAGGGAGCGTGGATGCCCAGCTGACCTGTTCTTTAACCTTTCCCTCTGGAAGCTGTTCTTCCCTCTGTGGGTGTCTGTGCAGGCCAGAGGCATGGCTAACACTGCCCTTGAATTACAAAGGGAGCAAAGTTGACGTCAGCTGTTTCTTCCTGAGAAAACATTCCACTAATTCCACAGCCAGACAGCTTGCAAAATTGCCTTTGTAGGACTGCTAAGGTCTCCTTTCCCGTCAAGTTCACTTTGTATTTACTCAGCAAAGATGCACCTACCGCAGAGTGCACCAGGAGATACAGTGTCAGAGTCATGGCAAGCCCACTTCATGGCTGATTAGCATTCTCTGACCCAGCCACCATTTCCAATCACTTGCAACCATAGACTTCTGGCTGCAGCAATTACTCCTATCCTTCAAAACACTTTCCTCCTCAACATCAGAATAAGTTTGTTAAAGCACTCTGCTTCAAATGATGCCTTGCTTGGAGCTGCTGTCTTTGACATAGTCTAAATCAAAATACACATATTCTAAACACACTTCTCCACAATTTAAATTCTGTAAATCTTATGCATACCCTCCATTAAGAATCATTGAATGACAAGAGCGATCACTTGTCTATTTAATTCACAGCTTAAGCAGAGTTCCTAAATTAACTCATGGTTTTTTTTTAATTTTTATAGATACATGATAGTTGTACATATTTATGTGGTACATGAGATATTTTGATAGAAACATACAATGTGTATGATCAATTCAGGGTAATTGGAATATCCATCATCATGTTTGATTTTTATTGAGCATCTATTAGGTCCTGGTATCGTGCTAAAACAGTGCTCCTCAAAGTGCAGTCTGCACTTTGGCAGTGTCAGCGGCACCTGAGACTCGCTAGGAATGCTAATTTTGGGGCACCACCAATAGCTGCTGAATTGGAATCTCCAGTGGCAGGGACCTGGGATTCTCTGGTTTAATGAGCTCTGCAGGTGACTCTCACAGGGTTTGAGAAGCACTGTGCTAGGCTATACATAGCTAAATGCCACTCAGAAAACTATCTGGCTCTTGAGATCTAAATACAATTGTTGAAACCTGGATTCCATGGCCTGAGTGTATTAGTTTGCTAGGGCTGCCATAAAAAAGCACCCCAGAATAGAGAGCTTAAACAGCTCACAGCTCTGGAGGCTAGAAGTTTGAAATCAGGTGTCAGCAGTGTTGATTCTTTCTGAGGACTCAGAAGGAAGGATCTTTTTCAAGTCTCTCTCCTTGGCTTGTGAATAGCTGTCTTCTCCGTATGTTTCCTCAAATCATCTTCCCTCTATGTGTGTCTCTGTTCTCTTTTAATACACCTGTCAGCCATATTGGATTAGGGTCCACTATAATGACCTCATTCTAACTTGATTAGCTCTGTAAATACCCTATCTCCAAATAAGGTCACATTCCGTAGCACTGGGCATTATAGGACTCCAACATACAAATTTGGGGGAATACAATTCAACCCATAACACTGCGGAATTTCCTATGTTTCAGTATATGTGTGTATTAGTCTGTTTTCATACTGCTATAAAGAACTTCCTGAGAATGGGTAATTCATAAAGGAAAGAGGTTTAATTGACTCACAGTTCAGCATGGCTGGGGAGAACTCAGGAAACTTACAATCGTGATGGAAGGTGAAGAGGAAGCAAAGCATCTTCGTCACAAGGTGGCAGGAAGGAGAAGCGCCGAGCAAAGCGGGGAACAGCCCCTTATAAAACCATCAGATCTCGTGATACTTCACTCGCTATCACGAGAACAGTATGGGAGAAACCGCCCCCATGGTTCAATTACCTCCGCCTGGTCTCTCCCTCGACACATGGGGATTTTGGGAATTACAATTCAAGATTAGATTTGGGTGGGGAGATAAAGCCTAACCATATCAGTATGTTAGTCTGTTTTTGTGTTCCTATAAAGAAATACCTGAGACTGGGTAACTTATTTTAAAGAATTACCTGAGACTGGGTAAATACATGAGACTGGCTCATGGTTCTGCAGGCTATAAAGCAAGCATGGGGTGGGGTTGGCATTTTCTTGGCTTCTCATGAGGCCTCACAAGAAGAGGAGCTTTTACTCATGGCAAAAAGTGAAGAGGGAGCAGGCATGCCACGTGGTAATATAGGGAGCAAGGGAGTGAAAAGGGTGGTTCCATATTCTTTTAAACAACCAGATCTCACATTAACTAACTACTCACTTATCACCAAGGGGATAGTGCTAAGCCATTCATGAAGGATCCACCCGCAAGATTCAATTACCTCCTATCAGGCCCCTGCTCCAACACCGGGGATTACATTTGAACATGAGATTTGGAGAGGACAAACAAACTGTATCTGTTATGATCTTCCAAATATCAAGCATTAGGCTAATATGTAGCTTTTGCTATCACACTCACTCTTGTAGCACCCTGGGTATGACACTAATCTTTGGTTCCCATGTGAATTTTTTTTTTTTTTTTTTTTTTTTTTTTTGAGACGGAGTCTCTCTCTGTCGCCCAGACTGGAGTGCAGTGGCGCAATCTCGGCTCACTGCAAGCTCCGCCTCCTGGGTTCACGCCATTCTCCTGCCTCAGCCTCCCGAGTAGCTGGGACTACAGGCGCCAGCCACCACGCCCGGCTAATTTTTTGTATTTTGTTTAGTAGAGACGGGGTTTCACCATGTTAGCCAGGATGGTCTCGATCTCCTGACCTCGTGATCCGCCCACCTCGGCCTCCCAAAGTGCTGGGATTACAGGCGTGAGCCACCATGCCCAGCCTGTGAATTCTTATGATGCCACTTTTTTGGAGAGTTTTGATAGACTTTATTGTACCCTCAAGATGGGTATCATGGGGAGAGGAGCATAGATTATGGCTTAGCTCCTGCCACTACCTCTTTCCTCTTCTCCTCCCTCTTCCATTCTATATGCAATGTTTTAAAGCACAAGCTCTTTGCCAGAGCCATGCTAACTACCAATGACTTAAAGATGGTAAAAACACCACTGTGATCCCTCTCATGTACATTGAGAGGCTGTGCTTCAATGTGATTATCCTCATTTAAGATAAGATGGTTAAAATTCATGGCCATGTGACATTTGCTTGTGATTTGCTTGGTACAAACATTGTTAATTATGCTACTTATTTCAGTTTCTTGAGAGGAAAAATCATACTCTTCCTTATGCAAATGGTTTCTAGGCATCTGACTTTCAGATGCTTGGATGTTGTGAATGCTCACATATTTCTTTATGAATAGCTGAAATGTAAACCCATATTTTATCACAGCTCTATTAACTTTATTGTTAGAGTGCTTGCTGTCTTCCTCCTTCCATGGACATTGATCTCTTATTACTAGTTCAGCTGAAGCACTGTCAATGTTAATATCAATGTAAAGCTCCTCAACTTTCTGAGGGGTATGAGGGAGTGGTGATTGTGACATAAATAAATCCGATGGAGCATATCAAACACTTATTTATTAATCAGGTAGCATCTCATATCAAGCAAAGTACCTCAAACTTAAAATGCCTCATCAGATGTCCTGATGTCACCCCCTCAGCCTCTCCCTTCTTGTCTTTCCCAGTAAATGGCGCCATCATCCTCCAGGAGTTAGCACCAGCTTCTAACCTTTCTTCACTTCCCACACCCAATCTATGAGCAAATGTGTTCAATGTTGCTTCAAAAATACATTCTAAATCGGAACACTTCTCACAGCCTCTATGTCTTCTGTAGTCCTGGGCACCACACTTTTCGACCGATGTCTGAAATAGCCTTCTGGCTGTTCCATTTCACCTCCCAATAACAACCTCTCCATTAAAGTATCCCAAGAGATCATTTTAAAATTGAAAACATTTCACAGTACTTCTCGCCTTAAAACCCTCCAGTGCTTGCCTAGTATGTTTAAAATAAAATCCAAAACTTTACTCAGATTTATAAAACCATGCACAACATTTTCCTTCCTGACTTCATCTCATACAATGCTCATTTAGGCCAGGTATGATGCAAAATACAACATACCCACCAAAGATAGTCTCCTTTAATCATCACAATAATGCTTTGGTAGATTGCCTGGTAGAAAGAATACGAAAGATATAGATTTATTTATTTATTTAGTTAGTTAGTTATTTTTGAGACAGGGTCTCACTCTGTCACCCCAGCTGTAGTGCAGTGGTGTGATCACGGCTCACCACAGCCTTGACCTCCTGGGTTCAAGTGATCCTCCCACCTCTGCCTCCCAAGTAGCTTGGACCGCAGACATGCACCATCACATCTTGCTAATTATTGTTATTATTATTATTATTATTATTATTATTATTATTATTATTTTGGTAGAGATGGGGTCTCATTATATTGCCCAGGCTGGTCTCAAACTCCTGGGTTCTAGCGATCCTTTTACTTCAGCCTCCCAAAGTCCCTGGGATTACAAGCATGAGCCATAATGCCCAGCCAACATATGAATTTAATAATGTTAATGAACTTGCCCAAGTATGCAAAGCTAGTAAGTTCTGCAACTGAAATTCACACCTGGTTTTTAACAACAACTAGCGGTTAGTACTTACTGCATACCAGACACTGCACTAAGTCCTTTATACCTAGTTACTCATCAAATATTTATATCAGCTCTGTCAGTTAAGTCTTATTGCCACCTTCATTTTAGGGATAAGGAAAATGAGACTCAAAGAGATTACTAAATAACTAGCTTATGGTCACACCACAAATAAATGGTAGAGCTGGGGTTGAATCTAGGCAGGTGGTTCCCAGTTCATGACTCTAATGCTAGCAAGTCTCTTCCTACCACTTAAATTAGCCACAATTCAGCTTCCATATACATATATATATATATATATATATATATATATATTTTTTTTTTTTTTTTTTTTTTTTTTTTTGAGACAGAGGTTCACTCTTGTTGCCCAGGCTGGAGTGCAGTGGCACCATCTCGGCTCACTGCAACCTCCGCCTCCTGGGTTCAAGCGATTCTCTTGCCTCAGCCTCCCAAGTAGCTGGGATTACAGGCATGCGCCACCACCACGCCCGGCTAATTTTGTATTTTTAGTAGAGACGGGGTTTCTCCACGTTGGTCTGGCTGGTCTCGAACTCCTGACATCAGGTGGTCCACCCACCTCGGCCTCCCAAAGTGCTGGGATTACAGGTGTGAGCCACCGTGCCCGGTCCCCAGCTTCCTTATCTTTAAAATGCAGTTAAGGCACTTACCTTGCAAAGATTTTTAAGGATTAAAACGACAATCTATACATGAAATTCAAAAAATAAAAACTAAAAATAATTATCATTAATCACTATAACGAGAGTAAATCTGGCTCAGGGCTTAAGTGTGAAATAAAAGAAGAAATAGAAACCTCTATACTTGACAGTAATTAAGACAAGGTAAAGGAAATAGAAATAAGATCAAGAAGATAAACACAGATCAATCCAAATACATTTTTCATATGAAAGGCCCTGGGGATAGTGGTGGCCAAACTGAAGACATAAATGGCCTAAAATTCAGTTTCTTACACATACTGAGTCCAAGGGAATTTAGTTGAAGTGAGATCATAATTCCGCAATGTTCATTTTCACGACTTCTGTGTCCTCTCCCTCTGCACTTAATACCCAGCCTTCTTGATGCAAACCTAGCAGGCAACATAGTGGTGTGATTCCCAGAGGAAACCACTTGGCACCTGACTCTAACATGGTGTAAAGTCCATGTCCTGCTGTCTTTCACAGTTTTATTTGGAGATGATTCACAGGATGGCTCCCGTGGTTCCTGCTGCAGCCAGGGGATGGAAAAGTGGCAATCTGACTTGCAAGAAAAATTAATTTTTCTAAGTTGGCAGCCACTGTGATGGTTTGGGGGCCTCCTATCCCTAGCTAAACTCCGTGGACTACAGAGAGGAAAAGACAAAACTATCTTTGCAATCTCTGTGTGTCCCCCAAAAGACACTGTACCCGCTGTTTGTATCAAAAATGAATGAATATCCATGTTGATGCTTATGTAACTATCAGAAGGTTCCCCTTCTTGCTCTCCTCTTGCCACTCTGCTCCCTGCCCTCTCTATTCAAGTCACCAGCCTTCTGTTTCTCCAACTCCCCTACCTCCACACTAACTCAGGGACTTGAACATGGTTCTTCCAGAAACACTATCCTTCCTGTTTGTTATGAGTTTGTCCCACCAGGATGCAATTTTAAAATGTGGCCCCGAAGGAAAGCTGCCCCAAACTCTTGTTAAGATCCTTCTTTTTTCTTTTGCCATTAAGCATCTCAGAACTTTTTGACTCATGTTACATCTCACCAGATTTGTGAGCTTGTAGGGAGCCACTCAATATTCATTTGGAGGCTCTGGGAAGTCTTGCTGAGGCAGGCTCTGTAGGCTTCTCCCTTACTTGGTGAGAAAGTATTGATCAAACGAGAGAGTGTTTCACGAGATGTCAGGGAGAGTGAAGGGAATGGCAGAAAAGCTTGGCTGGGTTATTTACCGGCCCCTGCTGGCATCTTCATGCCTGGAAAATCAGCATTAGGGAAGGGAAACATAAAAGCTGCCTCTCATTGCCCATAACTCAAAGGTCAGAATTGAATAAATGCTAATATTGCACAGAAAATCGCCTCTGAAAAGTTCCTCTCTCCTTAGATCTATATTCAACATGCAAATGTAGTGGCGTTTTGTTTTTCTTCCTTAATTCCAGAAGGTTGTAGATGAGTATATCATTTTTACACCAACAATAGTGAGAATTTTCATCTTGGACTTCATTTCTGGATTGCACAATTTAAAAGGCGTATCACCAAAAGAGGACACAATTGGAGAAAGGTAATAAATAAGATCATAGAAAGGTGGTAGAAGGAGGAAGTAAAATCATAGAATGCCATAATGACTAAAGGATGTAGCGATATCTATCCTAGAAAATAAAATATGTTAAAATCTGTGGCATTCAAGAAGAAATAACTAAGGCCAGTGAGTATGACATCAGATGGAACAAGATTTTGGCTCAACCTATAGACCTTTCTAAATTCTAAAAATATCTTGTATTGAGATGTACTCTCAGGAGCAGCTGAGCTACCTGTGCAAGAAGAGGCCATTCTCTGGTCTTTTCTAGGAAAGAGTCTTGTAAGGGAGTTGGAGTGGGCCTCCTACAGACTCCTTCAGCCCTAAAAGTTAGTGATTTCATTAAATTTTCCCCTAAGGTCCAGCTTGTCTCAACCAGTCTTGATTTCAGAAAGACCGTTAAAATTTGTAAACCTTATTCAAAGAAGCCCAAAGATGCAAGGGTTGGGCATTTCTGTTCTTTTTACTTTAAGATTCTCTTGCCGCAAAGACTATAGCCATTTGGCGTAAAGAAGAAGTAGCTGCTCTGTCAAATTTTTCTTGCTCACGCTTGGTACACGAAGCTTTCTATGATCTGGCATATGCTTACCAATTCAGGCTCATCTGCTTTTCTCTCTCCATACTCTCCTATCATCACCCTGCCAAGGTGCCACCTCCTTTAGAAGTCTCTTCTCTTCTCTGAGATTCTTGCAAAGTATACAGGTTTGCACAATAAACATGTTTCCATAATTGTGCTTATCACACTACCCTCTGAATGTCCTATTCCACACATATTTCATGAGAGCAGAGCTTGAATGTCCATTACCTGATAGAGTGCCATGCACAGAGTAGACCCTCAATAAAATACTTTAAATGAATCCAATATAACCACAGTAATTCAAAATTGACTATAAAGCATTTCAAGCCAGAGACAATAGCTCTTCTATAGAATCTAGTAAAATATACAGAGTAGATCTTTTCCAGATATTGTCATTGAATAAATGAATTTATTATGCCCAGCATAAATATTTTATTCTTCTCAAATTATATTAGTATTTACTATTGCTCATTATCAGAAGCAATATTGTTTATTTGACAGTATCAATATTTTTGTTCACTTGTCTTACCTTGCAGCTTTTCTTCTTTCTTCTCCTTGATTTTTATTCCTTCCTCCATCCTTCAACTTCTATCCATTGCCCTTCTTTGGTCACTAAACTTCTCTTTATCCCCTTAATGTATTCCTTTCTCTTCTTCAAAAACATTTTAAAGCTGTACATTAGATGCCAGTGATAGTGAATTTTGTGTTGGAGACACAGAAATTAAGAAAGCATTCTATTTATGTAAAGATCTTATCATTTACTGGAAAAAAACAGGCAAGTGAACCAATCACCAAAATAAAGTATTGTAAATGTGGGAATAGGGATAGAGCACCACAGGAGCACAGAGACAAGACATCTACCCTAACAAGAAGAGCTTGGAATGCTTCCCAGAGGAGGTGATGCTTGATCCTGTTTAAATATCTTACCACAAATTGACTTACCCAAACCCCATAACTAGGATTAATATTCTACAAATGGAACATTAAGGAAATGTCTACTTCTATACCCTGAGTGAACATATCCCTGAACCACTGGTTATGAAAGTCATAAGTATCTTCCATCCTGTAGGAGCCTATGATAGCTGTGTCTTTTCGTTCTAGTCATCTTTACAATGGGTACTAACTGCTGAAGGGCGGTTTTGATCTTCTAGTAATCCACACCAGCTGTTAGGAGCGGCAAGAGGGAGCGAGAAGGTAGATATGAGCACAGACTGATTTCCATAACTAAATATTGTGAAAGACTTAAAATGTTCAACCATTGAAAAGCTGCCTAACTACATAGCAATGGAAGATGATGAAATAGAATAAGCAATGGAATAAGATGAAATATTAGAAATCCAATAAAAATAATGGCATAGATCTATATTTATTGACTTGGGAATATGTCCATGACATATTTTTTTAGTGGAAAGGCAGTTCACAGCATAGCGTATATATAATATATAGCCCTGTTTTACTTAAGGGAAATGTGCATAATCACTGATGTGCCCCAAGGGACATAGAGAAGCATCTAGGCAGAATATTAATCAAAATGCATTATTATTTACTTCTCTGAATAGGGAATTTGTGTTGCAGTTATCTTTCCTCTTTGTAGAGTTGTGGGTTTGACTTTTTAAAATTAGTGTGTCATTCAAAAAGCAGCAGTATCATTTGAGAGCAGGGCTCCAGAGTCTGACTGTTGAATCCAAGCTCTTCTGTTTACTAATTTACAACCCATCAGCAAGCTGCCAAATCACTTTGTGCTTCAGTTTCTCATCTGTGAAATGGGAAGAATAACAGTAACTAACTCAAGTAGATGGTCTAAGTATTGAGAAATAGGGACAAAATGCTTAGAATTGTCCCTGGCACACAATTTTAATAATTGTGAAACCACCTTTGCAAAATTACAACAGTAAGAGATATCTGACATGACTGACTCCATCTTGCTTCTAGCCTTACAGGCTGGCTGTCTTTGCCCATTCCTAGGCATGGGCCAAGCCAGCTTTGGGAGAAATTTAGTTTATAATTTAAATGACAATAGCCCTTCCCCAAAACTAAACTGCCCTTGTAAAACTAATGAAAGGCCGCCAAGTTAAAAGGATGAGAGGGGTCTGAATTCTAAATAATTACCACTCGTTATTCCAGAGGTCATAAGATTTGCAACTTTCCCAATTACTCTTGGAGATAACATCACTATTGTAAAAACTACGATTGGCCTTTCCAGATATCCTTTCAGGTTTTTGCATTTCTGACAACTGGATAGCCCCACCTGGACCCACAACCAGTTCTGTGGCCCCCACCCAGGAACCGACTCAGCACAAGAGGACAGTTTTGATTCCCTATGATTTCATCTTTGACCCTACCAATTAGCACGCTGCCTACCCTAGCCCCCAGCCTACCAAATTATCTTAAAAAAAAAAAAAAAAAAAAAAAAAAACAGAAAACAACAAACAAACAAAAAAACAAAAAAAACCTCTAACCTCCAAGCCTTCAGGGAGATTGATTTGAGTAACAATTCTATCTCCTGCGTGGTGTGGCCAGCCTCCCATGCAGTTAACTCTTTCTTCACTGCTATGCTCTGGTCTTTATTTGTGCAGAGGGCAGGAAGAACCCATCAGGCAGTTACAATTGCTACAATGATTATTTAACAAAAGCAATGTAAATTATATAATTTAAACTGTGTGGCTTACTCCTTTACCCTCTTCAAGTTCTAAATCAAATTTCATCTCATAGAGCATTTCCCTGGCCAACCTAAAAGCGCAACAAGTTTTCCCATTCAGCCCACATCCCTCACCATAGGTACTCTCTCTCCTCACTTTTTTCTTCAGAATGTCTTTCTCTATTTTATTTTCCTCCTTAGCACTCACTACCATCGAACATTCTATGTAATGTATTTATTTATTCTGTTTACTGTTTGCCTCTGCCCAGTAGAATATCAGTCCCATGAAAAGAGGGATTTTTTGTCTGCTTTTTTATTGCTGTATCCTCAACACCAAGAGCAGTGTTGGTGTATAGTGGACACTCAATAAATGTCTGATAAATTAATGAATGTTAATAAAGAGTTTGTGATAACAATATATGGCATATACTGGACAAGTCCCTTCAGCTTGTGCTTTTAGTAGTAAGTGCCTTAACCAAAAATACCCACTTAGTGAAGCCATATCAGGTCGTTGTACCTGTGCAGCCACTGATTTAACTAGAGAGGGACACTGACCCAAGAGGGGCCATGACCATCAAGTGGGTGAAGCAGTAAAGCACAAGTGGTCTCTCTCTTACTGAATAAGGGAAATGGTAAATAATCACGCCAATCAGACTTGCTTTTTATGGAGCTTTTTCTAGATATTCTAGCAAGTATGAGCCAAGTGTTAAGGTGAAGACAAAAGATTCATTAGCTGAGGGTGGTGCTGCATGCCTATAGTCCCAGATATTCAGGAGGCTGAGGCAGGAGGATCATTTGAGCCCAGGAGGTCGAGGCTGCAGTGAGCTGTGATTGCACCACTTCACTCCAGCCTGGAGACAGACAGAAACTTTGCCTGAAGAAGAAAAGAGAAAAGAAAAGACTCCTGGAAGGAAGGAGGTAAAACAAAGTCAAAAAGGAGAGAAAGAAACTGACCAGAGCTGCCTCAACTCCAAACAGCTCTCAGTTCCAAATCCATTCAAGAATCACATCCTCCATTGTTGCTTGTTTTTTGTGGGCTGGTTTGTTTCCTTTGAGTGAACTAGTTTCCTTTGAGTGAATTAGTTTCAAGTCCTTACGATCCAAAGAGCTCAATTAAAAACTGAAAATGGATTAATATACAAAATTACACACTGAATATAATCACAGCTACCTTTATTGTTACTTTTTTGACTTTTTAATTTATTTTTATTTTCCAAGATCATCTTACCTAAGAAATGCCTAACATTTAAAAAATTATGGACCAGGCACGGTGGCTCACACCTGTCATCCCAGCACTTTGGAGGCCAAGGTGGGAAGGTCACTTGAGCCCAGGAGTTTGAGACCAGCTTGGGAAGGATAGTGGGACCCTGTCTCTACAAAATTCTTTTTTTTAATTAGCTAGGCATGGTGGCACGTGCCTGTAGTCTGAGCTACTCAGGAGGCTGAGGTGAAAGAATCCCTTAAGCCCAGGAGTCGGAGGCTGCAGTGACTAATGATCACACCATTGCACTCCAGCCTGGGCAACAGAGCAAGACTCTGTCTCAAAAATAGATAAAATAAAATAAAATTTAAATGTAAATAATTTTATATGAATTTGTTTATAAATTAAAGACTCCTCATATGTGTAAATTGCATTGCATTTGCATATTATTACTTTTATTACACACAGAAAAAATACTAAAAGTAAATGATCCATCATGTCATGTCACAAATGGTTTCTTCCACATAGTGGGATTAGGTATGATTATTTATCTTTGGTAACATGTTTTAATATTTATATTCCAAATTTGCTACAATAAGTATACTAAAATATTTTTAAATACCAGTAGATAAAGAACACTCAACAAAAAATATAATTGTTTGTTCATTTATTCATCAAGAGCACTAAAATGAAATGCCTACCATTTGCCACCTAGCTCCATGGAATAATAAACAGGATGATGTCATTAGTAAGTTTCAAGAGTTATTTTGAGCTATTGGCCATAATAACCTTGCAAATTAATATTATATTTCAAAACTATTGTGAAGTCTAATAATACTTTCTTATGTGGAAATGAATTGCTTTTAAGAAGGACAAGGTGTAGAAAAGCTTTTTTCAGCTATATCTTCAGGGATGTTGCTCAGATTTTGATGTTTTTACCTGTGGAAGAAGATGAAGGTCAAAATGTTAATTTTGCAATCATTAATATTATGATTCTAATTATTACCATTATACATTTTTATAGCATGTTTCATCTTAGAGACTTGCGGTAACTAACTGTTGTGTCTACGAGCTGATTAACTCTGCACCAAGTCTGATGAAAATTTCTAGATGAAACATAAAGGAGATTGTCATAATGGGGTTCACATATCTCCCATGAAGTGGAAATGACACTAACGTGGTTAGTTTCACCTTCTTTCAAATTTGATATAATCTGAGCTGAACAGAAACTGACTGAAAAGTCCTGAAATTATCTCCCCCAGAATGTGAAGAGTGACAGTATCTGATCCAGCAGTTCCAGCGAATGCATTCAATTTTGAAAGGCCAGTTAGATAAGAGAATATTGGCACAACTCTCCAGATATCCGTTCCCCAATTAACAATGCCATTTTCTGTTTTTCTAAGTGGAGACTAGGAAGTTTGTCTTGGCATTACAGGTCTCTGCTTGGAGCTTATTCATTTCACAGATGGTGACTGTTCTGCTTCTACAGCTTTGAAAAGATGTGGGTATAGGTAATGGGGGGTGATGAAGAGAATGAAAATAATAATATCCATACAAACACTATCATTATACCACTATTCCTTCTGGGCCTACTATGCTCAAGTTCCTGCTTTGCAGGAGCCCGTACGTTAGTGAGAAGACAGGCCCCTATCTAAACACACTAGTGAGAGTCAACTATAAGGGTTTTCCCACATGATTTTCTTCGACTTTGCACATCTAAGGACAAAGAGAGAGAAAATGTTACACTTATGTACAGGGGTTCCCAATTCCCGGGCTGCAGACCAGTACTAATCTGTGGCCTGTTAGGAACCAGACCACACAGCAGAAGGGGAGCAAAAGGCAAAAGAGCATTACCACCTGAACTCCTGTCAGATCAGCTGCTGCATTAGATTCTCATAGTAGTGCTAACCCCATTGTGAACTGCACAAGCAAGAGATCTAGGTTGTGTAATCCTCACAAGAATCTAATGCCTGATGATCTGAGGGGGAACAGTTTCATCCTGCAACCATCCCCACCACCCCCGCCCCATCCGTGGAAAAATTTCACAAAACCGGTCCCTGGTGCCAAAACTGTTGGGGACCGCTGCTTATGTATGATTTTCTGTGTGTGGTATGGGAGGTATGTTGATTTATGTGCTAAACACTTCTATGCATAAAGCACTTAGCACTTCCACTCTACTCTTTGCTCCAATCAACTTCTTTGCAGCCAAGTATGTGGATGAGTTTCTTATGTAGAAGACATTAAAGAATTACTTCAAGAAAAAAAAATATCAAGAACTAGGGAATATTGTTAATCAAGAACGATTATTCTGGTTTTCAGACACCTTAATTTTTAAATCCCAATTATCTGCCCTCTTCTACCCATCGGCATTTCAGACAGCAGCCTACTGTAAAGCCATTTGAATTCTAGCCAATAGTTTACGTTTCAGTTCCCTCTTTCTTTGATAGCTATTGGAGGAGCAATTGTATTTCATGCTTGGACTGGTCCAGAAGTACATGAACAGAGGCCATTTTCTGTGACATAGTTTTTCTATTCCATAGTAAGACCCTAACAAAGAAACTGTAAGAGTTTCTAGTATCAGAAACTTTAACATCAATTTGCATGTCACTGTCAGACACCAGCCAGGGAGCCTACTTTTGGCACTTCCAAGAAGGTCGGATGCTGAACCATCAATAACTGGCAACAGTGACAAGAAGATGGAGCTATCTGATGAGAACTCGATGGAATCTACCACTGGAAAGAGCTTATCTTTGCTGAACACCTGCAATGTTTCTCTTTTAAAATATATCTTCTGAGTGAAAAGTAATAATGTCCACCTGTTTAATAGGGAGTTCATTTATTCAAATTTTATATGGACAAAGCTAAAAAGGAAATAGACATTGTGGGGGGGGGGAATGGAGAGGGGTTTAATATGTCCCATATAAAATAGACTCAATTATTAGGAGCCGTACAGTAAGTATGTGAGGAGTAAGGGAGGATACACTTTAAAAGACTTGTACAAAAATATTCAGAATAGCTTTACTCCTAATACTCCTAATAGCTAACATATAGAGACAATCCAAATGGTCATCAACAGGAGAATGGTATATTCTTACAAATTGATATACTGTGGTGGGATTTTTTTGTTGCTGTTGTTTATTTGCTTGTTTGTTTGGTAGAGACGAGGTCTCACTATGTTGCCCAGGCTGGTCTCAAACTCCTGGGCTCAAGCGATCCTCCCACCTTGGCTTACCAAAGTGCTGGGATTATAGGCATGAGTCACCTTGCCAGGCCACTATGTTTTTTGATATAATGGAACACTATTCTGCAATTTTAAAAACTAGCAAACAGCCGGGCACAGTGGCTCACACCTGTAATCCCAGCACTTTGGGAGGCCGAGGCGGGCGGATCACGAGGTCAGGAGTTCGAGACCACCCTGGCTAACATGGCGAAACCCTGTCTCTACTAAAAAAAACACAAAAATTAGCTGGGCGTGGTGGTGGGCGCCTGTAGTCCCAGCTACTCAGGAGGCTGAGGCAGGAGAATGGTGTGAACCTGGGAAGCGGAGCTTGCAGTGAGCCGAGAGCACGCCACTGCACTCCAGCCTGGGCAACAGAGCAAGACTCTGTCTCGGAAAAAAAAAAAAAAAAAAAAAAAAAACTAGCAAACTATTGATACACACAGCAACACAAATAAATCTTAAAAACTTTGTTTTCAGAGAAGTCAGAAACAAAGAACTACATATGTTTCTCTTTTAAAATATATCTTCTGAGTGAAAAGTAATAATGTCCACCTGTTTAATAGGGAGTTCATTTATTCAAATTTTATAAGGACAAATCTAAAAAGGAAATAGACATTGTGGCGGGGGGGAATGAAGGGGGTTTAATATGTCCCATATAAAATAGACATATTGAGATTCCATTTATATTGAACTCCAAGAACAGGCAAAACTAATGCCAAATATTTTTATTGATCCCACTTGATGTACAAATAGTTCCACCTCTCATTCTACACATAATGAAAACTGATGCTGCTGAAGTCAATTGGCAAGGTTATGAGGATAATTGGTAATGAAACTGAGATGTGAATTTCCAGACAAAGGCTGCCTTCTCCCACCTCTTATTTATGCAGTGAACACGTTTGTGGAGCCTACCCTTTTCCAGGTACCGTGCCAAGCATGAAAATCAAATAGTAAAAATAAAGTTGGCCTATGCCCTAATTGGCAATAAAGCATAGAGGGCAAGAACATATTTACTGCAAAGCAAATATATTGAGTTGATCACATGTAAAAGAAAACTTCTTATCAGGGTATAGATTGTTCATCTCACATCTTTAAACCCTTACCCATACCCAAGAGAGGAATTTTCTAGGTAACAACTTTAGTCCTTGGGTACTGATCTTCTCTCAGGAGGATACAGAAGCTGGAGGTCTGTTCTTAAATGCAGCCATAGGAAATGAGTCCACCATTTCCTGCTATATCTTCAAATTCCTCCCCAGTTTCATCTCCTTTGTGAAAGCTAAGAATTTATTTCTCTTCTCTTTATTAAAGCACATATTCCAAACTGTAGTTTTTTAGCCTCTCCCTGCTTCCCTAACAATATTGTGAATTACTTGAGGAGAGAGAATGACGTCATTCATCTCAACATCCACTGAGCCAAAAATGATGCCTACACCTCCCTGTGCCTATTGGCTGGACCATACACCCGCCTGGCAATCTGGACCCTTTCCATCATCCAGTGCTGAATTCTTACTCCAGGTTCTATAGCCCCATGTGTCTTATGCTCTGGAGGGATAATGGCCACATTATCCAATATAAGACATGTATGGGTTGATCTTGAGTTAAGCCAGAGTCCCCAAACATCAGATGTCCTTCCATGGCCGTAGGATCATCCATTTTATTTCATCATTAGCCCTTCCTCATCCAATGTAGAGATCAAGTCAAATCTAGGACTCTTGAAAGGAATGTGGAAAGGATGAGGCTTTACCTGATTCAGCACATTGCCCTTGCCCTCCTGGAAGCAGTCATCTGAACAAACAAGGAGTGAACAGCCCTCAGGGCTATATTCTAAAGTTCTCTTGTGAAATTACAAAACACAGCAGAGTAAAAAATAATTTTCCTTGGAAAATCATTCTTGTATATGATGATGAGGAGTGACTACACCGCGACAAAATAGTTAATGAAGAAATAGACAACCCAAACTGATTGCTGTCAGAAAGACAAAGAAAAGCCCAGCACTTTACATATTTTTTCCTTTCCTTTCTGCTCAACAACGTTGCACTGTAGACAGTAATTCAAATGGAAAGAACAAAAATGGTGCGTGAGTCTACCTAGCACAACCACCTCACTTAATTTGATGGGAGAGAATATCTGTCAATATACTTATGGTCCAACCACTGACTGATTGGAGACTCTCCTTCCATCCCACCTCTTCTAATGTTATTTAACGAAAAAGTTAGATGCTGCTACATGGAGCCTCAGGCATGATAAAATGAAGACGGTTTTAACATTTTCTTGCTATTGCTCTTTAGTTTTTTACTTACAATTTCTTTAAAACACATCATTGAGAGCATACTTGAATTTTATCATAGTAACAGTTGAAACAAAGAAACTTTTAAAACCAGGTGTATTAGTACTCTTTTGCCATGAGCATCTGTTCGTTTTAAGAATATTTACTCAGGACACAAGATATAGCTCCAGGATTTTCTTTTTTTCTAGTTCAGCCGTGAGTCGCAAAGAGCCTTCATTATGAAAATTTAATTGAGCCACGTGGTTTTGTGTCAATATGCACTATAAAATATTTTCCTTCTGGCAATTGGAAAGATATTATTCTTAGCTAGGTTTATAAAATTCTACCTCTTTCATTCCTCTCTACCATTTTGAAATAGATCCCGTTTCTGGCAAATTGAGTCAGTAAGTAGAATTTATTTTTCCTTGTAATTGTTTTATTTCCCCAAAAAATAAGTACAACAAGGAAAATGAAGCAGGGCTGGAATAAATGGCTGTCAACTCAACAAACCTTAAGTAAATTTTATGCCTGGTGCTGCCATTGGTATTCAATCACTAGATATTTTGCCTTGAATAATCACCGATGGACATTGATTTTGTCTTTGCTCTTCACAGCACAGCAAAATTAATGTGAAAGTCAGACTCAAATGAGTCCCAATGGTGTCCTCCGATCTATCTCTGCTGAGAAGCACATTTCAAATACAGAAGAAATGGCAACCAGCTGAGACCCAATGTATCTTGTATTGTAACAATTAATGGATATGAATAGCCCTCACAGGAGTGCTCAGCTTACCTTTATATCAACTTTGGAGGTGAGAGTCTGAAATAGTTCATTGAGGTTAATATGTAGTGGTTTTATGCTTTGATTAATTCTCACCAATTAAAATGATGATGTTTCTCTTTTTTCACATTATATTTTTGTAACTATTCTTTTGGGTATATGGATGTAACCATGAAATGTCAACAAGGGGGCAATAATTGCATAGGAGTTTAGAGTTAAAGAGAAAATATTTTCCTGAGTGCACTTCAAAAAAAAGAAGAAAAGAAAAAGAAGGGAATGATAGAATGTAATGTGATATTCAGTGGGAACAGTAGCAGTGAATATAAGGAATGGCACATAGCTCTTTATCCTTGAATCAAGAGGGAATATCAGCGATCTGTCATGCTGATGGCACCTGAAACACCACCTACCACTTACTTGCTTCAGACGAATTCAGACCATGTGGCAGAACCCTGGAGAAACCATAAGCAACCATTTTAGGTGAATTCTGGACTGTTAAAAATTGGGAATCTTTATACACAGGTAATGTTTCTTCATTTTTGCATGTCCCAGCACCCAACCCAGTTCTTCAGGCAGAGGAGCTAGGTAGGTGTTTAGTAAAGTTTGAGGTGTAGAAAATGAAAATGAAATTGAATGAAATGAATTGCCTAACATTATCTTCGTGTAGCAAGTATAATTAGTGCTTCATTCTTAAGTCCTGAGCTCTCACTTCTGAGCTCTGTACTCACCAATGGCATTTAATGGCAAACAGATGCAACTGTCTGCCTAAAGATTTTTCTGGTCACCCAAGCAGTCTTGGCCAGGTGTTTACTATCATATGACTAGATACAGCCTTCATTGATTGACAGCAGGAGTTAGTGGAGAAATATCTCAGCATCCTCAGATCTTGGGTGGGAAAACTCTGAGGGATAGTCTGCAAAGCCCACCAGAGCTTCGTAGAGGAATTGATCCCAGGGGCTCGCAGCACTAACCGTCTCATTATTACAGTCTATGTTTTCTTCCTTCCCTTCCCTGTCTCACTTTTGCCTCCCCCTACTGGTGCCTCTTGGAATCACCTTCCACATATACTAGTTGTACTTCTTGTCGTAGGTCAGCATCTAGGGAAACCCAAATCAAGACACGTTGTTTGTCAACATTACTCAGGATGCTAAAAAAAAAAAAAAAAAGATGGTGCATGGCATCCTTTGCCATGCCATGTTTTAAAAGGCAATGCAACCAGGCAGCTGTAATACTCAGTTCCAGCGCCTGCAGCTTAACACCTCTTTGCATTACACTGACGTTTTCAGGCATGTCTGTTAACTGTAGACCTTCTGTAGGTGTTTGTGTTGCATTTACAGCATCTGCTCTGGGACTAAAGCAGTGATCACAAAAGTAAAAAGGATCTACACAGTTAATCAGATTGCTTCATGGACAGGAAAAAACTATAGCCAATAATTTATCTTCAATGCTTTTCCAGTTCAATCTTATCCCTTGAGCTGTCTGTGCAACACAGACTGAAGAAAAAATCTGGTAATTATTTGGTATAATTCAATCAAAATAGATGGCCAATCTAATAATACAAGGCATAAAGTTACATAAGGACTAGATTGCACCTGTGTTGATGATACAAATTCCGAATTACCACTTTAATCTCTCCTGAATCTTTGCCTCCATTAATGGAACTGACTGCAATGTCATTTGATTTTCTTTTTACCATTTTCACAATCAACAGAGTTTTAATCAATTGCATTGATTTTTCTCAGTCCATCTCAGCATTTTGAATTATGTCAAATATTAAGACCAGACAACTCTATGTTAAAAGCAGATGCTTCCATTAATAATCAATGAAAGGGCAGAGGGGCAAACACAAGAGATAATAAAGTAAAGGATCCTTGAAGGCACATACTGCTAATTAGATTTATTACCAACTCTGTGACTTTGAAGAAAGCACCTAATCCCTCTGAGCCCATGTTTTTCATCTGTAATGGAAATAATAATTTCTAATTTTCAGGGGTTTTATGAAAATTAGAAATAAAATATCTAATGTTGCCTGCATATAGCAAGTGCTCAGAGTTATAATTTTTGTTTTGGTATTGCTCCATCTTTCCAGGCTAATTTCTAGCCCAATTGTGTCAATTGCCTCTGAAATTGATCATGCTTCTTTGGGAAAGCTTTGCATGCCATGTTTCTCTCAGTTCACATAGGACTAGTTTTGGTCAAGGCTTTCACATGCTTACAATTTCAATCAAGTCAACAAACAAATAAAACTTTGCATGGGCAGCTCAGAATTAAAGGTGCCTGTTTCTCTAAGTGATGGGATTCCACAGAAAGGAAATACAATTTTAAGATAAGCCTAACAATTTAATAAAGTTCAAAATGTCACTAATTTAGAAAGAAAACTAAATTTAAATTATTATTGTTTTGGAATTTATGTTTTAGAATTTAGCCTACTAAATTTCCAGCTGTAATTAATAACTATTATATTATTCCAAAGATTACATGAGATAATGCAATTAAAATACCTAGCACACTAGTTGGCACAAAAAGCACTCAAATAAGTATGGCTTAATAAAAAAAAGAACATAAAATTGCATTACTATTCTTGCTATATCATCATACAAGATAATTTGGATGACATATATTATTTTACCCTAATATTATATATTAGAGATATTAATTATGTAACATTTCCTTATGCATTTAAGATCCAGAGACATCATTCATAGAGAAGCAGAATTTTAAGTGTCTTCTTCACTTTTTTCTCCACAAACTGCATTTGCCTTCTGTCTTGAAATTGAACAGCAGGGAAATATTCCCAAACATTCATTTTCAATGATTTAAATTTAAGATTTTTTGTTTTAGGGAGAATAAAATATGCCAGTCTAAGGACTTGTTTCTGCCTCTGGACTCAGATTGTCAGGATAAGATGCATCCCATGGCACAGAGCCCAATTTGTAAAAATGATCTGAGTTAACCAAAAACAATTTTATATCTAGAAAGCATTCCCAAGCTTTCCATTTGGGATTTGTAATCCCAGAAGGCATGTAATCCAACTAAAAGATGAGATCTTTCCTATCTTATTAAAAGTCCAAAAAATCATGACATGTTAGTTTTATGACAATAACACAATGTTCATGCATACACACCCACACACACGATTACAGTTGGCATTGTTATTTAATATGCCATTCATTTCATGTCAATTTTTGAGCTTTCCACCAAGCAACTGATAGTAAAGTTAGTGCTATGTGCAAATAACCTTTTACTTTCAATAAAGGAATGTGATTTGGGTCTTTTCCACCTTCAAATTAGAAGGTACATTAACTAAATTTGCATGATAAATCATTTAATAATTTATAAGGAAATAAATATGACATAAAAGATCATTGCAAATGTGTACTGTTTGCTTTCCTCTTAATTATAATTGAAGAAGACAATTGGTCTTGTGAATTGCTGATTGGGGTGGAAATGAGAGTGCGGAGCTCATTTTTAAGTCTTATGTAATTCCTGGGATTGGTCAGCATGGACTTAAACACTGTTAATGCATCCGGCAACCATGATCCTACCCTATAAATGCTCTATTCTGGAACCAGGATGGAAGTCAGGGCTTCTTTCCTATTTCAATAATAACCTATTGCCTGGCATATACCAGTAGGAACCCAAAGCCAACTTCTTTGTAAGAAAATTAATATTAGGTCTCATTGCTTGAAAAAAAAATAAATTTGGCTGGCTAACTACATAGTATATGACAGTGTGTTAGGGAATGTTCCTGAAGTATTTGTATAGATTACAATCACAGTAGATCTTAAGGCCCTTTCTTGTATGAAATGCAGATATAAACTTAAAATTATCTTTGCAGAGCCATGCATTCGTGGAAGGTCCAAAGTGTCCACAGATAAACTGGATTTTGGAATCCCAAATAATTCTGTAACAGATAAAACTCTTAAGAGAAAAAAGTTT
Source organism: Homo sapiens (assembly GCF_000001405.40). Lineage (NCBI taxonomy): Eukaryota > Metazoa > Chordata > Mammalia > Primates > Hominidae > Homo > Homo sapiens. The sequence continues at coordinate 59,189,844 of NC_000016.10, read as the reverse complement.
GGCAAATATTTCCTTATTTTTCCAATTGTCATAAAATTCCCTTCAAGTTGAACACTGCTATCACCATTTTAGGAATGGAAACTGAGGCTCCAAGAGCATCAGTAACTTGATAAAAGTCATATGATGTAGCAAATTATATTTTGCAAAAATAATTGCAACAAAATCTCTTATCCCACATGCTCCTTTACAATGTGACCTGGTGGTGAAGTCTATGGCTCTCTTTCCCTTTATTCTGGGTAACCTTGTGAGTACTGTAACCCACTAAGTATGGCAGAAGCAGTGAATGTGGTGCTATTTCACTTCCAAGGCTAGGTCACAAAAGGCCATGCAGCTTCTGCTTTGCCCTTTTGGGATGCTCACTCTGGGGAAAGCTAGGTACCACGTAAGAAGTCCAAGTACCTTGGGAAATCACATGCAAGTGTTCCAGTCAATAGCCCTTGCTGAGCTTCTAGCCAACAGCCAACATCAACTGCCAGCCATGTGAGTGCCCTAGGTTGGACATCTAGCCCAGCTGAGCCGTCGGATGACTGTAGCCCTAGGCAACATCTAGCTCTAACTACATGAGAGACCCCAAATGAGGACTTTCCAGCCTGGCCCTTTAAAATTTAAGAATTTCTGAAAATCATGACAAAATAAAACACCTGCTTTAAGCCACTAAGATTTGGAACAATAATAACTGGGATATGCAACATATCATCAAGATAGGATTTGGAACTGGGAGGGTCTAATCCAGGGTTATTATTTTTCTCATTGTTCACAATGGGAGTTTTGGTGGAGAGAACACATGGTTTTCAAATCACCTTTCTTTTAGTGAATTGAGTGGTTAAATAGGTAAACCCAATCAAGACTAAGGTGGAACTAAGGTAAAAGAAAGTAATAGGTAGGATGTTGAGACATAACATTCAGTAAGCCACTAAGCCAAACCAAAAGCATAAAAGGGGTCTTGGAGGAACAGGAATCTGGATCAGTTCTTGTGATTTAGTGGTTACTTAGGAGACAAAAATGTACCAGAATAAAGGTTTCTACTTTATCCCCACTTCCCAGAAATATCCTCTGTCTCTCAGAAATAAAATAAGGCAAGTACTTGAAAAATGGACAGTTGTTTAGATTTTAGCCTTAGCACAACTCACAGAAGGGATCAGACAGTTAGTGAATGCAGAAATCTACTGGAGGCAAGCATCTCTCATAAGGATGAAGCGTGCAATTGAATTTGTTCTTGTCAATCATCATCAGAAAAGATATATTATCCATGGTGAACAAAGAATCCTGAGATTGGGGAGAAAAAGGAACAGCATTTAATTTTTACCCTAGGAGTTTTAGCAAGCCCCCTAGGGATAAGAAACGCATATGTGAAATACGTGAAATGATGGCACAATTAACTTACTTTTTGCTTAAGTACATGCACTTCCACCAAGAACCTCAGGCATCATAAAAACAAGGAGATATAAGAGAAGTAGTTTAACATTTGAAGGCCCAAGGCAGCGTTTTTGTAGCAAAACTGTGGGATAATTATTTTTCTCATTGCAAGTAACAAGACAAGATTGAAGAGGTAAGGTGATTTGCTCAAAGTCACACAAGAGTCGAGTTTGGTTTTGGAGCCTGTCAATTTAGAATCACACTTTCTACTTATTGTGCAATACAGTAGAAACTGAAGACTCATGATATCTCAAAATACAGAATTAATAAGAATTAATGAACACCCCCCCCCCCACACAACAACAAAACCCATAAGTATATCCACGCTAACTTGCCTTCACATTCCCTACATCACTTGATTTTCTGAAGCCTTTGGTTCTTTTCCTGTCTTTGAGTTGAATTACAGCTTGAATTCCTATCATCGTCTCTGCTTAATTCCTGAGGCCATCTTTATACGTGCTGTCTTTGTGGCCTCCAACCTGCCTCCAAGCCACACATGTGTAACCAAACCAAGTAGTCTTTTTAAAAACCTTGCACACATTTGTCTTGATTCCTTGATAAGAACTAAGCCTGAGAAGTCTACTTTATATTCACATTCATCCACGCTTTCAAACTATTTTCCCTCCCTTAGACTTGCCTATTTGATTGTTAAGGAACCTAGCCAATCATACTAAAAGTGTTCAGAGAGAAAACTGTATGTGGGCCTGAATTTGTCAGAGTTGTTTTCCATGATTAAGCAGGCCTTGAGCATGACGTTAAAAATGGAGGGATGACTTAGATCATCAAGAAATGTAGAAAGAATATAATTTCATTAAGGGGTTGAAGGTGAAACTATCATAAAATTCACATTTCTTATTTTTCAGTAATAGGTGTTTTTACCTAAAATTTAAAATAAAAGATAGACTTGCCGGAAGTGGTGGCTCATGCCTGTAATCCTAACACTTTGGGACACTGAGGTGAGCAGATTGCCTGAGCTCAGGAGTTCGAGACCAGCTTGGACAACATGGTGAAACCCTGCCTCTACTAAAATACAAAAAATTAGCCAGGTGTGATGGTGTGCACCTGTAGTCTCAGCTACTCAGGAGGCTGAGGCAGGAGAATCATTTGAACCCAGGAGACAGAGGTTGCAGTGAGCCAAGATCATGCCACTGCACTCCAGCCTGGCCAACAGAGCAAGACTCCATCTCCAAAGGGGGAAAAAAAAAGATAGACTTATATCAGGCATATACGCTGCCCCAGGCATTTTTCTGTGTATTTATATATGATTCATATTGATAACTAATAGGCTTTGGATAGAAATGCTAGCTAAAAGATGGAGACTCCAAGGCAAGCTAAATGGCAGGACAGGCTAAATCCAATCTTTGTACCTTGGAGGCTTTTTCCCATCACAAGACAGATGATGTAAACCTAGCAGAAATGAAGTCTTAAAAAGATAATTACTTATGGAAGACTCTTTCTCAAATGCAAATTGATGCCTGGAGCAGTTACCTTAATGCCCCCCTCCACTCTCCCATACCACTTAGTACTTTCTGGAGAGCTTTTCTACACTTAAAAAATAACATTATTGTAATTTTAACTGTATTTCAGGGGCATTGAAGAAAGGACCTAGATGTTTACAGCTTTCAACTTTTTAAAAAACCCAAGTACTCCCTAGCTGTGTTGATTATAAGGTTGTTTTTTTTTTCTTTCAATTCTTTATTCTAACTTACTCTTTGGTATCAAATTTATGATGACCACCATCAATTAAGCAAAAATTTGTTCTGCTGTCTGCCATTTGCCTTTCAGCTGTATTTTCACTGCTATAGACTGAATGTTTGTGTCTCACACTCCCCAAATTTATATGTTGAAATTCTAACTCCAGTGTGATGGTATTAGGAAGTGGGTCCTTCGTGGGTGACTAACTTATGAGAGTGGCGCTCTTATGAATGGGATTAGTGCCCTTCTAAAATAAATTCCAGAGAGCTACCTCACTTTTCCACTATGTGAGAACAATGGCAAAAAGTCAGAAGTCTGCAATCCAGAAGAGAAGCCTCACCAGAACTCAATATGTCGTCACCCTCACCTTGGACTTATGGTGTCCAAAACAATGAGAAATAAAATTCTGCTATTTAAAAGCCAGCCATTGTATGACATTTTGTTACAGCAGCCTGAACTGATTAAGAGAGAAATTGGTGCTGAGAAGTGGGGGTGCTGCTGTAACAAATACCTAAAATGTGGAAGTGACTATGGAACTGGGTAATGGGTAGAGGCTGGAAGAATTTGGAGGTGCAAGCTAGAAAAAGCCTACATTGCCTTGCATTGCCTTGAACAGACCATTAAAGGATATTCCAATGACAGCTTAGGAAGAAAAGAGGAGACCTATGAAGAAAACCTCAATCTTCTTAAAAGAATATCTAAGTAATCATGAACAGAATGTTGATAGAAATAGACAGTAAAGGCCAGGGGCGGTGGCTCACGCCTGTAATCCCAGCACTATGGGAGGCCAAGACAGGCGGATCACAAGGTCAGGAGATCGAGACCATCCCGGCTAACACGGTGAAACCCCATCTCTACTAAAAATACAAAAAATTAGCCGGGCGAGGTGGCAGGCGCCTGTAGTCCCAGTTACTCGGGAGGCTGAGGCAGGAGAATGGTGTGAATCCGGGAGGTGGAGCTTGCAGTGAGCCGAGATAGCGCCACTGCACTCCAGCCTGGGGGACAGAGTGAGACTCCGTCTCAAAAAAAAAAAAAAAAAAAAAAGGAAATAGACAGTAAAGCCCATGGTAATTAAATCTTGCACAGAAACTAGGAACACACTATTGGAAACTGGAGAAAAGGTGATCCTTTTTATAAAGTAGCAAAGACCTTGTCTTTATGTCCTAGTATTTTGTAGAAGGTATTTAGCTGAAGCTATTTCTCAGCAAAGTGTTGAAGGTATGGCTTGGTTCCTCATGAATATATATATAGCAAAAAGTGAGAAAAGAGAAATCACTTAGACTAAATTATTATGCAAAAATGAATCAGAACTAAAAGAATGAAAAATATTCCAGTCTATCCATATTGCAAAAAATGAGAATGATAAGGATGTGGCCAAGTGTTGATAATGAGATTCATTTGGATTAGCCATCTCAATAAAAGCCAGAAACAATTCTCCAAGACAATAGGAAAATAACTCTGAAGACAATTCAGAGACCACCAGAGCTGCCACTCCCATCATAGACCCAGAGTGTGAGGGCTCAAGGGCCACAGTAGTTTCAAAGGAGGGGCTGCCATCACCTGTAGGACCCTGGCATATGCTGGCTCAGCACTGCCTAACATCAGGAGCACCACTGCCCATACTCTGGTGCTGTGCTCCTCAGTTGTCCCAGGGGCAGCTTCAGCAGGCCACAGTGTGGTGCAAGCTACAGTGGCAGCCCCTCCGAGGGCACAAGCAGCAAATTCAATCTTTGGCAGTGTCTGCATAGTGCTGGTGCACACAGTGCACAGGCCAGAGGGCATAGATGCCTCCACCTAGGTTTCAAAAGACACAGCCACCTGAAGCCATAGAATAGTGACCTCTTCCTAAGAAACTACAGGAGTAGGGGCCCAGGAGACAGCCACAACCAGAGCAGGGCCCAGACAGAGGCACTGTAGGACCTTCCCATGGAGCCATGGGAGGTGACATCACTAACCCAGTGGGCCTTCAGGTCAAAGCATTAAGCCAAAGAGAATTATTCTTTTTTTTTTCTTGCCCTCACAGTAAAAGCTAAGAAAAGGAGAATTATTCTTGAGCCTTAAGATCACATGTCCAAACTACAAGACAATTTCCACATGATTGTAATTTGGACTACAAGACAAACTCCATGTGATCTGTTACTCCTTCTTTTCTATTTCTCCCTTTTGGGATGAAATTGTCTAGCTTATGCCCATCTCATTATTGTACTTTGGAAGCACATAACTTTATTGGCTTCATGGGTTCACAGCTGGAGGGCAATTTGCCTCAGAATAAATCATACCTTGAGTCTCATCCATACTTGATTTAGATGATATTTAGGTGAGCATTTGGATTTTAGACTTTAGAGTTGTTGCTGGAACAAGTTAAGACTTTGGAGGCTGTTGGGATGTAATGAATGTATTTTTATGTGATAAGACCATGAATTTGGGGGGTACAAGAGTGGAATACTATAGATTGAATGTTTGTGTTTCCCAAAATGCATATATTGAAATCTTAAGCTCCGACATGATGGTATTAGGAAATGGGGCCTCTGGAAGGTGATCAGGTCATGAGAGTGGAACCCTCACAAGCAGCATTAGTGGCCTTATGAAAGAGACCCTGAAGAGCTCCCTCACCCTTCCACCATGTGAGGACACAGTGAAAAGACATGAACAGGAAGCAGGCCCTCTTCCAACACCATATCTGCTAGCCCCTTGACCTTGACTTTTCAGCCTGTAGACTTGTGAGCAATAAATTTCTATTGTTTTTAAGCCACACAGTTTATGGCAGCCTGAACAGACTAAAACTATCACTACCTAATAGTCATTCATGTAGAATGTTAGCCTAAGAGCAGGGCTCTGGAACAAATCCGTTTGAGTTAAATTCTCAGCTCTGTCACATGTCACAATAAGAGTATGGACACATTGCTTAGCCTTTTTGAGTTTAAAGTTCCCTATTTGTAAAATGGCGATAATAATAGTATCTCCATCACAGGGTCTTTTAAAAGCTTAAGTGGAGTAATATTTATAAAATGCTTTGGAAGTTTCCTGACACATAATAAGTCCTTTTTGTATGTTATCCATTGTAAGTACCGAGATGTCAAAGTGAAGAGGGCAGGAATTTTTGTCTGCATTTTTCACTATTGCGGCTGTAATACCTAATACAGTTCCAGTGCAATGAATGAGAGCTCTTGTGCACAAAAGCATTTGCACTGAGAGAATAGGAGGAAAATTATAGGTCACCTAGACTAGTGGTTATCAAAGGAGTAACCTTGGGGCAATTAGCTTCTCCTGGGAACTTGTAAGATGCAAATTCTAAACAAGAAGAGCCAAGATGGCCGACTAGATGCAGCTAAGAAGGGCTTATGCCACCAAGAGACCAGACCATCAAGAAGACCAGCACACTCCGAGCAGATCTTCAGAAGGAAGGCACCGAGAGTGGACAAAGAGAGCACGCAGACCCTGGGCTGAAGTGGGAGGAAGCTGGGAAACCTGCATGGCTGAGCACCAGCACTCATTCCTGGCCCCAAGCAGCTCCTAAGAAAGTACTGAGTTAAATAGATGTAGAGTGGCTCACTCTCACCATAGACCTCCAGAATCCTAGCTGAAGGAGACCCCATGACCCCTACAGACATTTGAGCTGGCAGCAAGAAATGCTTGGAGAGTTGGCAGTGACAGGACTTTACCCTGTGCAGAGCCCAGAGGGTTTGGCTCAGGAATACCTGCAATGGAGCATGGCCTGGGACACCCATCCCCCAAAGTTCACCACACTTTTCTTTTCTTTTCTTTTTTGAGACGGAGTTTCACTCTTGTTGCCCAGGCTGGAGTGCAATGGTGCAATCTTGGCTCATCACAACCTCCACCTCCCAGGTTCAAGCAATTCTCCTGCCTCAGCCTCCCAAGTAACTGGGATTACAGGTGCCCACCACCATGCCCCGCCAATTTTTTGTATTTTTTAGTACAGATGGGAGTTCACCATGTTTGTCAGGCTGGTCTTGAACTTGTGACCTCAGGTGATCCTCTCGCCTCGGCCTCCCAAAGTGCTGGGATTACAGGCATAAGCCAAGTGTCTTTGGTCTTTGTTGACTGTTGAACCTGGACATAACAGAGCTATCCTGCTAGAGGGATGGGGCCAGTTTGATCTGAGCACCCTACTGTCTGATGGCCTTTCCCAGGGTCTCTGCCTGGCCTCACCCACTCACAACACAGCCTCAGATGCTCAACCAGGGCACTTCCCAGTAGTCAATGCCATAGCTCCTTCACCAGTAGATACTGTCTAACCATCAGAGAGCTTCTGCAGAAGAGCCCCTGCCGACATGCACCTGCATGCAGCCTCCCTGCTCCATTTTGCCAGTGCATACTTGCCTGTAGCCTCCCCTACCACACTGCTGCTGCACATGCATGCATAAACCTAGCCACCCCACCACCAACAGTGCACATGTGTGGACCTCACCACCCTACTGCCACTGGCACAGGCATGCACGCAGACCGTGCAACCACTGCCCAGCCCCACCAGCATACATGAGCATACGGACCACATCACGCCATCATTCAGCCACCCCGTTGCCACCAGCATGTGCGTGCACATGGACAACCACTGCACTAGTGCCCCACCACCACCAGCGTGCACATGCAAGTGCACATCCCACTGCCACCACCCCAACGAAGAGCCTCTGCCAGCACCTGTCATCAGAGTGTTGTTGCTGGCAGACTGGGAACACTTCAGCACAGCAGGTACTTAACCTCTAGGAGCCAGAGAACAAAGCCATGGGCCTGGTTCCAGCCCCTCAAGGTTAGAGCACACAGCCCAGGAGTGCTAAGGCAACGCTTGACCCCCATCCAGAAGTGAAGTTAGTTGACTAAACCCAACTTATACTGCAGTCAAAATCATAAGGGCATTAAAAAACATAAAAGCCAAAAGACAGCAACTTCAAAGATAAAAGGAACATCAGCCCACAGAGATAAAAATAAAACAAAAGAAAACAAAAAAAAAAACAGTGCAAGAATTCTGACACCTCAAAAAGCCAGCATTTTTCTTACCTCCAAACAATCACACTAGCTCCCCAGCAATGGTTCTTAGCCAGACTGAAACAGCTAAAATGTCAGACACTGAATTCAGCATATGGATGGCAACAAAGATCATCAAGATTTAGGAGAAAGTTGAAACTCAATCCAAGGAATCTAAGGATTTCAATAAAATGATATAGGAGCTCAAAGACAAAATAGCTATCTTAAGAAAGAACCAAACTGATCTGGTAAAACTGAAAAACTCATTACAAAAATTTTGTAATGCAATCAGAAGTATTAACAGTAGACTAGATCAAGCTGAGGAAAGAATCTCAGAGCTCAAAGATCAATTCTTAGAATCAGCTCAGTCAGGCAAAATCAAAGAAAAAAGATCAAAAAGGAATGGACAAAACTTCTGAGAAATACGGAATTATGTACAGAGACCATGCACCAAAAGACACATGCATGCAGCTTTATTAACAATAGCAAAGACGTGGAATCTACCTAGATGCCCATCAATGGTAGACTAGATGAAGAAAATGTGGCACATATACACCATGAAAGACTATGGCACCATAGAAAGATGAAATCATGTCCTTTGCCACAACATGGTTGCTACTGAGGCCATTATCCTAAGCAAATTAACACAGGAACAGAAAACCAAATACCACATATTCTCACTTATAAGTAGGAGCTAAACATTGAGTACACATGAACACTAAGAAGGGAACAATAGACACTGGGGCCTACCCAAGGGTGGAGGGTAGGCGAGGAGGGTGAGGACCAAAATACTACCTACTGGGTACTATGCTTATTACCTGGGTGATGAAACAATCTGTACACCAAACCCCTGAGACACACAATTTACCCATGTAACAAACCCACACATGTACCCCTTGAACCTAAAATAAAAAATTGGAAATAAATAAATAAATAATATTTTTGCCACAAAAAAATAATTTTTAAAAAATGCAAATTCTAGGCCCTCACTCCAGACCCATGAAATCAGAAATTCTGGGAGCAGAGTCTAGCAAGTTCTGTTTTTAAAAGCTCTACTGGTGATATCTTCAGTAACTAAATATTGTCTAACACATAATAGGGGCTCAATACATAATTGTTAAATATATTTTTTCATTTTATTTTTGTAATAACATGGTTATTAACAGTTATTTTGTAATAACTATGTTAAAATTCTATTATTCCAGAAAATTATACATGAATATTTAACTAAAGACAAGACACTAAATTCTGCTGCTGACCAAACACATCAGACTCAGGCTTCATGAATTATGCCACTGAAGTAGCTCTAATGGCCCAATAAAGTAAACACATAGTCCAGGGAATTTCAAGGTGAGTTGCAGTACTCTGTGTGGTTTAGCAAATATTTACTAAGCATTTACTACAAACCAGCACTTGTCATACATAATCTTATTGAATGCTTGTGGAGCCCCTACAGGATACATTGATTCATTTCTTTACTTTAGAGATGAAAGCCTTGAAACTCAAAAAAGTGAAATAACTTGCCCAAGTTCACAAAACTGACAAGTGGTAGAGCCAAGTACTGAAGACAAAGACATTAGACTCTGAAGATCAAATCTTTAACCACTTCACTATGTGTTCATTTAATAAGCCATGTGTGAGTACTCTGTAAATAAAAACGTGGTTGAGGAATGGTTTCAAGGAAAAAATGACAGAGTTGCAATAGAAAAATAAATAAAAGGAAAGGGTGGGCATCTTAGTAACAAATATGAAGAAATGTCTATACCAAACAGTGTAATGCATATTGAGATATTTCCACAATGTTTTGGCATCAGGTCCTAATTGCCACTGAGGGTCAATGACTCACGAAGTTCAAGTAAACAGTAAGTGGGGAAAGTTACTTGCAATAACAGTATCTGTTCGCTGTCCACTAACCCATGACACTGCAAAGTATTTGTGTCATCTCTAAAATATCTATGACAATTTTATTTTAACCTATCTATACATTGTATTATGTAACCTCCGTGCCCTTGAGAAAACTAAACCAAGTCAGCTGCCTTTCTGATATGACTGTATGAATGTACCAGTATAATAACTATATGTGTAATAATTATTCACCACCTAACACATACCATGCACTGTGAAAGGTTATTTTCTTACATCCACATGCTATGGCTCAACTGCAAACCTGGTACTTGCTTTTGTATAGCCCACAAGGTGAGGATGTTCTTTATATTTTCAAATAGTTAAAACATATCAAGAGAAGAATGATATTTCATGACAGATGAACATTACATGAAATTCAAAATTGCAGTATTCATAAATAAAAATGTGGCACAGAGCCACAAGGATTCGTGTATGCATTGTCTATGGCTGCTGAAGTGCACAACAACAGAATTGAGTAGTGTCTACAAAAGCCATGTGACTACAAAGCTGAAAATATTTTCTATCTAGTCCTTTAAGGAAAAAGTGTGCAGAATCCTGACAAAGATTATTTCTAATCCTTCTGATAACCCTGGAAGCCACATTCATTATACAGACAGGCACTGAACCACTGAACCTCAAGCAGGTAATTACCTTGTTATGGTAGAAACACAAGAAAAAAATAGTCACAAATTCTTTGGCATTCCTCCCAATTGAGAGATTGAGTATATGTCTCCTTCCCTCAAACCTGAGGGATAGAGGGGGAAGCTTGTGACTGCTTCAACAGAGGAAATGTGGCAGAAGAGGCACTGTGCCTAGTTCTCTTAAACACCTGCTCTCAGGTTGCTTCCCCTTCTGGGAAAATACGAGTGAGAAGGTCCCCACGTGGGTGCTCCTATCCACAGTCCCAGCTTAGCTTAGCCTTTGAGTTATCTCAGCCCATACCCCAGGCATGTGAATGAAGAAACCTCCAGATCAAGTTTGTCCAACCTGTGGCCTACGGACCATATGTAGCCCAGGATGGCTTTGAATGTGGCCCAACACAAATTCGTAAACTTTCTTAAAACATTATGAGAATTTTTTTGCAATTTTTTTTAGCTCACCAGCTATCATTAGTGTTAGTGTATTTTATGTGTGGCCCAGGGAGGCCAAAAGATTGGACACCTCTGCTCTAGATGATCCCAGCCATTCAAGTCTCACAGGCCCCATATCATGGAACAGAAAGAAGCCATCTATCCCAGTGTGTCCTGTTGAATGTCTGACCCACAGAATCCATGAACATAACAAAATCATTGTTGCTTCTTCCCATGACTAAGTTTCAGTGATTTGTTATATAGCAATAGATAACTGAAGCACTACCCATTTCAAGAAAAAAAATAAAAAACACTTGGCTTAAAGCTAATGTTACACTACAATTCTTTAAAACTGAAAGAATGTAAAAATATAAAGGCAAAGAGAAATTGAGAAGGGCTAGTAAAAGTGAAGCTTGAGAGAAGCTATATGCTCTGAAACACAGATTGCAGTGTCACAATTTCACATCTTGGGAACTGTAAATTTGATTCAAACTGGGAAAAGCTAAGGGGTCTGTGCAGGGCCACGGAGTTCCTAATTAGTATGAGAGTGTTTCCACCAAAGTTGACTGAATCCATGGTCAGATCTGTTCCTATCTGTAGCACCCTTTGGGACATGGTATTTTGAGTCTAGGGCACTGGCTTCTTTTTTTTTTTTTTTTTTTTTTTTAAGGTAATTAGGACTTTAATTACCTGGCCACAGCCTATTTGATGGTGGGGTCCGTGATAAAATAGCAAGGCCTGAAACATGACCCTCGGACAAGATAAAACACCAGATACCCTTCGCCTCTGCCCCGTCCCTTTGATTATATCAGTTTTCATAGTAACGGACAGGGATGGAATTGGGAAGAGACTAGAGATAATATCATAATATTGGGGCATATAAATCATTGTAAAAGTATCTCTCAGTTGGGCTTGATCCACATTACTAAGCTCCCATAAAGAATGCTAGAGAACCAATAATGTTCTCCAAGTTTGTATAAGCTCAGAGTTCATCACATCCTATGTTCCCAAAGATCATATGAGCCACATCTGTGTGGCACTGGCTTCTTAACTTTGACCATAAAGAAATACTGAAGTCTTATCTTCTGAACTAGTCCCAAGCAGGAATTTCTACCCATTTACTTTCACCTCCTGGCACCTCCCCAAATTCCACATTAGGCAAATGTTTGCCAGTTATTTGTTCTTTCAATGATTCTTTTATTAGTTCATACTAATTCTCACAGTGCAAGGAATTTATACAAACATTTTCTAGAAATTTTCTGGACCAAGGACCTATTATTGGGTTTTACTGGACAGGATGCAGAGTATTATTAAGAAGCTCATAATGAGCTCACCATCTCATGAAAGTGAAGAAGAAGTTACAAATAATTAAAAGGGGTAATGAATGATGAAGTTTGTGAACTCCCTGGAGGATGCCAGACAAATAGGTAGCTCATCTCTAACTCACAATGTGCTTCTTTTCATCTTTAATCAACCCTGGATTGTCTTTTTTTTTTTTTTTTTTTTGACAGAGTGTTTTGCTCTTGTTGCCCTGGCTGGAGTGCAATGGCGCCATCTGGGCTCACCACAACCTCTGCCTCCTGGGTTCAAGCGATTCTCCTGCCTCAGCCTCCCGAATAGCTGAGATTACAGGCATGCACCACCACACCCGGCTAATTTTGTATTTTTAGTAGAGACGGGGTTTCTCCATGTTGGTCAGGCTGGTCTCGAACTCCTGACCTCAGGTGATCCGCCCGCCTCGGCCTCCCAACGTGTCGGGATTACAGGCGTGAGCCACTGCGCCTGGCTCTCTCACTTTTTCTTTTTCTTTGCCCCTATTTTATCGCTCATTTATATATTCAGGAGGCTTTTTGCATCATTTGCATTTCATAAAATTATCTTTACTTTTTTTGCAATAATATAAAATTTAAGAAATCAATGAATAAAATTCTGAGTTTCTTAAAATATCAGGAGGTGTTAAATGGAATTCAGAATGTCATGAAGAGCTACAATTACCAGAGTGAGTAGTTGGAGAAAGCATTTTAACATATGAAAATACTAAGTCTGGAGCCACCATCACAGATACAAATTGGGGAAAACAAAACCTACACCTTCTCATTTAACGAGAACATTAAGAAAGATGGTCTTGCTCAGGGGGCACTGCGTCACGGACTGCATGTGCTGTAGTTATATTTAATCCTAGATTCAAGCAGCAAAATAAGTTTATTTCTCCTGTTTTGTTTTGTTATTTTAATGTATAAGCCAAGGAATACATTTCATATATAATAGTTCGCAAAGCAAGAAAAGTCATAAAAAATTATCAAAAGTTGGACTATAAAGCCAGTGATTGGAGAGAAAGGAAGAAAGCAGTCAATCACAGGGCAGGGGAACAAGTACAAAGGTGGTCCTCAGTGAACACCATGGCCTGCCTTCAGCTTTGCTTTTTTTTTTTTTTCTGAGACAGAGTTTCGCTCTTGTTGCCCAGGTTGGAGGGTAATGGTGCGATCTCGGCTCACTACAACCTTTGCCTCCTGGGTTCAAGCAATTCTCCTGCCTCAGCCTCCCGAGTAGCTGGGATCACAGGCATGCACCAGCAAGCCCGGCTAATTTTGTATTTTTTTTAGTAGAGACGGGGTTTCTCCATGTTGGTCAGGCTGGTCTCGAACTCCTGACCTCAAGTGATCCACCTGCCTCGGCCTCCCAAAGTGCTGGGATTACAGGCGTGAGCCACCGCACCTGGCCTCAGCTTTGCTTTTTCTCCCTGACTTGGTGTATACGAAGGAATGATACTAAGCCACAATGATGCCAGACTACCCTCTATAAAGAGCATGCTCTGATTATTCATGACTCCTAACCCTTCATGTGTTATGGTCCTTCACTATGATACACTGTTATAGTTTATTTAAATGTTCCTATCTCTCACTATCACCTCCTCGCCCAACCACATGATCTGGGTATCCCCTTCTCAGCTACCTCAACCACAGCAAAGTCAAGTTCACTGTAGTAAACATGCAAAATACAATTGAGTGAAACAAACTTGCTTATTACAAGTCCAGCAAACTCTAAAAGATGGGAGTGATCAACCCAAGAAGGTCAAGGATATGATTTGGGATAGTGTCCTGGCAAGGACAAAGCAGTCATGAAAATCGCTCAACCTATGGAAAAGCTTATGTGAGCACAGAAAAACCAGATAGGGGGCTCAGGGCAAATTATACCAACTGGTGACTTGCAGGGCCTGGAGGAAAAGGCAGAATAAGGAATGGCTGCTTAATGAGTATGGGGTTTCTTTTTGGGGTGATGAAAATGTTCTGGAATTAGGTAGCGGTGACGGTTGCACAGCATTGTGAATGTACTAAAAGTGAATGAATTGTACACTTTAAAATTATTAAAATGGTGAATCTTGTGTTATGTAAATTTTAACCTCAATTTAAAAAAAAAAAAAAAAAAAAACCTACGGATGGGATCTTTTGCCCACAAGTCCTTTTTAATTTCATTTCCAAAGCCTTAGGATATTCACCTGAAATCAAATACACTCTGGAAGTTGCCAACATTTACTCCTACAGAGATGGAGAAACGAAAGTAGGGAAGAATTAATGCTTTGTGTCTGAAATAAAAGAATTTAACCTGTCTTCTACAAAACAAAACAAAACAAAAAAAGATCCAATCACAATAAGGAAGAAATCATCTTAGGCCACTTTTTCCCAAACTGCTTTTAGCAGTACTGCTCTAACACTTAAGAATAACATGATATATCTTGATTTTCATAATAGAAACTTGAAATTTTTTAGGAAAAATAATTTTAGATGACATAATAATATTATTTTAAATTTCTGGATAATGATTAAAGCCTTAAAAAATAACTGGTATGTATTTACAGCAAACAAACCAAGGAAAAGAATTTGTTACTTAAAATAACTTTTTAAAAAATTATCATTATTTACTCACTTCAACTAGTTTGGTTTTCTCAATACTTTCAAATAAATCAACTTCATGCCAATTTTTCTAACCCCACCCACAACCCTCCATTCCTTAAAGTATTTCTCCCCTTACACCAAATACCCAAGTCCTTCCCCATCTCCGTGTAACACAATAGAGACATTGGCAGCAAAGAGACAAAGAAAAGGTGAAGCCCATAGACAAAAAGGAGAGAAGAGGGATAGGAAATGTGTCAGGGATTATGAAGTCAAGAGCTTAGAGCTTGTTGGCTGAAGAGGATCAGCTATGTAGGATTGCTGGTCATTGTTCATTGCTCCTGAGTACCAGCTGCCATTGCGCAGTGGCGTCAGTATAGAGATAAGGTAATAGGCTTGGGTTCAGACACCCATGAGTTTGGATCCAACTCCCTGTGAGTATGGTCAAGGTTTTATCTACTTTTAGTCTCAGTTTCTTCATATGTAAAATAGAATTAATAATATCTATTTCATGAAAGCATCATGCTGAGTAAATACAATGATGTTAGCAAATCACTTTGCATGGTGTAGAATTCATATTAAACTTTTAGCATTACCATAGGAAGGTGAATATAGCCTTGCTACCATCAATATTCTAGACCTTACTTAGATATGAACATGTTCCCAAGACAATTTAGATCGTTTGGCTTTGTATTAAATATTTATCATATTGAACACTCATCAAGCATCCCAGTGGCATTTTGGCCTCTTATAAATTTTATATCCCCATCCTAATTCTTTTTATTTTACTAACTTGAAAGAGTTTTACATTTCTTCTCTCTTCATCTTGTATAGTATCATTACTTGTTCCCTTTTGTGACCCTCCAACATCTTCCCCTTTGCCTTTAGATATACACGTTTCAGCTTTTCTTGATTCTCTCACTTCCAACTCCAAATCATATTAATGAGCCAAGCATTAGTCAACTGAGTAACTGAAGAGGACAGTCCTTCCACTTCCATTTGCCTTTTAGAAAAGACTAGTAAGTTGATTCACAATCCATGGCTCAGGGATGAATTTGGAGAGTCTGTTCCCAGCAGGCAGGGCATATCCTTCTGTGTAACAGCTGTCTCTTTGTGCTATAACTTCAAGCACA
Source organism: Homo sapiens (assembly GCF_000001405.40). NCBI lineage: Eukaryota > Metazoa > Chordata > Mammalia > Primates > Hominidae > Homo > Homo sapiens. Next base: position 59,173,752 of record NC_000016.10, on the reverse strand, counting down.
GTGTTGTGCTAAAACAGCAAGTAATATAATAAAAATGGGACAATTCTGTTTCCCCACTGTGAGCTGGGGCATGTGAATAGGAAAAAAAAATAAAGAAAGAAATCCGGTATTTCATCAGTGAAATGGTGGAACTGCCCAAAAACAGCTGGGGCAGAGAAAAGGTCTAGAAGATGATTTTTCCATTTCTCCTTTGCTAAAGAGAAACCCCAATTATTCTCTGGCTCGCCTTCTGATCTCTTGCCAGTTGCATCAGATTCTCTGAAATGAAGGCAAAGAGCTGGCAGCTGTGCCCAGCATGGAAACCGCCAAGCTGCAGCAGACCTTGTAGCCCATCATGTGGCATCAAGCCAAGGGAAAATATCAATGACACACTTAATAAGGTCCAAAAACAACTCACACCTATCAGAGTCTTTAAGGGAACCAGAGGGCAGAACATTTGAAACAATCATGGACTCTAAGATACAATTCTGTGCTCCAAAGCCAGAGAATCCCAGGATTTCCATGAATGTGCTAGGTGAACAGGTCCATTAAAAGAGTGTCTCATTCTGCATGGTATCAGATGAAATCTGGGGGAAAAATACTTTTTATGTAATCACAGTGCCATGCTATTTCACATATATCATTCAAATGATCTTCATCCTAACTTTTAGAATTAGGGAGCACTTTTTAGTTGATAGAAACTAATTTTAAACTAGCTTACACAAAGAAGAGAATGTATTGGCTGGTCTGGATTCATGAATATTAGAAACCCTAGAGGATGCTCCTGTCAAATTTTTATTGTTTTGTCCTTGAACAGAAATCTTCCTCTTAGAAGGTAGAATTGATTAAAGAGGAGGAAAGTCTTGAGGCTTCTCCATGGTCAATTCTCTCCACTCGGTTTTTGTGGGCAAACAATTACGATTTATTCCATATAGTCTCAGCGTTTTCTATCTGCACACTGCTGACCCTGTATCAAAGGCTCCTGTTGCAAGAGGGAGGAACAATGGAAGAGAAGAAAGGAGAAACAATGGAAAGGTTATAACAGACAGGGGAGATAATCAATGGAATGTGAAAATAGATGAATGCTTCAGTGTACTCCAGTTTTTCTCTAAACATAGCAATAGGTTAGGATTTTATTAATCTACAGGGATATACTAAATCTGCACTGTCTGATATGGTGGCCACCAGCCACGTGGTTACTTCAATTTACATTAAGTAAAATTAAACAAAACTTAAAATTCAGCTTCTCAGTTACACTAGCCATATTCAAGGTGCTCAGTGGCCAGATGTGGCTGCTGATTACCATATTGGACTGTGTGAATACAAAACATCTCCACCATCGCAGGTTTATTGGATAGCAGTGATCTGTGAAAAAGAGGAACCAACTTGAGCTTTTCCAAGCTTTAATTTGGTGAGCAAAATAATAAGAAACAGTAACCATACTGGAAGAAACATAGAATTCTGGATTGAAAAAAAGAGAGAAAATAAACGGATTCAGGTGAAAGTATGTTACATCAATAGGAGCTTAAGGACAAAAATAGTCACAAAGCCAATAAAGATGTAGATCAGCATTTAATGGATAAATCTTCCTATGCCAGAAACAAGTAAGAGGTAAGATTAGAGATGGGAAGGAGAGAGTGGAATCTGTATTGGGGCCCAGGTGACATACAGAGTCAAAGTTTATCCACAAATTTGGGGATCAGAGATATGGCACCCAAGGTGAGGAGTTTTCATCTGCTTAAAAAGCGTAGTAATAGTTGTTGTTTTTCAATGGAACTGGTATAAAATATACTGTAAATTGGCTAATTGATCAGGTTGTTTGATCAGTTTCATAGGGCAAATGCTAGAGCATGCCAAGTATACATTTTCTCTTAATTTTCTTAGATGAGCAATCATACCTGAATGAAGCCATCTGAGTAGGCAGGTAGTTCACAGATACAAACAGCCATGGCTTTAAAATGGAAATGTTAAAATATTTTTGAAACTCTAGATTTAGCATAAGGTATAACACCAGATGTCCCTACATATACATAATCTGAAAGTTTTGTAAATCTGAACCTCTTTGTGACCTGAGGCAAAATTTGTTCTCGCTTTAAGTTTTCAGCTAGATTAGTACATTGACCTTGGTATCAGAAAGTCCTATACATCTTTATATACCAACTAAAACTGAGGATGAAAGTCAATATTTTCTCTATTTTTCTGATTATAGAGTGACCTATAAAAGAAAGTAGAAGATTTTTAACTTTAAAAAGTTAAAAACATGTTTCCAGTGTCCTTGACAGATATTTTTTAAATGTCCAACTTCAAAATAAATGTATTTATAATTTCTACAATAATATACTTATTAGAGATAATTACAAAACAGAAAAAAGGTAGAATAGAGAAATATTCTAATATGTTTGCACAACTTAAATACAATCATTATCGGCATTTTGGTGCTTTTTCTATCTTTCTGCTACTCATAGCTTAAATAAATGTGTTTTTATTTTGCATTAACATTTATTCTACATTAACATTCAGGAGTATGTTTTAAAAGCTGTCAATATAAAAACTCAGTTTATAACATTTGATGTAATGTACTTCACATAATCATTCCCTTTAATTTTTTTTAACTTTTAGATATTCAGAAATATAATAGTAACATATAATTTAGGAGATAAATTTTGCACAAAGTGTCGAGGTTTAGTGTTTATATGCTCAAACGCTGATGTTTGATTTCCTGGCTTAAAGACCTGACTTTACTATTTCCTATCTGTGGGATCTCAGAAAGCTGCTAAAACTCTCTGTGTTTCAGTTTCCTCATTGATAATGTTGAATTTATAGGGTTGTTTTAAGAATTAAAAGAGATTAGTATCCAGCAAAAAACAGTAGCCCACAGTCTTCAGAATTAATAGTATCCTCATAAGATAGATTCCTAGAACTGAAATTACTGGATCACATGTATAAAAAGTCTTAAATCTCTTGAGAAATCTTACCAACTTTGCTTTTGTCAATGGTAAATGCCACCAGTCATTTTTAAGCACACCTGTTCACTACTCAGTCACCAGATCTCTTTCTAATGGATTTCTAATCTTAAACAAGTAGCCACGAAAGCAGCAGCTTTTTTCAGCCAAAACGGAAAACAGACCACTTTCTTAAAAAAAGAAAAAGAAAGTCAAATTTGGCCCCTGGTCTAAAATACCCGGAAGAAAATCATCTGGGCATCTACGTTTAATTATTTAGCACACCCTTCGTGGAGACCTTTCTTTGTAGCGGCATTCTCAGTAGAGGAAAAAATGTCCCACCAGCAAACGGAATATTGCTGTTTATAAGCAACAGTAACAGGATACAGGGGATTTAGGAGCCATGAATGAAAATGATAAACATCAAATGAGAAAGGTTTCATCCTCCTGTGTTGCAGCTAAATAAAGCTTTACAGTAGATCCCAGCTGAGGGAATCTACTGGCAGGTTTTGACTACCCAGAATTTCTATCACATTTCCCAAGGTTAAACGTGTTGCCTTGAGGCGGCTGCTCAAAATGATAAAGGGGACGCTGTAGGACAGTGGTGCTCTTTGTAATGTTAATAACCCTTGATTCTGATATCTGATGCAACTCTGGGGAAATCTGCCAGTTCCAGACTTTAAAATCTAACTCAGTGAAGTGACATTGTTGCAAAAAAAAAAAAAAAAAAAAAAAAAAAATTCTTTTAATTTGGCAGAAGCAAGAAGATCATTTCAGCTCCACATATTTAGATATTTTCATTATTTATATTGCTGGATTGAATTTCCACAGGATAACATGTTGTGATATAAAATTAACGTGATATTTTTTCTATAAAAGCAGATGGTATTTTATTTCAGAATTCACATATATATTTATATGCTTACGGAATTCATTTTTATGGTATAAGCTCACCCGAGTAGTGATCTTTTATCATATTTTTTACTTATTTATTTATTTAAGATTTATGCCCCATCTGGCTTCAAAGGGGCATGAGAATGTCTGCAGATGAAGGCACAGATAAAGTGAGACATAAACACATCACAAGTTTAATCAAAAAAGAGCAGGAGGAATGAGCACATTCAGAGCCAGACTTAATGCAGGTACTGCTTTGGGAAAAAAAAAAAAAAATAGGTGTTCTATATTTTCTAGCTATTATCTTTTTTAAAAAAGGGGAAAAAGACTCAAATACTTTGACTCGTCATGTAAATCTCCACCTCTTCTTTAATTTTTAATAGGAAGCATCATATAAATCCACCTAAAGAAGAAATGAATGTGATGAAGATGTGGGAGATTATAAGAACCAAGAGGAAGGGAGGAAAAGAAAAGGAGAAAGTTACTACAATGGAAGGCTCCAAAAGGAAAGGAAAGAAAGTGCTTTTCATGGGGATGCCAAACAGTGTGGTTGACTCAGGGAAAGTGATAACGGATAAAGTGGAGTCACTGTTATCACGGGGCAAGTTCTGGCAAGTAGTTAATTGTTTAGTAAATGTTGAAAGCAAATGAAACTGAGGCTTTCATTGTTATCTTCTTTAATTAACACAGTGATTGACTCAGACTTTTCTTGAAGACATTGCGTCAAGTCATATACTTAACCACGGTTTTACAAGCAGGTGTTTCCACATTATTCAATTCACTATCACATTAACTTTCAACAAATGTCGAGGGCAAAAGATACACTACAGTTCTGCATTCTGATGGTCTAACTTTTAGGATAGTTTGGAAAAAGCCAGTTAAGCACAGTTGATTTAAAAACTGTAACCCCCACAATATTGACTTTCTCAACTAACAACTCCTCCTTTACAAATGATAGCTTTTTCTTCCCTTGAGACGACAGTGGCAACTGCCAAGGCTCATTCATTCCGTTATTAATTCCTGGAATGTATTTTTTTTCCATTCTGTATACACAGTCATGATTGTCCTCTAGTTAATCATCTCACCACTTGTGTATACAGTAATGTTTAATTTTTATTTTTAAACTGCAGCCATTGTAGCCATTTTAGTTGTGTTTTCAGTAGTCAAATAAAATGACATCAGGAGATTCAGGCATAAATCACTGTTGAAGCAGAGAGAAAGATGTTAAAACTAGAATACGTGTGATCTAGCAAAGAGCAAAGCTACAGGCCAGCAAGAGCAAAGCTACAGGCCATATTTTGAAAATAATTCATAGCTGGGAGTAAATGTAAAGTTAATCTGGTTGCATTCATCCTTCTCCCAGAGGTCCCTGGAGAGGGAAAAGTGACTTGCTGAAGGTCATAAAGCAATAAAAGAGGAATGCTAGATTTATAACTGAGTCAGGCATTAGATCTATTCATAAACCTGACCTTTGGGTTCTGACTTTTCCCAATTCTAGTATTCTTTGGGGCTAAAACAAAAGACTCTGCCACTAAGCACAAGGATCTGCAGCTAGATCAGTCTTCCCTACTGGTGTATAACACTTTATTGGAGACTCAGAGACAGAAATAATTGTAGCTGAGGCATTTTTACCATGATGCCTTAAAGGGATACCCCGTAATTTCTGCTTCTGATGTTCAAGAACTCTTCGGGCTGCAGGCTCCTTCCTAAAATGCAAAGTTTTCTGTAACGCAAATTCCCTTTGGGCTCCAGATATCCAGTTGCTTTTGTATCTTACAAACAAATGAAAAACATTACCTAATACAAGGCCTAGATTTACTAACTCATGGTTATCTTTTATACTGATGAAGAAACTTACACTCTGTGAGTTTAAGTTATTTATCCAAGACCACATGGACAATAGGAGATGAAGCAATAATTTTATTAAGTTGGAAAAGATCAGTGACCCATTTCCTTAGTGATACAGAAGACATTTTAAGTCTTAAGCACACATTCTTCACTTTTCCCACCCACAGTCTTATTGACAGATATATGTGCTATTTTTTTCCCAATGTCTTTAGGTAGACATTTTTATTTATTTAACATAGCTTTTCGAATTCTATTAGCTTAGGAGAAAAGGACAAATAATAACAACAATAATAGGGCTAATATTAATTGAGCATTTACTAAATCTAGGCAATGTTCTAATCTTAGCAATTTACATGCATTTATTAGTTTAATTTTCGCTTCGGCCCTCTGCTATAGCTCTATCACAACATTTATTTTGTATATTAGAAAACTGAGGCACAGAAGAATTAAGCAAGTTGCCCAAGATTATCCAAAAAGTCCCATTCTAAACTGGTACCCTCAAACAATGTCCTGTACTGCTTCATATTATGCACATGTCCCTAAGATGATATTTCAATTTGTTTCATGATCAATCCACATATCAGGAAGACCTTCCTAACACACTCATTGAAGCCTAAAGGAGGTTATATCCAGGGACTGGAAGAAAGCTTCCAGGAAAAGACTGACAGAAATTCATTTGGAACTGGATAAGAGTAGGACTTAAATTGAGTAGTGGAAAGATGTGGGACAGGGTGACATAAGCAAAAGTACAAAATGGAGTTTATGGAACCCCATATAAAAAATGGGAAGAGCAATACTACCTTTACCCATAGGTTTGCTGTGAAGATTAAAGATGAACTATGTAAAACACTTTAGCTCAGCACATACTGTATAAATTTGAAGTTTTAAAGTCTCTATCATCATCATCATTATAAGTGTTATCATTATACTGCAGCTTAGTATAATGATTGAAGAATGTGGAGGTTTAGACAAAATTGAAGCCCTACAAAACCTTGAAAATGAGTCTGTGTATAAGGCTCATTAAGCTTAATTGAGAAGTATTTCTTGTAGAGGAAGAGGAAGATCAAAATGTTGTGCCAGAAACTACCTCTGAAGGCTGCACCTTCCAAGTGCAGGGTGGGACTCCTGGGACCCTTAACTTGTAGATCACGTAGCTGAGGCATAAAGTTGTTGTGTACTATGTTTGATATAAGTCTGTCTTACTGTTTCTCTACTAAGAACTCTTTTTAAATGTAGTTTGTTGCTGTAGCACTTCTTACACTGCAACTATACTTGAACAGTTTCAAACTGTACATACTATATGAAGCTTGTCCTCTGAATGGGTTTCTTATTTCTATGTGGAATTTTATATCTTGCAGTGTCCTGTAAATAAAGATTAAAGTCCACTCTTTTCTTTCATTTTTCATACGGTTTTGCTATCTTCCCACCCAAATCTTATCTTGAACTGTAGCTCCCACAATCCCCATGTATCATGGGAGGGACCCAGTGGGAGGTAATTGAATAATGGGGGGTGGGTTTTTCCCATGCTGTTCTCGTGATAGTGAATAAGTCTCACAAGAGCTGATGGTTTGATAAAGGGCACTTCCACTGCACACACTCTCTTGCCTGCCACCATGTGAGATGTGCCTTTCCTTCTCCTTCACTTTCCACTATGATTGTAATGTCTTTCCAGCCATGTGGAACTGTGAGTCCATTAAACCCCTTTTTCTTCATAAATTACCCAGTCTCAGGTAAGTCTTTATTAGCAGCATGAAAACTGACTAATACACTTTTTAAAAAACAGAAAATTTGAATTAAGTTTATTTCCCCTATAGCCAACAACTTCTCTGCATTGAATTTTAAGGCAATAAAGTAAAATAAAATCCCCCAAATGACAAGGTTATTATCATCGCCTTTATCATAATGAGGTGCCTGCCTACCTCCCAAACCTCACTCTCCATTGCTCTAGAATTTGGGGACTTATAATGTGACATCATTTCTATTGTAAGCAGAAATTTACTAAGGACTTTGACGATCTTGGTAAAATTACATAGACTCTAATAAGGAAATTATTATTTCCCTCAAACTCCTGGCCTCAACTGATCTGCCCACCTCTGCTTCTCAAAGTGCTGTAATCACAGGACTGAGCCACTGTGCCTAGCCCCAGATGGCCTCTTTTAATGGCCATATTTTGTTCTTTGATTCCAGGTAGGTAAAAAGAAAGTTAGTGACTCTCTATTTCTTATTAGAATATTAAAAGAGAAAATTTGCATAGCACTTTTATTGGCCAGTATATAGCAGGTGTCCAATAAAGTTGGTGACTCTCTATTTCTTCTTAAAATATTAGAAGAGAACATTTGCATAACACTTTTATTGGCCAGTATATAGCAAGTGTCCAATAAATGGTAACGTGGTACTACTATAAGGTGACATGAAGTCTATAAAAGTAGGATCCCACCTGAAAACATGTGGCACTTTGAAATTAGGATGATTTGAGGAGAGTTTAACAAAGGGCCTCTTTTAAAACATGATAAAGAGGGTATAAAACCCATGGAAGGTGTTACAGTAGGACTCATGGAAGATATTACAGTACCCTGATGCTCTATTTCCATCCCTAGGGCTGATGGAGTAAGAGGAGAGGACAGTTTGCACAAATTGGGCAGGACTGTGTGCAGAGGTCCATCCTGTGGCCGCTGAAAACTTCAGCCAAAAGAGAGAGCAAGCCTGCAGCAAGGTGCAGTGAGCGTCTAAGGGATTAAATACCCAGACCTCACTCACCACTCTCTTTCTTCCTATGGACGTAGCCTACACAGGTCAGCCTCTCATGGCACAAGACAAAGAGGAAAAGGGTAGGAAGTGGATACGAGAAGACAAGTGGAAGATATTCCACTCAGGGTCATCTAAATAGCTTAGCCTCTGTATATGTGCATAGAACACATGGGAATATATACGTTCACTACCAAATTGGATATACAGTTTTCTTCTGTTACATCATGTGTTGTGAGAACATGTTTCTTTTAGCTTGACAGTCAAATATGAGTTCATATATTTATTTTTCTAGTTGCTAATTCTCCGATGGCAAGGACTCATTCCTTATTGTATCTCAGTTCTAACTTCTATCCCACGTGTGCTTAGTTCAGTGTAGTTGCTCTATGAATTCTTATTAAAGCGAATTGCATTAAGTGTTTATCAGAGCCTACCCTTTTATCAAACAATGAATCTCACTTCGGTAGGACTTTAACTTTCCATTTGGAAAAGAATTATATAGGAATGTTTAAATAATTTAGTCAAAGCCACAGAAGTGATGGGCCATGATACTGGATAAAAACAAGGGTCCGCAGTTTCTGATCCAGTTTTTGTTTGTTTGGTTGATTTTTTCCGATAAACCATTCTTCTCTATACACAAATTATTCCACCTGAGCTTGCTGACTCCATCCATTCAGCACCCTGGACAGTGCATGGCACCAGGAACCAGAATGATTTTTGTTTGTTCTCTGACTCTATTAATAGCTCAGTACCAGAATACTGTAGGTGCCTCATAACAGTTGTAGAAATAAAAGAATTGTTTAATGAAGAGAAAGAGAAAAGGAAGAAAAAGGTTGTTTCAGGAAAACAGTATATTATTTCTTCCTATTTATGAGTTTTTCTCCCTAGAAATGACTTTGATTGGATACCCTGCAAATATTTGCCGATAAAGTATGTTGTATCAATAGGTAAATGCTTGGGTAACATGCATTATTAGGGATACTCTCAATCATCTGACTTAAGGGCCATAAAAAAACCAAAGGAAGACATAAGTAGAATTTTTATGTAATAAAAAAGCAGTCATTTTTCTGTGCTCTCTTTCACAACATTAAGATATGATTCCCGATTTAAATATCAAAAAAAAAGTATTTCATGTACTGAGCTCATTCTGGGCTAATCTCCCAATCTCTGGGTGGAATGGCTGAATCTGCCTTTTCTCTAGATGAAAAATTATTAACTGTAAGAGCTTTAGAAATCATTTCCTTGTGAAATATAAATCTGTCTCTTTGAATAAAGCATTCTGACAGGCAGCCTAGAAAGTACTAATACAAGGTAACAATTTATCTATACTACTGAACTTTGACTGTGGGAAAAACAGTATAAAATTCTATTATGGCACATCAGAAAGTCCTGGCTTTACCCAGGCCTTTGTATTCCTTTTACAGAAATCCTCATCAATCATTTAAAATCATTGACCATATCTTACACCTCCCTTTCAGCCATAGCTCAGATGGAAGCTGTGTAATAGTCTAAATGGCTTTGCTTCTCAGATGTAAAACAGAATTTATGTTTACTATTCTTCTTCACACACCCACACTTTCCTTCTGCAAGATAAACCTTATAACTGCTTTAAATCATCCCTTTTCTTCATGTGATTACTGAAAGAATGGCAGATTTACAGGCCTAAGACCATCTGTGCCAAGAAAAAAAGATGATTTCTTTTCTTAATAGAAGAGATGGCGTTGTTTTATCATCACTTTTATGGTCTTATTTATCTGCACAGGAATCCTTCGTGTTTGACCTGTAGGTATCCACTCTGCTCAGTGTGATAGTCGTCTAGTTCCCTACTCCTCCCTACAAAATCAGTGAAATGTACCCACCTTTGTGCTACACCAGGGTTTCTCAGCCTAGGCTCTATTAACATTTTAGTAATTGGCAGTTTGATAATTCTTTGTTGTGGGGGGATGCCCCATGTATTGCAGAATGTTTAATAGCATCCCTGGTCTTTATTCACTAGGTAAAGGGCACACCCACCCCCTAGTTGTGACATCAAAAATGTCCAATGTCATATTCCAAAAGGTCCCCTGAGAGGCAAATCAGCCCCCACCCAAGTTGAGAACCACTATGAAAGCACTCCATACCCATTTAGTAAATTGTGAAGAAAAAAAAAAAAAGTTAAGGTACAGCTTCTAAAGATCCCAACAGAATTTATTTCCATCCATCTATTCACTCATTCATCAGCTCTTTCTTTCACTGTGTCATTCTTTTCTGAGCACTTGCAGGTTGAGCAGTAGATCTTGCCTCCCGGTAAATATCATTCTTACAGAGAGTTGGTTTTACAGTTATTTGAGGGGTGTAACTATGGACTAAGTCCTAGAAAGGATTTGGTAAGTCCAGGAGAGAGCAAAATCCAAGTAAATCTGGCTGAGTGTAGTGGCTCCCGCCTGTAATCCCAGCACTTTGGGAGGCTAGGGCAGGAGTACTGTTTGAGCCCAGGAGTTTGAGAGCAACCTGAGCAACAAAGCAAGACGATGTCTGTCCAAAAAAATTTTAAATGAGCTGGGCACAGTAGTACGCACTTGTAGTCCCAGCTACGTGGGAGGCTGAGGTGGGAAGATCGATTGAACCTGGGAGGTTGAGGCTGCAGTGAGCCACAATTGTGCCATTGCACTCCAACCTAGGCAACAGAATGAGAACTTGTCTCAAAAATAAAATAAAATAAAAAATCAAGTAAGTCTGAAACCCTGTCTTAGGAACTCACGAACTGTGGGAAGAGTATTCACAGCACTTAAATTCACCAAAATTTTGCTTTATGTATTGGCATTAAAAAAAGACAAAAAGCAACAATGTGTTAGTTTTAGGGTGCTGATGCCTCACAAGATGCCTAATGCTTCAAATACTCACGCCCCTAAATACATTTTAGTATAAACACAGAGAGACTGGAGCATATTTCTTGAGAAACTCAGAGTAAATTATGCAGTGACTATAAGACAAAACCTGCATTACAGATGATTTTTTATTTGCTTGATACTTGTCTAAAATTTCAAGGTTTTTTTAGCATGAGTGTGCATTTCTTTTATAATTAGAAAAAAAATCAATAGGCTTTATAAAATAAAGTTCATTAAAAATTCTGGCTCCTGTACATTTGAAGTTAAGCCCAGTGAAGTGAACACCTTACAGTAAGTTTCAGCCTCATAGGGGATTATTTTTGGGCAACCACTGAGTTACCCCTAGAGAGCGAGGAAATAAAGTTGACATGACAGCATTTTCTAAATTGCTTCTGAACACACAAAACAGCAGCAAGCCTTTGAAGACCAGGCCTGCAGTCTCTACCCAGGGAACAACGGTCCAGGTAACAAAGTCATCTCTCTCCAGTGCTCCTCACTTCTCCCCCAAGTGATTTCTGCTGTGGCAGCTAAAGCCTCTAACACCCTCCTGCCCAGGCCTCTGGAAGGTCACATTTGCATTGGCTGGAAGGACAGTCCAGGTGGTGCTGCCCATGGATACTGTCTGCTGTTGCTTGTTTGCTTAATTACAGATTCTTCCCCTGCCAGCTCTCCTTTCTGGTCAATTCCTGCTGTGTGCTGCTTCGGCTTTTAGCTGAAAACAGGAGGAAAGAACATATAAAGCTGGAGATGAAGCTAGGGATCTGTGAAAGAGACAATCTAGGTCCACGCAAGTTGCTTGTGGCATACAAAGAAAAAATGTTGCTTGGAGCAAAATGCTTTCCTTGAGGACACAATAAACCTTTGTTGTGGTTGTTAGGAACACTGGCTCGAGTGCTGTGTTGACCTGGGTTCTAATCCCAGCTCAGCCAACTGTGAGCTGTGTGACCTCAGGGAACTCTGTGAAGTTCTGTGAGTCTAGTTTTCCTCTTCTGAAAAATGGACTTAAGAAAACCTATTACAATGCCAAATTATATAACTACTCTATTGCTGGCTGTGGTGGCTCATGCCTGTAATCCCAGCACTTTGGGAGGCCAAGGCGGGAGGATCACTTGAACCCAGGAGTTCAAGACCAGCCTGGGCAACATGGCGGAACCCGTCTCTACAAAAAATACCAAAATTAGCCAGGCATGGTGGCGCACAATTGTAGTCCGCTACTTGGCTGAAGTAGGAGGATCAACTGAGTCCGGGAGGTCGAGGCTGCAGCAAGCCCTGATCACATCACTGCACTCCATCCTGGGTGACACAGTGAGACCCTATCTCAAGAAATAAAAATAAAGTAATAACTATTCTAAACTGTATTTGGGGTACTTTTAGAAGTCATGCATTTGTTCATTCAAACAAATACTTGAGTGCCAGAAACTTTGCTACATGTCAAATAAAACATGGACAACTAAAGTAGCCCCAGTCCTCCCCCGCCGTTGGAATGTCCAGTCTAATTAGAAATTTTTATATCCAGCAAATATCCACATAAATAAGGATTTGATCATAATGATGATATGTACCACAAAGCAGAAGTTTATAGAGGCAAATTGAGGACAGAGAAGGCTATGTTGAATATCATGAACTGGAATCTGAAGGATAGAGAATTTGCCAGGTGAAAAAGAGAAAAAAAAGCATTCCACATGGACTGAGCAACATGGAAAGTCACTCCCCAAAGTGAGTTCTGCTTTGGCGGGTAAAGCCTCTAACACACCCTTGCCCCAGGCCTTAATGCAGCCCTGAGATCACATAGCTAATAGCTGATAGAGCTGAGATATAAGGGCCTCAGATACCAATCACCTGTGAATACTCAGTACATAGCACATGCCGAGCACATAGATGTCAATAAATATTTGTTGAATGAAAAAAATGAAATCCATCAGAAGTATTTTGTGAGTGTTAGCTCAGTCACACGCCAGCAGTGCAGTCTTTGGCAAATCACTTAATTTGTCTAGGCCTTACTTTCCTTATTTGTAGGCTACTATTGTTTATAATACTGACATCTCTACATTATTTTTAGGATCGCATGAAATAATGAATACGAACGCACTTGTCTTGTAAAGTGCTGCACACAAACTGGTAAAGTCTCCTACGAGTTAGTTTTTCCCTATAAATATCACTGGATAGCAAGACCCTTGAGCACAGAAGTCAAATCTATTTTGTTTCCCCCTGCATTCCTAGCATCTAACAGAGTACCTGGACAAAGAGAGATGCTTAATAAATATCTAGAAATAAAATACCCATTAATATCGATTATGCTTTTATTTTTCAATGTGTGTACAACGATGTGTACACATACATTACTTGATTTCGGATCCTGTGTTGTTTCTGTCCAAGGCATCAAAACACAAAATGTCAGCAACGATATCAAATCAGATATAATTTCACAGTCTCTCTATATTTGTGCTTCCTGAATGCTCCACCAAATCTATGCCTGCTCTTAAGTGTCCTGAAAAGGTTCTGAAATATTCCCAAGCAAAGCTAGTGCCCCTATTAATTGAGCCTGTCTCATTTGATTTGGACAAGCAGGAGTGGGGTGCAGGCAGAAGAGGAGTAGGAGATTTATTTTACAATGTATTGGAATACTAACACCTCCACCTTAATACATGAAAAGCGATAGATCACCGTTAAGTATTGGGAGAGGCTACCAGCCATGGACTTTGAGCATCCTTGCACATTCTTGCAGCATCTGCTATGAATGCAAAACCCTGACCTTTATTTTTCTGGACCATTTTTTCAGGGCTATGTTTGCAGAAACTACTTTGAGAGATGAGGTAACCTCTCCCTGTCCCACTCTACCCCGTCACCCTCACCCCTGCCAACAAAGCACAGCCTTTCTTCCATTTATTATGAAAGTGGTAAATCCCACCACTCAGACTTTCTTTCCTGTAATGCACCTCACTATGTGTGCAGGAATTTACCATGGGCCCTTTGAGTCACCCCCTTAGACTTGGCCGGGTACAAAGGGAGCTAACACAAATGAACATGAAGCTTTGATATTGCTTCTGCTGTCCCTTGTCTCTGACCACACATTGCATGTCTTCAGCCAGTAACAATGATACTGTGGCAGGCTAACTTTTTGGCATGTAAGTAGAGTAGAATCAGAAACTTTATCAGAAAACTTTCACTGTTCTGGACATGAGATAACAATTTTGGCATTAGGATCTACTATATCCAGGTCTGTCTGTCCATTTAACTTTTGTGAGCTTTACTTTTGTCTTTTGAACCCTGAGATCACAATTCCAACCACAAGTACTCTAAGCCAGAATTGTATTCATTCACTTGCGACCAAATAAGCCTGATATTCAGCAAATATCCACATAAATAAGGATTTGATCATCATGATGATATGTACCACAAAGCAGAAGTTTGTAGAGGCAAATTGAGGACAGAGAGGACTATGCTGAATATCATAAATTGGAATCTATCACAGCACTGTGATAACAAGAAAACAATACAAAATAAAACAGACACAAACGTACTGGAAGGGTTTGGGGAAATTTACAGACTCTAAGAAATAGTTAAATAATCAACACAGGAAAGTCAGAAGTAGAATAGTTCTGGGGATCTAAGACATGGGAACTCATAGACCATCTCTAGAGTTGTTTTGAATAATGCATCTCCAATTGCCTTCTGTCTTTATGCTCAAGATTCACATTCGCAGCAGGGGAAAGTTGATTAGCTCAGCTTCAGTCATGTATCTTCCCTTTGGGCAACGTGGTATGACAGGGACAGAAGAGGAGCAGGCATCATACTAAGCACTTGGACTTATTAGAATCACCAATGGTCAATGAAAAAGCAACAGCAAAGGTATTTTTCTTATTACCACTCCTGGTATATGTAAATGCTCAGTACCTGTTAGGAGTTACTATCTTATCCTTTAATGTCATTGTTATTGTTAATAGTAATAAAAATCTTGTTACCAAGCTGTCTGCTATTGATAACATGAGCTCATTAAAAATATTTTTCATGCTGGAAAATTCAGATCTATCAATCAGGAAGACTGTCATAGGCACTAATTTTAGAGATAATGGATTTTTGTCAATGTTAAATTTGCACTGGTCTAGCAAACAGTGGGTGGAATTTTTTTCTTCAAATTGACAAGAAAATGAAGAATGTAATCCTTGGTTAGGAGTATAGGATTTACTTGCTTTTTTTTTTTTTTTTTAATGCAGTCTCTTTGTGTCACCCAGCCTGGAGTGCAATGGCGCGATCTCAGCTCACTGTAACCTCCGTCTCTCAGATTCAAGTGATTCTCCTGCCTCAGCCTCCACAGTAGCTGGGACTACAAGTGCCCACCACCATGTCCAGCTAATTTTTGTATTTTTAGTAGAGATGAGCTTTCACCATGTTGGCCAGGCTGGTCTCGAACTCCTGACCTCAGGTGATCCACCTGCCTCAGCATCCCAAACTGCTGGGATTACAGGCATGAACCACTGTGCCCAGCCAGATCTACTTGCTTTAAATCAGCCTACCCATTTCCAAATTATTTGATTCTGGGAAATTAATCTCTCTACATTTCCATTTTCTCATATTTAACTCATAGAGTTAATTGAAGTAGACAATCCATTTAAGGCATTAACACAGTCTCTGACACTTAGTAAATGCTCAATAAATGTTAATTGTGGTTATTATTCATTGAGCTATAGAAGTTCATGTCTTTAGGAACTTCTTTTACCTGCTTGCCCACCCAATTTAAATGAAAAATAGACCTGCAAATGTCTCATGGGACATTTTTATAAACAAAACTAGCCAAACACTCTTGAGGACTCTGCAAGCTGATGATAAAGATCGAATCTGGCAACATATTTTTCTGAGGGTAAAAAAAAAAAAAAAGGACCTCATCAAAAGATACAAAATTGCAGTTAGACAGGAGGAATAAATTTAAGAGATCTATTGTACATCATGGTGACTACAGTGAATAACAATATACTGTATATTTTAAAATTGCTAAAAGAGTAGATTTTAAGTGTTCTCACCACAAAAAGACAATGACAAGTATGTGAGGTAATATATATGTTAATTAGCTTAATTTAGCATTCCACAATGTATACATATATCAAAATATCATATTGTATGCCATAAATAAATATGTATAATTTTTGCCAATTTAAAAAAATTTAAAAACAAGACCCAGTAAGACTATAATTTTGCTTATATAGAAAAAGTACACTTAAGGAGAGGTTTACTTGTTTGACAATAAAATGATCCTCTTTTATTGTGGTTTCAGTGTGTGCAATTTAACTACGTTTTTTACCGTGTGTGTGGGTGCATTTTAATCATTCAACTCTCTTAATTTAGCCATTTGTCTCTTTTGTCTTATAAATTGCTTTATTTTTGCACTGAAACAAACTTTTAAAAATTATCATAAATATTTGTTTTACATAACCACTGTTGAGGAACAAAAAAAGGCCAGTTCACTTGCATTTCATTTTAAAAGGTACTGAAAACATGTCATGGTCATACTCCTTACATTGTCAGGCTATGGTTATGTCATTGTGATACACGAGCAAGTATTTCCTGAACTTGAGTTCACTGAGGCAGAGGAGGACCCAGGAATTATAAGACGTGTCAATGTATTGATCTGTGGCACCTCTTCCCAGTTAAATCTATGCCTTTTTAAAGATGCCTAAGGTTCTAACGAAGAGTTTATCAAACTGTTAGTTACATAATGGCTGCTGATCTCAGTTGCTATTCATAACTACTGAAGAAAAAGGAAAAAAAATCATCATTTCACATCTCTCCCCACTGGCCCCTGGCTTTGGAAGTATTGACTCCTGTGGACCTGGATCCAGGAAAATCTGGGCCCAAATTCTGCCTTGGCCATTTACTCCCTATGCGACTTCTCACTGCAATTAAAGTTGCTGGTTCCTAGGGAGCCTGGACTTTTATCTCACTGGATTTGTGGGAAATAAGCACAAAATAATTTTTTCATGTTTGTGTTTAAAGTTCCAGTCCTATGAGAATGGTCCTGCCTGTCAGAGACGACTTCATTCTTAACAAGGTGGTTGGCCTGTATCTTCCCCAACCTTGTTACCCTTGATCAAAGGGTTAGGCTTCCGTAACAGATCCCTGTTATGCTTTTCTTCCTGCCTCTTTAATCATTCTTTAGTTCTGTTAAAGCAAACTAAATATGGCCTAAGGACTCTGTACTTCTATATTTAAGTCCTTGTGGATGAACTATAACCTAGCTTAATAGTCAGACAAGATTGAAAACCTAACTCAGGAGTATGCACCTGTAACAATAACTGTCTTGGCCAATCCCAGCAGCCATACTTCAACCACTCATAGACTGTAAGTGTTCAAACTGTGTTCAAATAAGGCAAACGCCAACCTGTAACTAATCCCGCCATTTCTATTCCTCACTACCAATTGCTGTACGTCATTTCCTTTTTTTTGTCTATAAATCTTCTTCCACCACGTGGCTGCGCTAGACTCTCTGTGAATCTGCTGTGATTCTGGGGCTGTCCGATTCACAAATCATTCATTGCTCAATTAAACTCCTTTAAATTTAATTCAGCTGAGGTTTTTCTTTCATCAGTTCCCATCTTTAGTCTCCTCTTCTTTCTCCCATCCCAAGAATGGAGAGTCCTTACAACTGAACCCTTAACCCTTATGTTCTCTTACATCTTCACTCCTAGAAACAATTTACAAAAATTCTTATCCCACTAATCATTGGTAACAGCTAGAATGACAGGCATTCTAATTCTTGCAACAATTTTCCAAGTTAGCTCCAATTTTATCCTCTTTTGCAGATTGGTTTTACTCTTGACCTTCAAAAGAAAATTTAAAACCATACTTTTCTGACTCTAATGAGCATACTCTTTCAGCTACACATGTTGCTTCTTTATTTACACCTCCTGGCTTTAGACTTGGTCTTCTCAATTCTTGGCTTATGTGTACCACTAATTAGTTTTGGGTGTTTTTAACTGGAGGGCTATCAATTTCTTACTCTTCTATGCCCATCCACATTTCTGTTTATTAGAATCACCATTATTCTTGTAATTTCCTCAACTGCTGGAATAATAAAGTACCAATGTTGAAGGATCAATCATAAGGATGAAATAAATGAATAACTACATAGATGAGGCTGTACATGCAACATTGCCCCTTATCAAGGTAGTTCTTAATAATAGTAGTTACGGTGCTAATAGTAGAACCAGTAAGTTAGATCTTCTCCTTACTATCATTATTATTTTATTATTATTACTGCCACTTCTACGACTACTAAAGTGCTCTAAAAGTTTAGAAACTAGAAAATGAGGAGTTATACGCAGAGCGTAACAATTCAGTAAGTTAAATGCGCTGTTTAAATATTTGTATATAATGCTCTACGATCACAGCTGAGAGTGCCTGAATATACAATGCCTGCATCTTTAATATTTTGTCGCTGAAGCAACATACACGCACACACACACTGACTATATGTGTGCCCCATATTTTGGAGAGGGGAAGTATATTGGTAGGGATCCTCTGAACCATCCCCTGTAGGGCCTGAAATTCTTACTGAATGCCACTTTGAGGTAAGAATTTCTATCTTCAGTTACCAGATTGTCCCCTGAAGTAATTGAAACCCATAAGCCTTAGATATAAATCTGCTCAGTGCCATTGATTATAATAGCACAATTTGAGTTTAGGCAACAGTACTATTTTTGAAGTGGAAGGATTTGCTTAGTCTATATAAAATATATAAACACATATTTATTTAAATATACATTTTTTAAGAAAGAATTTGTGCCTGAGTGGCCCAGCTCCTGATTCTCTAATTACATTTAATATAGTGGATGAGCCTAGCCATTGTTTCTTGGCTCTTCTGACAACAGTCAGGATAATAGTCAGTGAATTTCATGAAGGGAAAACCCAATGACCCTCTCCCCCTGGAGAATCCAAAGGCAACAAAGACTAAACAAGGTCCCTGCTGCTGCTGACAGAAGGACAGCTCCTTCTTGGCCACTACCTGAAGGGAGGAGAAACTAATGATTAACTCCCTTCACCTTTTATCTTATCAGGATCTAGACAGGAGGATGACAGGCGGCATTGAAGCTCACTTCCACTCTATTCATTGTTTGTTAGCTTTGCCTCTGAGAAAATTAGAAAATTAATTCTTATTCAGGCTAATCCAGAGGAGGAAGTAGATGAATAGACAAGGGACTACTTGCTTCTTAATACTCTCACTCTTGCTAACACACCGTGATGAAAGCACCAGTGTCCAGCAATCAAGTGAGAGGCAAGGGAGATGGGTGTTTTATACAGAGGCACAGCGACTGAGTCAGTTGGTGTTCCAGAGAAATGCAAAAGAAGGAACTCTGGAAATAGAACTGCTTGTGTTTACCTCCTGGATGCACCACGTTTACCAGCTGCATGACCTTGGGCAGATGATTTAAACCCTCTGAATTCCAGGTAGTTCATCTGTATCTTGGAGGCATCACTTACCTGAGATAGCTGTTCATAGAATTATAGAATGTGATATTGGCAAATGGTGTGGCATGTAGTAAGTATCCAATTAATTACAGCTTCCTTCTTTGTATTGCCTACCAACTCTATTTATTTCAGTAACACATTAAAGAGAAGTACATCAATCGATATAAAAATCAAATCATCCAGAAATTAATTTTTCAATAAAAACAAGAAAGTGTGTGATTCAACACACGGAAATACCTTTCTGAAGTTTGTGTTGAAAAATATTCTGTAAGCCTGGAAACTGGACTTTGAAAAAAATAAAAAATATTGTGAGGTCAAGTGCAAACCACGTAGGTAGAGTGTCCTGAACAGTTAACAATATCTACATGGGCAGAGGAAGGAACAGTGGCTGCTTGCATACCATATAGTAATAGTCTCTGGACCAACATGTTTTAGAAATATGTTCAGCATAATGTTACCGGCAGCGAATCCATATGGGTCTGCAGCAACCTCAATTCTTGCCTCCTCAGAAGAAAGAATTTGACTTTCTTTCTTACGAGGGCCATAAGGCAGAGTGAGAGACTGAGGCAAGATGTAGAGCAGTAGTGAAAGTTTATTAAAAAGCTTTACAGCAGGAATGAAAGGAAGTAAAGTACACTTGGAAGAGAGCCAAGCGGGCGACTTGAGAGATCAAGTGCACTGTTTGACCTTTTGACTTGGGTTTTATACATTAGTACACTTCTAGAGTTTTGCATCCCTTCTCCCTTGGGGTAGGCTATCTGCATGCGCAATGGCCTGCTAGCACCTGGGAGGTGAGCAAGTGCACTGTATTTACTGGAGTTGTACTCATGCTCACCTGGTGTTGTTTCCTTACCAAATATCCCTGGAAGGTGATAAACCAGTTAAACTCCACAATTTTGCCTCTTAATTTGCATGCTTGAGTCCACTCATGCAGCTCCTGAGATCTTATCAGGAAGCGCTGATCACCAGTTTCAGATATTTCCATCCATTAGGAGACTGCCTTTCCCTGGCACTAGCTGCAACCAATTATCATTTTATAGAGACTGTGTAACTGATACAAGAGTTAAAAAGAAATTATTTAGGCAGATAGTGAGGGCAAGGAGGTCCTTGGTAAGGTTTTCCTTTTAATGAAAAGCAGCCCCCAAATCATTTTCTTTTCTAAGAGCAGCCTGTAAAATCAAGCTGCAGACATAGAAAGGCAAGCTAGAAGCTTGCACGGGTGAATGCCAACAGCTGTGCCAATAGGTCAGGGGCTACCTGGAGACTAGCCATGCTCAAAATTGTGGCTCCATCTTCCTTTTTCTTTGTAAAACAGTAAGGAGCAGCCAACATGACCCTGGCCAGGCAAAGACCCTATCTGCATAATAGATTGGGTGGAGTGGCCAGCTTCCTCCCGTGTTATGTAAACGTCATGCCTGGTCCAACCAATCTTTGGGCCCTGTGTAAATCAGACAGCAGCTCCTCAAGCCAGTCTATAAAACCCCGTGCACTTCACCATGGGACCAGAAGTCTCACTTGGGCACCCCTCTCTCCCCTAGGAGAGAGCTGTTCTCCTTTTTCTTTTGCCTATTAAACCTCCACTTCTAAAACCATTTCTTGTGTGTCCACATACTAGATTTCCTTGGCATGAGACGACGAACCTTGGATATTTACCCCAGACCAACGATGCTGCTTCATCACAACGAAATATTTTATTCGTTCATCCATTCATCTACTCACTGATGGTCACCTGACATTCCTGGTGGGGTGGGGGGAGCCCTCTCCTGCCCTGCTCATGCCTGACTACCTACCTACTATAAAAATAATACCTCAGAAATGTGAACAAAGTCCTAAATACTCAGCTATCAAGAAATTTAAAGTCATGATTGACTTTTGCCATTTATTAAATTTTACTGAGTGTATAAGGAAGAAGAAGACCTGGTCCTTGTCCTCTATTAATCAGGTGAATCAGAATAGAAAACACATTCTAGTGAAGAAAACACAATGAGTTAAGGTACAGATTTGTAAAAGAGTATATGGGTTAATAAATATTTGTAAGAAACAGCTGTTATATTTCATAGAGTACATAGCTTAAGGGAATAACTGTGTGATAGTTTTTAAAACATGACCCCCAACCGCATTAACCACCCCCACTTTATCTTACCTCCCTGCTACCCTTTCTAACCTATGGTAATTAGTTACAGTTAAAATACAATTAGAATTGTCAGAGGCACTCAAACCACAGCAGCTCCATCTTAAACAGAGGCATTCCCAGGAGGTTAGGCAGTTTTAGTCACAGGACGAGATATATAGAAGGGTGGCACAAAACACAGGTCACAAAGCCCCTGATGATAAGCAGGATGAGGTAAAGAAGTCAGCCAAAACCCACCAAAACCAAGATGGCAAAGAAAGTGACCTCTGTTTGTCCTCACTGCTCATTGTATGTTAATATTAAACCATTCACATGCTGAAAGACACTCCCGCCAGTGCCACGACAGTTTACAAATGCCATGAAAACATGGGGAAGTTACCCTGTATGTCTAAAATGGGGAGGAACCCTTAGTTCCAGGAAATGCCCTCCCTTTTCCCAGAAAACTCATGAATAATCCACTTCTTATTTAGCCTATGATCAAGAAATAACCATAAATATAGCCAACCAGCAGCCCTTGGGGCTGCTCTGTCTATGGAATAGCCATTCTTTTGTTTCTTTACTTCTCTAATAAACTTGCTTTCACTTTACTCTATGGACTCGCCCTGAATCTTTCTTGTGCGAGGTCCAAGAACCCTCTCTTGGGGTCTGGATCCAGACCATTTTCTGGCAACAGAATGAATAGGATCTAGTATGGGAGATAGGGAGGGTGAAGGGAAAATTAGTGATGACTTCCATGTTTTTGACTGACTGATTAGAAAGATGATTGGAACACTGAGATTTAGAATAATAAAGGAAGAGATTTAACTGTGATAGAGGAAGATACCATGATCCATCAAGTTTTTACTGTGATGAGTTGAAATTTCCTTTGAGATTCTAGGTGGATATAGCCAGCAAACCTTCACAAACCTAAAGTTTGGGAAAGACGTCAGGATGAATGGAGGGCAATAGATTTGAGAATCAACAATCTCTACAATTAAACCAAAGAGAATAGAGTAGATCATTTAGGGAAATGATGCAGAATAAGCAAAATGGAGAATCTCTAGGGAACACTGGTGTTTAAGAGTTTTATAGGCTGGGTGTGGTGGCTCATGCCTATAAGCACTTTGGGAAGCAGAGGCAGGAGGATCACTTGAGGCCAGGAATCCATGACCAGCCTGAGCAACACAGCCAAACCTTGTCTCTACAAAAAAGAAAGAAAGATATCATGGTGCACATTTGTAGTCCCAGCTACTTGGGAGGCTGAGGCAGGAAGATCACTTGAGCCCAGGAGTTTGAGGCTGCAGTAAGCTATGATTGATCCACTATATTCCAGGCTGGGCAACAGGGTGAGTCTCTAACTCTTTTGAAAAAAAAAAAAAAAGAAAGAGTTTTACAAGATAGGAATGACCAAGGAAACAAAGAAAAAAAATGAAAGAATAATTAGAGAGGAAATAAGAAGGGACATGGACTCCAAGAAGTAAAGAATTTCAGAAAGGCTTTATTGTTCCCTATCATTAAATGCAGCAGAGAGGTCCACTAGCTCTATGCCAAGACCTTTGCAAGACACTGAGAATATAAATTTGAATACATTCTCATCCTAGACTTTGCAGAGAAATAGATAGGTAAATAATTATGTGACAATAGAGTGGGAAAATAGCAAACTAGAACGCGATTTGATACTGAGTTACCATGAGGAGGAAGAAATTAACTTCTCAGTAAGAATAAAGGAAGTCTTCAGGGGATGTAGTATATCAGGATTTTGTCTCCTAAAATGATGTGTAAGCCACTTGAATCCAAGAAACAGACCTTTTTTTCATAGTCAAAGGCCCTGAGGCCTCTGACTATGAAGGCCCATAGAGGCCCTGAGGACCTCTACTTGAAGTTTGGTGGGTTAGTATACATGATGGACCTGAAATTCAGCGTCCTCTGGGAAAGCTACACAGATGAAACAGGTAATTTGCATTGATATGTTAAAAAAAAAAAATTCCAACCCAAAGAGTGAAGAGGACTTCCATTTACACCAATCCCCAAGTGGAGCTGGACCCTTCTTGTTTGGCATCAGTACAACTAATCTGTAAACTGCCTCTCTGCACACAGGACCTCCCTGCTATTGTTCTGACCTTGCACTATTACTTGAAGTGGAGAGCAATTGAAAGAAGCATTTATTATTGCCTTGAATTGAAATCCAGAAGCTAGAATTGTTCGAGAGCTAAAAGCAATTTATTCCTAGGCTTTCATTTTTATAAAGTTGAGATTATTTCCCCTCCTCCCAGCTTTCCATCTGCAAGTTCCAGGGCAGGTGTGTCAGGCTTTGGAGCTGGTTCAGCTCCTGAACAGTTTCAAGTTATTGCACAGACCTAAGAATTTACACAATCCCAAGTTTTGTCTTTAAAGAAACCGTTAGCAGTATATTTCAGAGGCATTAATAGAAGAATTTCTTCTATAGTCAGAAAGCATATACATACCATCTATACAAATGATAATTTTAGTAAGAAAACTGCCCCTTCAAAGTGCTGTTGTACATGTGTGTGTAAGGGTGGTTGTGCAGAGAGGGAAAGAGACAAGAGAACAGTGATTTTCAACCAGGGGTGATTTTGCCCTCCAGGGGACATTTGAGAACGTCCGGAAATATTTTTCGTTGTCCCACCTGGGGTGCTACTAACATTCTGTGGTTAAAGGCCAGGGGTGCAGCTAAACATCCTACAATGCACAGGACAGCGTCCACAACAAGAAATTTTTCAGCCCAAAATTTCAACAGTGCCAAGGCTGGGGAACCTTGAGAGAAGTGGCATCAAGAAATTATTCCAGTGTTTTTTTCTATCCAATTAAGCCTAGTCACAAAACCATCATGTCTCAGGCTTGGGAGGATATTTTCTAGCCATTACATAGGCTCATGTGCCATGAAACATTGCTTGAGGATGGCAAGCTGGCTTTGTGCATTACAATTCCATTAGTCAGACTTGCTTGGATAAAAGAGAAAACATGGAACATGACTCCATGAAAAGGCTACAAAAATGTATCCCTTGTGCTGTGACTAAAAAGAGATAACCCCTCAAGCTAGCAATAGAAGAAGACTGACTGCAAGACGAGACAACAAGAGAGAAAATATGTTTAGTGTTCCATTTGGAAAGAGGCGGCTGCTAGATGTAGCTCTGAGACGGTCTTGTAGATTTAAGAACCAGAAGGGAAAACAGTTTTTGACCTGCAGGGGATGCTGGAAAACAGATGCCTGAAGATCCCAGGGGAGAATTTTTGACCCAATGACAAGTTTCTTGCATGTGTCAAATGGTATTTTTGTGTGTGTGAAATTCTGCTGTTTCTCGTTAAAATATGAGAAAACGTCCAAATTCTCATGCGGGTTCCCTGAGGCTTCAACTCATCTGGTTGGCCATTCTTCCAGCTGGAATTCCTGATACTCAAATTCTCTCACTGCATGTGACTTAGGAATTTGCCGTTCTGGTAGACGGCGTAGGGTTCCCCCTTGTCTCGTGGCTCACTGAGCAGCACATGTCTTTGTAGAGATTTCAGGAAGTTTGATGTATGTTCACAGTAAAAAAAAAAACAAACTTGAGGAACAGACAAGCTTGAGTTTGAATCCCAGCTAGATCCCTATCTTAGCATGTGACCTTGGTAACATCTTAACTTCTCCAAATCTCAATTTATGATTAAGGAATGAGGAACCAAAATCATTGTGAGAATTAGATGTGACAAATTTTTTTTATTTTTTTGAGATGGGTTCTTGCCCTGTCACCAAAAATGGAGTGCAGTGGCATGACCTTGGCTCACTGCAGCCTTGATTTTCTGGGCTCAAGTGAACCTCACACCTCAGCCTCCTGAGTAGCTAAGACTACAGGTGAGCACCTGCTCATTGTAACAACTATTTAATTCGGCCAGCACAGTGCCAAGTTTGTGGTAGGTGTGCATTCAGATTGCTATTATTGTGATGAGTACTATTTTTAAGAAGAAAGGTCTAAAAATACTTTTCTACCTAGATTATTTTTCATTTTTCCTTATAACCAAGCTGAGCCAAGTACCAAGTTGAGAACTGTTCCTCGTGCTTTTCAGTTGCAAATCACACTGGTGTCAAAGTGACGAAAGCATAGTCCAGGCATAACAGAAAAAAGGGACTAGAAACTTAGAGAGAGGAAGCTTTTCCTGTTGAAATAAATTTTAGAGTCTACCATGTCTGTTTATATTTTTCCTGAATTTCTACACAATGGAGGAAACAGAATGAAACGTCTTTAATTACATGGGGAGAGGGGATTCATATAAATGTACAAAGTTGCAAAAGAAAAGGCATTTTCTATTTATTTATTTATTTATTTTTGAGATGGAGTCTTGCTCTGTCGCCCAGGCTGGAGTGCAGTGGCACAATGTCAGCTCACTGCAACCTCCGCCTCCCAGGTTCAAGCAATTCTCCTGCCTCAGCCTACCGAGTAGCTGGGACTACAGGCGCGTACCACCACTCCCGGCTAATTTTTTGTAGTTTTATTAGAGACAGGGTTTTATTGTGTTAGCCAGGATGGTCTCGATCTCCTGACCTCGTGATCCACCTGCCTCGGCCTCCCAAAGTACTGGGATTACAGGCATGAGCCACCACACCCGGTCCAAGAAAAGGCATTTTCTTATACTCAAGTCCATTTTTTATTTTATTTTATTTTTTCAGAACAGAGTCTCACTCTGTCGCCCAGTCTGTACTGCAGTGGTGCGATCTCAGCTCACTGGAACCTCTGCCTCCCGGGTTCAAGCAATTCTCCTGCCTCAACCTCCTGAGTAGCTGGGATTACAGGTGACCGCCACCACGCCCAGCTAATTTTTTTTTTTGTATTTTTAATAGAGACAGGGCTTCACCATGTTGATCAGGCTGATCTCGAACTCCTGACCTTGTGATCCACCCGCCTCAGCCTCCCAAAGTGCTGGGATTACAGGCGTGAGCCACTGCGCCCGGCCTACTCAAGTCCATTTAATACCTGGAGAGGCATGGTGTGTATCATCTTTTCCCTCATGTGCTCATCCTTCCCACCATTTAGCAATGACCCCAAGGACAAAATAAAATCAGATATTCTAGAGGGCAGTGGGAGAGAATGAATATACTGCTCACAAGATTTTATGCAGTCAGAGACTTCAACTGTGAAAAGTGATTCTAGTCATTGTGTTCAGAGGAGCAGATGAATTATTTCAATAATGTGAGCACTAAATATACAGAAACTAATTTCGTTTTATTTCAGGGATCCAAGGGTTCAGTCTGAACATCTAAGTACTGGAGCTCAAACTACCTACCCTATCCTCAAGTATTTTTCAGAACCAAAGACATACACCACTGGAAACACCAGTGAAAACATCACTGCAGGTCAAGGCATGAGCTGGATACAGCATGTTTGGATGGAAGTCTTGCCTTCAGCACCTACTAGCTCTGTGAATTTGGCAAGGTTACTTTACTCTTCTGAGTCTCTGTTTGCTCACTGCAAATACAGGAATATTCTCATCTACATTGAAGGCTTATTTGTGGGTACTAAATAAGATAATGCAAAGCAAGTGTGATAGCCCATGACGGTAGACTTATCTTCGCTACTATAGATTCTCATTTCTTCTTTCTTAGAAAAGCTGCACAGTGCTCCTGTGGCTCCATCTGATGACCTGCTGAGTATTGTCTCTGCCCATTCCTTAAACTGAACCTTTTCTGCACACCCCTAATCCACAGAAGAAAGTGTCGCTTCATTTGGACAGATGTCCAGATGTTGATCACTGCCCTATTGGACTTCAAATTAGACCCATCCCAGCCAATGTCTCACCAGCTGTAATAAACTTTCTTCTGTGATTATCCTAATTATCACTCATGTTTTCAGAGCTCTGGGAATCCTTCACCCTAATATCCTCTTTTAGGGAAGTTATCCAGCAGTTTATACAATCTGAATACCCCCCAAGCCCAACACAGGTTTTCATTTGCTGCTGGTCCATCTGTCCAGGTTTTAGCACACATGGTCCAAGGCCACTGTCCTGTGCAGGTTTGTCTACCAGTCCAGAGGCGCTCCTTCAGACTTACATCTCTTTGGATGAGCAAAGTAAGGCTGTTCAGCAGCTTATAATACAATGTGTCATCTCTGTCTTGTTTGAGAGAAAGTGGTGCACACTTTGTAGGTGTATATATGCTGCTTTGTTATTGATCAGATTCAGATTGATAACTCTCTCTCTCTCTCCTTCTCTTTATTAGAAAAAAATTAGCTTTCTTTCTAAAGCTAATTTTCCTTCTAAAGCCAAGCTTATGGTTCCTTTGATTGGTAAAAATATACATATTAATATAAAAATTAGTAGCTTTATTAGGACAAATACCTAATGCATGTGGGGCTTAAAACCTAGATGATGGGTTGACAGGTGTGGCGAACCACCATGTATACCTATGTAACAAACCTGCACATTCAGCACATGTATCCCAGAACTTAAAGTAAAATAAAATAAAATAAATAAAATAAAATAAAATGTTATTCCAACAGCCTAGAAATTCTCATACATAGGTATATGTCCTAAAGAAGCTTGCATATATTCATAAGGCAACATTACAGAGATATGTACGAATAACATTATTTTGTAAAAAACAAAAAAAAAAAGAGCAGCTTTTACATGTCAATGACAATGACAGGACACCATGTCCACTGGTGATAAAAAGGAGCCTTTTGTAACAACAAGCATAGGCTGCCAGGCTTTTGCCAAAGATGTAATCACAACACACTGGTTGAGAAAGTCATACTCTTTCTGTGGAAACTGCAATTCTGCACACTTCTGTTGCACTGTATTGCTTCTGAGCATGCTAGATTTTAGAGCATTCTCTGGGAAGAAAAAAAAAAAAGCAAGCTCAGTAAATCCCAGTATTTTTACTGCCTTTGCCAAATTTGACATCTTTCAAAGTAACTGTGAGACGCACGCACAATCTCTGCCAATTGCATGATTTAGCAGCTATAAAATCCCTCTGAATCAAACTCATTTTGAAATAAAAAGAAACCTGCTTGAGAATTTCATTGCACTGTTGGATACCTACTCAAAGATCAATCACCTCTCCTCATTCTGTATCCCTGGTATATTTTTAAGTTTAATGTTTTTTGCAGCTTTACCCATTTAGTTAAGGGTAGAATTTTAAAAGACTAAAGATTCAGCAAGAAGAAGGAGGACATAGAGTCTGAACAAAGGACTTCTTTATAGTCTGTATGACAGAACTGAAAAAGATGGTCTATTTTCTTTTCTGCTGTTTCCCCAATGGTACAGTACCTAGACTCTCAAAACTTGAGTGTCCTTTCCCCCAAGGAAAATAGTATCTCTCTGCAGGCTTCCTAGTAGGATAAAACAGCTGTGTTTCCTACTCCACAGGGAATTTCCTTACGTGCAAGTCTATTTTTTAGGCTCAATGTGATTGGCTGAGCAGAAAACTAAACACATTGCTTATAGTTTGGCCTCCAATGACTATTGAAAAAAAATTGTTTATAAAATGTGGTACAAAAGCAATTAACTATGTTGAAACTGAAATACACATTGTAAATAAAATGCTGGCTATAGGGAAATATCAAGTCTCAAATGAATAAAAATAAAATTGTTTGAATCTGGGTTTCCATAACAATTTAATGTATAAGGAACAGGAAAATTTCTTGAATCTCACTTTGAGTCTCACTAATACAAATATTTCAAATATGACAGGAACACAGACACCTCAGTCATGTTGATATTTATAAACTCTATGTATAAAGGTGGAAGCAACTGAAGAAGACTTTTTTTCTCACAATGCAGATGTTCATAAGATCTAATATATGTTCATCTAATAAATAAGTTTCTAATTACTAAGAAAATACAAAAAGTCTGATATGAGCTACATTCCCCTTAGGATAAAAAAATCGTATGTGAGAAATATCCTCATAGCCTTTATCTTCCTCCCTGCCTGGAACCAGCACCCAAAGAATCACACCTAGAAGCCATCCATAGACTATGAATATCTGTTATACTATGTTTCTCTGGTTTGGACAACTGATAGCATTTTATTAAGAGCCCACATTTATTTCAACAGTGATCAACTCTTATGAGTATCCATTTATGTAAAACTGACATTGCGCTCCCACCACCAGGAATTGATTTATTATTGTGTCATTGTAAGGCAAGACTTTCAAAATCGTGTGTGTTCATCCTGCGTAAGCCACAAGTTGCTAAATTGTGATTAATCTTGAAAGTAAAAATGCTTCAAGTTATATCATTACATAGTATCTGCAACTTTTTAATAAAATCCTCCATAAACATGTGTGTGTGTGTGTGTGTGTGTGTGTGTGTGTGTGTGTGTGTGTGTGTAGGTGTGTGTGCTGGAGAGCTTGGGCCACAAGTAAATTTAGAACTAGAAATAATAATTTGTCACCTAAAGATAAATTAAAATGTGGATTATTAATAAGGTGATTATATAATTTATTGTCTAAAACAGACATTCATGAGAATTAAAGGGGCATTATTGATAATTACAGTGAGACAACAGGCATAAAGCAATATGTATGCCAATTATATTTATACATTAGCAAAAAAATCCTCTCCCTAATAAGCATATAAAATAAGAGCAGCATGGTGGATGGAGGGGGGTGCTTTGGAAGCAGGTGGGCTTAGAATCTAAACTCTGATATGTATTAGTTGTGTGCATTTGTTTCCATATCTCTTCTTTTTCTCACTTTCAAGATAACGGAAGTAATATCTAACTTTGATTTAGTGTTTCAAATGCACCAGAAAACATGCCAAAAGTGTAACACTGAATAGCTTTATTTAAATCTCAGAACAACTAAACCATGTCGTTATCATTTTTCCCTATTTTACGCATGATACAATGGATTAAGTGAGGCTAAGTGACTTGCTCATGGTCATTCAGCAAGTAAGTGGTGAAGCTGAAATACTAACCTTGGCAGTGAGTCCTTAGTGTCCACACACTTAAATATTTTGATATGCTGAAAACAATAATACCAATTTCCCAGAGTTCTTATTAGGGCTAAATGAGATACTACATATCAGGCACCCAGCACAATGCCCAAAACATAGTCAAAAATTTAAAAGAGTTGCTAATAATGAAATAAAAAATAGCTATAAATGCTTTTTTGGCTAACCCATACGTGTGTTAATTCGTTTTTGTGTTGCTATAAAGAAATACCTGAGGCTAGATAATTAATAAAGAAATTTAACTGGCTGATGGTTCTGCAGGCTGTATAGGAAGCATGGTGCTGGCATCTGCTTGGCTTCTGGTGAGGGCTTCAGGGAGCTTTTACTCATGGCAGAAGGAGAAGCAGGAGCAGAGTGTCACATGGAGAGAGAGAGCACACAAGAGAGAGAAGTGGGGAGGTCCCAAACTCTTTTAAACAACTAGATCTTGCATGAAGCCACAGAGTGAAAACTCACTCATTATTGTGAGGAGGGCACCAAGACATTCATGAGGGATCCTCCCCCATGACTCACATACCTCCCACCAAGCCCTACCTCCAATACTGGGGATTACATTTCAACACAAGATGTGGAGGGAACAAGCCTCCAAACTGTATTGATACAGGACTACTTTTGAGGTGAATATGACTTACAGTGCAGCCTTTTGGTAATTCTGTAGCTAAAGCTCCCACTTGACTAGAAATCTCTACTAATCTGATCTATAATGGACAGTAAGTCCATAAATCAGAGGTTAGAATGTGGTAATAGTATATTAATTTTATATTACTGGTAGACTGAGGTCACACCCATTATTGAATTTTTTTACTTACCCAAGTCATTCAATAATTTTTGTCTAAGAAGTCTTCCTTCTCAAGAAGTAAAAATAATCAACCAAGTTGAAAATACTTTGTCAAAAAGCATTTGACAAAAGTGAACATTTATTTACAGTAAATAACTCTTGGCAAATAAGAATAGAAGAAGACTTCCTCAACCTGATAAAAAAAACATTTAGGCGAAAACTTTCAGCTAACATCATAAATTGTGGTGAAAGACTAAATGCTGTCCTCCTGAGATGGGGGAGAACGCAAGGATGTCTGATCTTACCACTGCTAGTCCACATTGTATTGAAGGTCCTAGCCAGTGTAATTGGTCAAGAAAAAAACATGAAAAGCATATAGATTGGAAAAGAATAAAAAAAATACATCTACTTAAAAATTATAAAATTAATGACATAGAAAATCCTAGACTCTATCAAAGAAGCTACTATAACTAACAAGTGAGTTTAACAAAGTTGCAAGATGCAAGACTAATATAAAATCAACTGTATTTCTACATATGGCAATACACAATTATAAATTTAAATTTAAAAATAGTGTCACCTTCTCTCTCTCAGTATGTAAAAAGCTGAAAAGAGTATCACTCCCACCTCTTAACTGTAAAGAAAGCCCAGATATTTAACAAAACCACAACTTTTCTCAAACCCATCAAAGAGCTGAGGTCACGCCAGGCATGGTGGCTCACACCTGTAATCCCAGCACTTTGGGAAGCCGAAGTGGGTGGATCATGAGGTCAGGAGATCGGGACCATCCTGGCTAACACAGTGAAACCCCGTCTCTACTAAAAACACACAAAAAATTAGCCAGGTGTAGTGGCACTCACCTGTAATCCCAGCTACTCAGGAGGCTGAGGCAGGAGAATTGCTTGAACCCAGGAGGCGGAAGTTGCAGTGAGCTGAGATCGTGCCACTGGATGCCATCAAAAAGAAAGGAAGGAAGGAAGGAAAGAAGGAAGGAAGGAAGGAAGGAAGGGAGGAAGGAAGGAAGGAAGGAAGGAAGGAAGGAAAGGGCGAGCCGAGGTCGCAGCAACCAAGTAGCCTAAAATCTAGAAAAAAACAGGCATCTCCAAGGAAAGATGCAGACATACGCACTGCCTTACCTGAGGCACCAGAGGAAGATATAGACACTGTAGAAGCAGGTAAAAATATATCAGTTAAAAGTTTCAACAAATTGCTAAAGGCCAGCTGCAGGCAGTGTGAGAGCACAGACCTCCTAGGAGCTGCAGACACAAGGAGAGTCTATACCCACTGTATTAGTCCGTTTTGCATTGCTATGAAGGAATACTGAAACTGGGTAATTTATAAAGAAAAGAGGTGTGTTTGGCTCACAGTTTTGCAGGCTGTACAAGCATGGCTCCAACATCTGCTTGGCTACTGATGAGGCCTCAGTAAGCTTACAATCATGGCAGAAGGCAAAGAAGCCAGCATATCACATCGCAAGAGAGGGAAGAAGAGAGAGAAGGAGGAAGTGTCAGTCTCTTTTAAATGGCCAGATCTTGCATGAACTCATAAAGAACTCACTCATTACCACAATGACAGCACCACACCATTCATGAGGGATCCATCTCCATGACCCAGGCATCTCCCACTAGGGCCACCTCCAACATTAAAAGTCACATTTCCACATGAGATTTGGAGGGGATAAATGTCCAAACTATATCACCCACTTCTAAATGATCCTGCACAGAAACAACCTGAGTATATAAAAAATGCTCATCATCACTAATCATCAGAGAAATGCAAATTAAAACCATAATGGAATATTATCTTACCCTATGCAGAATGGCTATTACTAAAAAGACAAAACTAAGAGATGTTCGCAAGAATGTGGAGAAAAGAGAACTCTTTCATGTTGTTGGTAGGAATGTAAATTAGTAGTTACAACCTATATAGAAAACAGCATGGAGATTTTTCAAGAACTAAAAATATCATTTTTAGTTCTTTTCAGCCATAAAAAAGAATAAAATTACGTCTTTTACAGCAACGGGGATAGAAACGGAGGTCATTATATTAAGTGAAACAAGCCAGACAAAATCAGATCTTGAATGTTCTCATTTATAAATGAGTGTTATAAAAAGCATATGCATGGATGTGGAGAGTGGAATAATAGACACTGGAGACTTGGGAGAGAGAGGAGGTGTGATGGAGGTGAGGCATGAGGGATGAGAAATTAGTCAATGGGTACAATATATGTTGTTTGGGTGATGGATACACTAAAAGCCCTGATTTAATTACTATGCAATCTATGGATGTAACCAAATTGCACTTGTGCCCCATACATCTATATAAATAAAAACTATTAATTTTTAAAAACAAAGAACAAATTTATATGTTTAAGTCATAATGCCCAGTATCTCAAGGTATGTCCTTATTTGGAGATGGGGTCTTTGTAGAGGTAATCGAGTTCAAATGAGTTCATTAGGGTGGATCCTAATCCAATATGACTGGTGCTCTTATTAAAAGGGGAAATTTAGGCAAAGATGCATGTAGAAAAAAACAATGTGAAGAGACATAGAGAGAAGATGGCTATCTACCATCAGAGAAGCCTGAAACAGGTACTTTCCTCATAGCCCTCAGAGGCAACCAACCCTGCCAATACCTTGATTTTGGACTTCTAGGCTCCAGATGTTTAAGTTATCCAGTTTTTGGTACTTTGTTAAGGCAGCACTAGCAAACTAAAAGATCGCTCAGGAGGAAAATAGGTGTAGAGTGGGAAACCAAAGACAGCTTTTCCTAGTGCTGCCAGCCTTGAGCAAAGGAGTAGCCTTCGCTGCAGATAAGGCACAAAGATCCAGCTGGATCCTTCTCTCCTACCTCCCTATCCAGCAAAAGCCATAAGCAGCAAATTCTGGGGCTCCCAGAGTTATCTGCCCCATTGAGGCAGATAAAAGGAAACAAACAAAAAAATCATCTGCCTCTAGAGGAGGGGCAAGAATCCCTCCTGGACCTAGACGATTAGAGATACCCTACCACTGTGTAAGGGCAGGATCACTGAAAAATTCCCATTGTCAAAACCAAGGAACAGAGGATCTGCCTAAGGATGAAGCCGCAACAAAACAAAAGAGAATACCTGCCCAACACACACCACCAAGTAGCAATTAACAGGTAACAACAGTGTAATCCCAGGAGAAAGGCACAAGAGTGAGGAAAGGCCTTTGCTAAGGGGCATGCTCATAAGAAAGGTCTAAATCTGAGGGTCAACCAAAGCATTGAGAGAAATTCTCCAATATCGAACCCCACTGTAACCAAAAGGTAGTAAGAAGGAATTTGAAGCTAGTGATGCATTGAGAGGAAACATAGTAACAACAAAACAAAAACCCAGCTTAGTTCTTGAGTAAATTAATTGAATTCCTCACACTAGCAGCTTAGTAGAAAAAGTGATATGTCTATTTGCAGTCACAAATCTTAGTCTCTACTGTTCTACATAGGATGTCCACCATTCAACCAAAAATTACAAGATACAAGAAAAGCAAGAAAAACAACCCACTGTCAAGACACAAAGCCAATAACAGAATTTGATTCATATGTGACCCAAATGTTGGAATTTAAAATTCATTAAAAAATTCCTTAAGACAACTCCAGTGGTAAAGATGAAAAATTTGCATGAACAGGTAGAGAATTTCAACAGAGACAGAGAAACTATAAGACAGAACCAACGGGATGGTAGAATGTTTTTTTAAGCATGACCACAGAAATGAATAATGTCTATGGTGGGTTCCTCAGTAGACTCCACAACTAAGGAAAGAATCCATGAACTTGAAGTTAAGTCAATAGAAATTGGCCAACCTGGAACACAATGTAAAATGAGTGAATTTTAAAAAGAAAGAACAGAATAAGCAAAAGCTTTAAGACTTTAAGACAGTATCAAAAGATCCAGTATACACATAATTAGACACTTGAAAGGAAAATAGAACAGGTCAAAAGAAACATTTGAAGAGATAATGGCTGAGAATTTTTCATAAATAATAGAAGATGTCAAATTAAATTTCCAAGAAGCTCCTAGAACACAAAACAGGATTTTTTTAAAATAAAAAAATAAAACTAGACACATCACATTCAAATTGCTGAAAAACAAATATAAAGAGAAAATCTTGAAGGCAACCAGAGAAAAAAGACACATTATATTAAAAAAAGAAAGACACTGATTACAGAAAATTACTCCTCCGAAACTACATAACTGAGAAGACGACAAAGTGACATTTTAAGGTGCTGAAAGAAAAAGAAAATTCCTCGACTCAGAATTCTGTAATAGGGGGAAATATCCTTTAAAAGTGAAGGAAAATAAAACAACAAGATGCCACTACACTAGAATTATTCAAATCCAAAACTCTAACAACACAAAATACTGGCAAGAATGTGGGGCAAACGCCAGGCATGGTGGCTCACGCCTGTAGTCCCAGCACTTTGGGAGGCTGAGGTGGGTGGATTGCTTGAAGCCAAGAGTTCAAGACGAGCCTGGGCAACATGATGAAACCCTGTCTCTACAAAACAAATACAAAAATTTGCTGGGCATGGTGGCATGCGTCTGTTGTCCCAGCTACTGGGGAGGCTGAGGTAGGAGGATCGCTTGAGCCCAGAAGGTGGAGGTTGTAGTGAGCCAAGATCACACAACTGCACTCCAGCCTGGGTGACAGAGCAAGACTCTGTCTCAAAATCAATTAATTAATTAATTAAAAATAAAAATAAAAAATAAAAATGTGGGACAATAGAAATTCTGATTCATAATCTTACCATATTACCCAGCAATAATACTCTTTGGTATTTACCAAAATGAGTGAAAAACCACGTCCACACAAAAGCCTGGACATGTACATTTATAGAATCTTTATTAATCATTGCAAAAAGTTGAAAGCAACCAAGATGTCTTTCAACAGGTGAATGTTTACACAAACTGTGGTACATATATACAATGGAATATTATTCCAGCTCAAAGGAAATGAGCTATAAAAAGATGGCTGAACCGTAAATGCACATGGCTAAGTAAAAGAAGTCAGTGTGAAAAGGTTACATACCCTATGATTCCAAATAGATGACATTCTGGAAAAGGCAGAAGTAGAGAGATAGAAAAAGAACAGTGGTTTCCAGGGGCTCAAGGGAAGGAAAGAGGGATAAATAGGTAGAGCACAGGACATTTTTAGGGCAGTGAAACTATTCTGTATGATACTGTAATGATGTGTATATGACATTATGCATCTGTCCAAAACCTGTACACAGAAATGCATAATACAAACAGTGAACACAAGTGCAAACTACACGCTTTAATCATAATGTATCAGCATTGGTTCACCAGATGTAATAAATATACCACACTAATGCAAGATGTTAATAATAGTGGAAACTGCAGGGGGGATGGGCCAAGGAGGAGGCATGTGGGAACTCCATATTTAGTGCTCAGTTTCTCTGTAAACCTAAAATTGCTCTGAAAAATAAAGCCTATTAATTTTAGGGGAACAAAAATTACAGCCTGGAAGAAAATATATGAAAATCATATATCTGATAAAGAGCTTGTATTCAGAATATAATTTTTTAAAAAACTTAAAACTCCACAAATAGCAGGAGAAATGAAAATTTTGCAGAAAAAAAAAATCATTTCCTCCAGACTTCCACTACAAGAAATGTTAAACCAAGTTCTTCCGGAAGATACATAAGGTATCTTGATAGAAATTGAAATATAAATAGATAGAAATTTGAATATAAATAAAGAATAAATGCATTGAAAGTAGTTTTGCAGTTGTTTTTTGGTTTGGGGTTTTTTTTTGAGACAGGATAGTTGTATCATGTTCGGTGAGATTATGACATTGTTATTGTCTTTATTTGGAGATTGTGTTTAAGGAAATGTGTGTGAGTACCAAGTTGACAAGGGGTAGACTTGTTTTGGTTTTGCCGTTGTTTTTTGTTTTTGAGACAGGGTCTCATTCTGTTGCCCAGGCTGGAGTGCAGTGACTCAAATATGGCTCACTGCAATCTCGATCTCCCAGGTTCAAACAATCCTCCCAACCTCAGCCTCCTCAGCAGCTAGGACTACAGGCACGCACCACAACAACTGGCCAATTTTTAAGTTTCTCTAGAGACAGAGTCTCACGGTGTTACCCAGGTTAATCTTGAACGCTTGACCGCCTGTGATCCTCCCACCTCAGCCTCTCCAAATGCTGGGATTACAGTCATGATGAGCTACCGTGCCTAGCCAAAAATAGTTTTTTAAAATGCAAATATTGAACTATTTTTTTCTACTTTTAATGTAAAAGGTAACTAAAGAAAATACAGAGGCAATACATTGTGTGTTTATAGACTATTTTAAAGTAACATGTGTAACATTAAAACCACAAGATATGGGAGAGAAGAATTGGAAGTACACTGTTGTAAGGTGGTTACAAGACATTTGAGGTAGTGTGATATTATTTGAAGATAGACTATGATTAATTAAATACGCATATAATAAATCCTAGGGCAATCACCAAAACAAAATTTTTTAAGGGGCATAAGTAATAAGCCAACAGTAGAGGCAAAAAAATGGAGTCATAAAATAATCCAAAGGAAGAAAGAAAAGAGAAAGCGGAACAAAAACAGAACAAATAAACAATTAGTAAGGTAGTAGATTTTAATCCAAATACACCAATATTTATACTAAGTATAAGGGGTCTATACATACCATTTGGGGTGTGTGTGTGTGTGTGTGTGTGTGTGTGTGTGTGTGTGTGTGTGTTTGAGACAGGGTCTTGCTCTGTCATTCAGGCCAGAGTGCAGGGGGGCAATCTTCGCTCTGCTTTCTTGGCCTCCCTCTCTCAGGCTCAACTGATCCTCCCACCTCAACCTACAGGTGCATGCCACCATGCTTGGCTTTTTAATTTTTTTTTTTTTTTTTGTAGAAACCGGGTCTCACTATATTGCCCAGGCTGGTCTCAAACTCCTAGACTCGGGGGATCCCCCCACCTTGGCCTTCCAAATTGCTAGGATTACAGGCATGAGCCACCGTGCCCAGCTATACATACCATTTGAAACACAGAGATAATCAGACTGGATAAACAGGGGCAACAAACTATATGCTTTCAAAATAACCCTACTTTAAATATAAAGTCATCTACATATTAAAAGTAAAAAGGTGGCCAAAGACATATCATAACAATATCTACCAAAAGAAAAGTGGAGTGACTATAATAATATCAGACAAAACTATGGAAAAAGGAATATCAGCAGGGACAAAGAGAGATATCACATAATGATAAACAAGTCATTTTACCAAGAAGCCATCACAATCCTAAATGTTTGTGCACCTGACAACAGAGCTTCAAAATACTTGAAGCAAAATCAAGAGACAATTTAAAAAAAAAATCCACCAAACTCTCTTCTCATAGTAATCAATAAAAAGTAGACATAAAATTCAAAAGTGCATTGAAAGCCTGAATAATATTGTCAACAAAATTACCCTAATTGTCCTTTTTTGAACACTTCACCCAAGAATAGCAGAACAAAACATTCTGGAGTGCACATGGAATATTCACACCTTATTTCTAACTCATAAATATATTGTGACGTATTCTTAAAAGTTAAAAATTATACAAGGTATATTTTTTATAAAAATATAATTAAACTAAAAATCAGTAATAGAAAGATATCTGGAAAATCTCCAAATATTTGAAAATTAAGCAACACACTTCTAAGTAATCCAAAGAATGCAAATGAAGTCACAAGGAAAATTAGAAAATATTTTCAACAATAAAAAATTGGCCAGGCAAGGTGGCTCATGCCTGTAATCCCAGCACTTTGGGAGGCTGAGATGGGTGGATCACTTGCAGTCAGGAATTCTAGACCAGCCTGGCCAACATGCTGAAAACCTGTCTCTATAAAAAATACAAAAATTTGCTGGGCATGATGGTGCGTGCCTGTAATCCCAGCTACTCAGGAGGCTGAGGCAGGAGAATCACTTGAACCCAGGAGGTGGAGGTTGCAGTGAGCTGAGATTGCGCCACTGTACTCCAGAAAAAAAAAAAAAAAAATCTTAAATCGATAATCTAAGTTTCTCCTCTAAAAAACTAGAGGGAGAAGACTGGATGCTTACTCTAAACAAACAAAAGGAAGGAAGTAATGAAGAAACAAGCAGAGATGAATAAAACTGAGAGCAGAAAAATAGGTAAAATAAATTTTAAAAAAGAAAATATATTTCTCAGAAATGAACAAAAAAAAACTTCTAATGAGAAACTTTCAGCTAAAAACAATAGAGAAGACATAAATTACTAACATAAGTAATGAAAAATGGGACATCACTACTAACCTATAGACAATAAAGTAAAAATAAAGTTATAGACAATTTTGTGCTTAAAAATATAAATAACTTGGCCAGGTGCAGTGGCTCACGCCTGTAATCCAACACTTTGGGAGGCCGAGACAGGCAGATCATTTGAGGTCAGGAGTTTGAGACCAGTCTGGCCAACATGGCAAAACTCGGTCTTTACTGAAAATACAAAAGTTAGTTGGGTGTGATGGCACACATCTGTAATCCCTGTTACTCAGGAGGCTGAGTCATGAGAATTGCTTGAACCTGAGAGGCGGAGGATGCAGCAAGCTGAGATCATGCCACTGAACTACTGCAGCCTGGGCGGCAGAGCAAGACTCTGTCTCAAAAAAAGAAAAAAAAATTGGGGGGCTTGTTAATCTACACATTCATTGTCATTAAAAATATAACAACTTATATGAAGTTAACAATATATTGAAAGTCATTAATGAAGCTCATTCAAGAAAAAATAATTTACTTGAAAAGTTCTACAACTGTCAAAGAAAATTTATTGAAAGCCATTAATTAATGAAGCTCACTCAAGAAGAAATAGTTTACCTAAAAAGTTCTACATCGGTTAAAGAAAACTAATTTGTAGTCTAAAACCTTACACATCTGGTCTAAATGGCCTCACTGATAAATTACAACAATCACTTAAAGAAGAAATAATAAAAATCCTACACAAAAGATAAAGAGCAGAAATATTTCCCAGTTTACTTTGTGAACACAGAATTAACTTGATATCAGAACCAAAAAAAGACATTGCCAAATACATTGAGGGGAAAACCCTCTAACTGAAGCAACTTCCTGGTCAGTATAAGTCAAAATAATTTAAAGCAACAAACTGCCTTTTTTCCTTTTTTAATTAGACCTAGGTATTCAAGGAAATCTCTGAGCCATCACTAGCTAAATATAGAGGTAACAGAACAGAGACTCCAGTGGCCACACACGACAAGAAATATATTATTTGAGAAAACCACTGTTGAAAAGTCAATAAACAAATGGATAATTGCAGCCCTCAACAAGCAATAACAGCAATCCCAGGTGAGGGAGAAGAATTTGATTTCAGAGTTACCACATTGCAATATTCAAAATCTCCAGTTCTAAAGATGTATTACAAATCACACACACACACACCAAACAGAAAAGTTTAGCCCATTCGCAGCGGGAAAAAAATGAAGAAATTATTCAGAAACTGTCCCTGAGTAAGTCCATACATAGTACTTAGTAGAAAAAGACTAAATTGACCATCTTAAATATGCTCAAATGCTGAAGGAATTCATGGACAAAGAAGGAAAGGAAATAATGAGAATGGTGTATGAGCCAGTAGAATGTATTATTAAAGAGAAAGAAATCATAAAAGAGAAATCAAGTTTGTAGAGCTGAAAAGTACAGTAGCTGAAATGAAAATTTCAGTTGAGGTTTTCAACAGGTTTGAACAAGCAGAAGAAACAATCAGTGAATTTGACAGTAAAATCAACCAACCTTTACCTAGCCTAACTAAAGAAAAGAGATGACTCAAATAAAATAAATGAAAGATAAAACATTACAGCCAATGCCACAAAAATACAAAGGATTATAAGAGATGACTATGAATAATTACACACCCACACCCTGGATAACCTAGAATAAATAGACAAATTCCTAGAAATAAAACAGCTGAACAGACCAATAACATGAAAGGAGATTGAATCGGTAATAAAAAGCCTCCCATCAAAGAAAAGTCCACGACCTGATGATATCACCACTGAATTCTACCAAATATTTAAAGAAGAATAAATACCAATCTTTCTAAAACCCTTACAAAAAATTGAGATAATACTTCCAAACTTATTTGATGAGGCCAGCATTATCCTGATACCAAAGTCAGAAAAAAGCACTACAAGAAAAGAAAATACCCCTGATGAATATAGATGTAAAAATCTTCAATAAAATACTAGGAAACAGAATTTTAAAAATCATTCATCATGATCCCATCATGTAGGATTTTTCCTGGGGTGCAAGAATGGTTCAACATATGCAAATGAACAAATGTCATATACCGTATTACAGAATGAGGGACAAAAAACCATATGCTCATCTCAATAGAGGCAGAAAACGCATCTGACAAGATTCGGTGTCCTTTAATGATAAACAAAAAATCCTTCAACAAATTGAGTATAAAAGGAACATACTACAACACAATAAAGACCATATATGACAAATCCACAACTAAATTATAGTGAATGGGGAAAAGCTGAAAGTTGTTCCTCTAACATCAGAAATAAGACAAGGATGCCTACTTTCACCACTTCAATTCAACATAGTACTGGACGTCCTAGCCAGAGAAATTAAGCAAGAGGAAGAAATAAAAGGCATCCAAATTGGAAGGAAAGAAGTTAAATTGTCTCATTTGCAGACAACACGATCTTATATAAAGAAAATCTTAAGCATTCCACAAAAAAACTGAACAAATTCAGTACATTTGCAGGATACAAAATCAACATACAAAAATTAGTGGCATTTCTATACACTAGCAAGGAACTATCTGGAAAAAAATTAAGAAAATCTCATTTACAGTAGCTAAAAAATATAAAATACTTAGGAAAAAATTTAACCAAGGAAGTGAAAGACCTGCACACTGAAAACTATCAAACATTGATGAAAAAAATTGAAGAAGACACAACTAAATCAAAGGGGATCTCATGTTCATACATTAGAAGAATTAATATTGTTAAATAGTCTATGCTGTTCTACAGATTCAATGCAATCCCTATCAAAATTCTAATGACATGTTTCACGAAATTTTTTTAAAATCCTAGAATTTTCATGAATCCACATGAGACCCAAAATAACCAAAGCAATTTTTAACAAAAAGAACAAAGCCGAAGGGATTACAGTATCTGGTTTTCAAATACAGTACAAAGCTACAGTAATCAAAATATCATGGTACTGGCATAAAAACAGACACATTGACCAACGGAACAGGATCAAGGGCCCAGAAATAAACCCATGCATTGACAGTCAATTGATTTTTGACAAAGGTGCCAAGAAAACCAATGAAAAAGGGATAATCTTTTCAATAAATGGTGTTGGAAAAACAATATCCACATGCAGAAAAATAAAATTGGACCTTTATCTCACAAAAATCAACTCAAAATGGATTAAAGACTCAAATGTAAGACCTGAAACTGTAAAATGACTAGAAAAAACTAAGAGGAAAAACTCTTAGAAATTGGGCTCACAATGATTTTTTGGATATAACCCCAAAAGCACAGGCAAATAAAGAAAATATAGACAAATAGAATTGCATTACACTAAAAGCATCTGCAGCAAAACAAAAAATGCAATTAACAGAGTGAAGGGAAACAACCTACAAAATGAGAGAAAATATTTGCAAACCATACATGTGATAAGAGGTTAATATCTAAAATATACAAGTAATTCAGACAACTCAATGCCAAGAAAATAAATAATCTAATTTTAAAAATGAGCAAGGAACCTGAATAGGCATTTCTCAAAAGAAGATATACAAGTGGCCAACAAGTATATTAAACAATGTTCAACATCACTAATCATTAGGGAAATGAAAACTAAAACTGCAGTGATATATCACCTCGCACCTGTTAGAATGGATATTATCAAATAGACAAAAAGTAACACAAGCTGGCAAGGGTGTGGAGAAAAGGGAACAATTATACACTGTTGGTGGAAATATAAATCAGTTCAGCTATTATGGAAAACAGCACTGAGTTTCCTCAAAAATTCGAAATACAACTACATATGATCCAGCAATCCCCCTACTGGGTTTATATCCAAAGGAACGAAATCACTATGTTGAAGAGATGTCTGCACTGTCACATTTGTTGCAGCATTATTCACAAAAGTCAAAATATGGAAACAACCTGAGTGCCCATCAACAAATGAAGGGATAAAGAAAATATGGCATATAAAAACAATGGAATACTATTCACCCTTAAATAACAAAATCCTGTGATTTGTGACAACATACATGAGCCTGGAAGATGCTTTGTTAAGTGAAATAAGCCAGGCAGAGGAAAACAAATAACCTCATTATCTCACTTACATGTAGAGGCTGAAATTGTAGAAGCAGAGACTAGAATGGTGTTTACCAGGGGTTGGGATGGGGATGTGGAGTGAAGGATGGTTAGGAAGATGTTGGTCAAAGGACACAAAATTTTTATTAGACAGTAGAAATAAGTTCAAGAGATCTATTGTACAACATGGTGACTAGAGGTAACAACAATATATTGAATTCTTGAAAATTGCTAAGACAATAGATTTTAAGTGTTCTAACTACAAACGTGATATGTATGTGAGGTAATGCATATGCTAATTAGCTTGATTTAGTCATTCTACAATGTATAACACATGTCAAAACATCATATTGTAGACCAGAAAT
This sequence comes from Homo sapiens, assembly GCF_000001405.40. Classification (NCBI taxonomy): domain Eukaryota; kingdom Metazoa; phylum Chordata; class Mammalia; order Primates; family Hominidae; genus Homo; species Homo sapiens. The sequence continues at coordinate 59,129,476 of NC_000016.10, read as the reverse complement.
ATATACAATTTTTATTTGTCAATGATACCTTAATAAAGCTAAGGAAAAAGAAATTTAATTTATTTTAGACAACGGATTAACAGTTGCCAAGGAATTCGTGGCAGAGAGGAAAGGGGAATGATTACGTATTGGTTTGTGATACCATACCAATGGGGTGATAAAAAAAGTTTCAAACTACAGAGAAGGTGATAGTTGCAGAACATTGTAAATGCACTAAGCGTCATTGAGTTGCATACTTTAAAATGGCTAATTGTATGTTATGCAAATATCACCTTAAGAAAGAATATTATTATAATAATAATATGACCAAGTGGAGTTTATTTCAGGGAGAAAAGGTGGATTTAAAATTCAGAAAACAAACAATGTAATTTACCCTATTAATACACTAAATAAGAAGAACAATTTCATCTCAATAGATGCAGAAAAAAACATTAGACAAAATTAGAAAATTCATTCTTGATTTTCTAGATATCTTAACAAAGTAGAAATAGAAAGGAGCTTCATCAATTTGTTAAAAGGCATCTATGAAAATGTTCACCTAGCATCAATTGATTTTGACAAAGATGCAAATGCAATTCAATAGAGAAAGAAACCTTTTAGACAAATGCCACTTGAACAGATAAGCATGATCTGGATGGATATGAAATGTATGCTATGAATGGATATGAAAAAGAAGAAGAAGAACCACAACCCATACTTCACAACATTCATAAAAATTAATAGAAAATACATTATAGACCTGAATGGAGAGCCTAAAACTATAAGATTTCTACCACAAAAAAAAAACAGGAGAAAGTATTTGTGACCTTGGATTAGGCATAGATTTTTTTAGATACAACATCAAAATCTTCATCCTTAAAAAAATTAACAAATTGATAAGTTGAATAAATCAGAATTATAAACTTCTCTGCAAAAGAACAGTTAAGAGATGCAAAGGCAAGCCACAGACTGAGAAAATATTTGCGGAATACATATCTGACAAAGGATTTGTATCCAAAACATATATCCAGAATAGATAAAGAACTTGCAAAACTCAAGAAAGCAAACACCGCAATAAAAAATGGCAGAAGATTTGAACAGACAATTCACCAAAGAAGATACAGGAATGGCAAATAAGTACATGAATGATGCCTAACATTATTAGTCATGAAAATGCAAACTGAAAACAAAATGAGGCCCAATGCAGTGATTCATGCCCATTATCCCAGCATTTTGAGATGCCAAGCAGAAGGATTGCTTGAGCCCAGGAGTTCAGGATCACCCTAGAGAATATGGCGAGACCCTTGTGTCTACAAAAGAAAAAAAAATAGCTGGGCCCTGGTGGCACGAGCCTGTAGTCCCAGCTACTCAGGTGACTGAGGTGGGAAGATTGCTTGAGGCAAGAAATTCGAGATTGCCATGAGCCATGATCACACCACTGCACCCCAGTCTGGAAGACAGAGTGAGACCTTGTCTCAAAACAAAAACAAAAACAAACTGAGATATAATACCAAGAGCTGGCAAATATGCACTAGGAGCTCTCATACATTACTGATAGGAATGCAAAATGTTACTGTCACTTTGGAAAAGTGTGGAAGTCTAATAAATGAAACGTTTGTATACCCTATGACCACATAGTCCCACTACTCATGAGAAATGAAAACTTAAGATTCACACAAAAAGTTGGACATAAATATTTGAAGTTTTAATTCATAATCACCTAACCTGGAAACAATTGAACTATCTCTTGGTAAATGAATAAACAAACTGTGGTACATCCATTCCACAGGAGCAGAATGCTACTCAGCAGTAAAATGGATTGAAGCACTGTTACACACAACAACATGGACAAATCTTACGTGCATTTTGCTGAGTGAAAGTTACAAAGGGCATGAGGGAAATTTGGAGGAAAATGAAACTCTCGCATCTCTTAATTGTGGTGGTGGTTACATGACTGTGTTTTGTCAGAACTCCACACGAAAAAAGATAAATTTTACTGCTAAAGCTTCTCTATCTGGCATTACTCAAATTACTTGTTTCCTCACAAATTGTTTAGAATCAAAGGAGAATTTGCATCTTCTACTCACACTTTTACAGAACTGTAATTAAAATCAGAGAATGATGGATACCATTTGAAGTACTGTGAAAATAGAGAATTATTAGAAATTAATTTGTTGGTTCATTTTGTCGAACATTTATAAAAATACCCATGGAAGACAGCCTATTAAAATGATAGATTAACACAGCAATCATGTGACCAGGAGCCAATAAGTTAATTAAAGTTCATTCATTCTACTAGCTCATCTCATGAGGAAGAAGCTGACTAAATTAAGCACAGTGAAAGATTTTTGTGTCCAATTTGATTTGCCTTCTAAATAAATTTTACATTTTCATATATAGATTTTTTTCACATGCTCGAAGATTCACTAACTTGGAAAATGTACCAAATTAACACTTGGAAGATATTTTAACAAAACTCCCCAATCAGACTTTTAAACCTGACGACTATGATTTAGGATGCGAGCAGTAGATAAAATTATTTTCCATCATGTACTTAGAATATTTGATTGCTAATTTACATAGACAAAGCATCAGAATATAATGAATATAAGTCACCTTTAAGAGAGAGCCTTTTCAGAATTGAAAGTGTGTACCCTGTTGGCTTCAGCCCGAGCATACTAATGATTCAAATACTTTTCTGTCCTATCAAAGGCACCATATGGCACTAATATGCAGGAAAGTTGGATGCTGCTTGATACCAAGACAAGTGGTTAGATGATGCAATCTTGTATTATTTGTTTATGAAGTGCCACCTTCACCCTTGAACTCTGAGTGATTCATTACAAGATGATGAAGACTATGTGTTGATGCCTAAGAAAGACTGTTTTGATTTATGACAATGTCACACAAAATCACAATTATCTCATTTAAAGTCATTCAAAGTTGCAGCCCATGTTTGAATACAGAAAAAAAAAATTTAAAATTTCACCACAAATGATTCAAGATTGCCACCAAAGTTTGAGTTCACAGGGGGTTTCTTCTTATGTGCTTCTCCTGATGGCTGGTGTGCTTGTTCTTATGTAATATATTATTAGATTACAAAGTGAGGGTGGTCGTTCAGGTCTTGCTATGCCCAGCCTCTAATACAACCTACCATGGCTCAGGAGTAAGCTGTGTTATTGCCAAACACAGTCCCTTTGGTAACAGATTTTATCAATCTTTGGCAAACAAAAAAACTGTCATTTGAATGAGAAGTTCACTATTATCCCTTTAACTGTATCTTCTATATAGGAGTGATCAATAGGATTGAAATAAACATTTGAATACTTGAGTTAGATTCTGTTGAGAATAAATATCTCTATATTGATCAACAGATGATAGTGGGGACTTTCAACCAACTAAGCTTTAAAAGCAGTCCAAATCTACCTTGTCCAAAGTACGTAATCTTGCACATGCAATTACATCCAAAGTATGTAATCTTGCACATGGAAAATGCCTGGAAAAGTATGCCAACTATTTGGAGCCAATAAATAGATAATGGGCTTTGTAAACGAGCATGATTCTCTTAACGCAGCTTGAGTAATGGGCAGATTTTCTTGCTTCCTGCGGTCTTGTGGTTTAATTGGTTTCTGCTTACCTTTTCTCTTTCATAAAATTTTTCTGAAAGTCTCAGGTTATCTCATTTTTACTCTACAAATCAAGGGATTTTATCACATCAGCACTGAGTGTTTTAAGGGGGTGGGCAGCATGGCAGGTATTTAGAATTCTCTGTCAACTAGTGTGATGATGACATCTCATAACTTAATTAGAGCTATCTTTCCCATCTGATTTTCTCTATCTGAAGGTATTTTTTTGAGCTGCTCCAGATACTAAATCATCAAGGGAGGCAAGTTTTCTTTTTCAGAACATCAAACAAAATTTTTATGTTATTATTAATTATTGTAATGGTAAAGAATGGTACATCCTGGCTAACATGGTGAAACCCCGTCTCTAATAAAAATACAAAAAAATTAGCCAGGTGTGGTGGCGGGCGCCTGTAGTCCCAGCTACTAGGGAGGCTGAGGCAGGAGAATGGCTTGAACCCAGGAGGTGGAGCTTGTAGTGAGCCGAGATCACGCCATTGCACTCCAGCCTGGGTGACAGAGCAAGACTCTGTCTCAAAAAAAAAAAAGAATGGTAGGGGGAAAATGATTTGTGAGAAAATAAAATTTGAGTTTTAGTATTTCATTTGGGAAAACATCTCAAATATTCCCAAACATTTTCTCATTCCTCCTATGAGCTCAGTCCCTGATCTCACTTTTTTAACCTCTGAAATGCAGTTTTGTAGTTTAAAATGTATTTTATTCTGTATTACTAGCTCATGTAAATTGACTATCAAAAGGAATATGCGGCCGGGCCCGGTGGCTCACGCCTGTAATCCCAGCACTTTGGGAGGCTGAGGCGGGCGGATCACGAGGTCAGGAGATCGAGACCATCCCGGCTAAAACGGTGAAACCCCGTCTCTACTAAAAATACAAAAAATTAGCCGGGCGTAGTGGCGGGCGCCTGTAGTCCCAGCTACTAGGGAGGCTGAGGCAGGAGAATGGCTTGAACCCAGGAGGTGGAGCTTGTAGTGAGCTGAGATCCCGCCACTGCACTCCAGCCTGGGCGACAGAGCGAGACTCTGTCTCAAAAAAAAAAAAAAAAAAAAAAAGGAATATGCTTTTAATTTAAATCAAGACATTTTCCTACATTTGAATAGGTAGACTTTAGGAGGTGTTTTTGATTAATTGTTAATTATCACTCCTCTTGAGTTTTCTTGGGTCTGTAAATGTGAAATTTGCCACCACTTCTCACATTATTTCTCAATGGGGGAGTCTAGTAGTCTGACACTACCCCAGAGAAGAGCAGTATATTTTTGAAATCGTCTCGACTTTTTAGTAATTTTTAAGAGCTTTGCATATTTCATTGTATAATCTTAGAAGAGCAGAACAGAGAAGAAAGCTGCTTTGCAGGGTACACATTCTCCTACCAAGGACAGACTGAGAAATTGAGGCTCAGACTGCTTCTTTCTTCTGACCATATATTGACAAATGCATGTCACCTGTTTCCAGCTATTGAATTATGTTTTCTGCACAACACAACTGGGTTTTTCCCATAGCCCAGGCCTCATATTACTAATGGGCCTTCAAGCCTCCAAGAGACCACATGTTTGCATGACATGATGTCTCAGCTGGAATTAACTTCCATTACTATGTTGTTTTGTGACCTTTGGCAAGTCTCTTAACCTTTCTGAGAATCTCTTAACATTTCTGCAGTTCCAGGCTTTGAAAAGCATGGATAACAATAGACACGGTGCTTGCCGAGTAGAGCTGGCATGAGGATTAATTAGTGAATGTTTTTTAAGAGCTATATAAATGCTAAGTATTATGATTATTCTTTACTCATGTTAGCATTACAAAATGTCAGTGTGTTGAGTGGGAGAGGAAAATAGGGTTATAGGACCCTGGTGAAGTACAACTCTTTTAGAAGTTTCCCCTCTCCAGTGAAAGTACTAGAATTGTGTTTAGTTACCCTGATTAATGGTTTCATTATTACCAGGAGATGGCAATTAGCTCATTTGAAATAATACATAAGGTCATAATTCACAGTTTTATATGGACCAGAAGACTCAAGGAGAAACCTCATAGGATAAGCTGCAAAATTAATGAATTATAGTGGGGCATGATTGCTCATTGGGGCATTCTATATGGGACTGACTGCTTTGGAATAAACAAGCTCTGTATAGGACCAAGGCAACTGCAGGTCCCCCAAAGAGAACTGTGCTGCTCCACTAACTGATTGATTGCTTATGTTCAAATAGTGAGCCTGCCTGGCAGCTCTGGGTCCATTAATCACTCCTATGTAACTCCCTTCCTTAGGCCTTCAGTGTTGAATACCAGATAAAAAGATTTAAACAAATAAGCATATAAATAAATAAAAGGGGGCCTTTCTGTCAATAATTTTATAAAAATGCATAACGATATTTGACTCTGATGGGTCTTTTGTTCCCTTCACCACTGCATACATTTTAGTGTTCACTATCTAGGTACTTCAAGTCTGAATACACCCAGCATCTAAATGACACATATATTTTCAAAGCAATGAAGTCTTCATTTAAAATAAAATATTTTATCACTTATATTAGGATCAAAGCAATTATTTTAATGGATATTCCAGGGCCCGCATGTGGCCTCTAGTATTAATACTCTGCCTTAAAATTATATATTGCAGGCCAGGAGTGGTGGCTCACACTTATAATCCTAGCACTTTGGGAGGCTGAGGCGGGTGGATTGCCTGAGCTCAGGAATTCGAGACCAGCCTGGGCAACACGGTGAAACTCCATCTCTACTAAAATACAAAAAAAATATCTGGGCGTGGCAGCGTGCACCTGTAATCCCAGTTACTTGGGAGACTGAGGCAGGAGAATTGCTTGAACGCTTGAACCTGGGAGGTGGAGGTTACAGTGAGCCAAGATCACACCCTTGCACTCCAGCCGGGGTGACAGAGTGAGACTCCGTCTCAAAAAAAAAAAAAATTATATATTGCATTCCAGGACAAATAGTCCCCAACCCTGGTAGGTTCATGGAAGTCACTGATTTTTTAAAAAATTTATTAGCATTTGGTACTTGATAGTCAGTTACCAACCTCTAACTCCTTTGTGATAAGTAAATAATGCTCTCGACACACCACGACCACCAAAAGAGAGCAAGAAAGGAAATGTGAGCAGAGGCTCACACTGAGAAGGGAGGCTAGGAAACCTCAAGTTTAATCTAATCTGTGTTTCTTCACACTGCATCAGTTCCCCTCACAGTAGAGAAATTGACACATGTTGTCAGACATTCATACTTGAAATTTTCATGGGAAAAACATCTATACAACTACTTAGAACTGAATAATAAATGAAAACAAATTTCTGCAGAGATTATAGTATACTTCGCTATTGTCTCTTATTCCATGGTACTCTATCTCTGACATGGATATTATATTACTAATTGACACTGACACATAAAACACCAGAGATGAGTAATAGCTAATGGTTCTCAGATAGAGATAGAGAATGCACCAATAGATGCTCATTAATAAAAATCAAACACGAACCTCAAGAGGAAAATGAGGCTGCTTTGGACTGAAAGGTAATAGCATTAGCCAAGATGTCATGCAACAATTTGGAAGTCAAAGACTTACTTTCAGTTTGGACGAATGTTTCTCTTGTACATGCAAGTAAATTTATTTTTATCCTCAAAAAAAAAAAAAAACCAATGGAGAGTGTTTTACTTTTTCTTTTCCCCCTACAGGCTGCCAGATTATTATAAAAGAGCATTTTATATAGGTAAGCATGGTACACCAATTGAAACACAATTGTATCATCATCTCAAGCTCAAAAGGCACAAAATATGTCTCTTTCTTGGCAATTCCCTGATTGTTGTCAGGAAATGGACACAAATCAACTGAAAAGCTTATATTTATTCATACCTAAGAAAGATTTTCTTGTCAATAACTATGTATGGATTTTTCCCTACTGATTTAAACAAAAAGAAGATCCAGAATGTTTTGGCAATTTATTTTTGTCTTCATTTATATCTCTGCAGAAGTAGAGTTATTATTATATGGTGCCAATAAATTTTGAACAGAGTACTACTCTCAGTACAGCTATGACCTTTTCCCCTGTAATTAGTTCCAACTGAAATTAGATTCAGTGAAAGCATAGCTCCAATTAGAGCTAAATCAAAACAAAACTCAGGGCTTGATTTCATGTAGCAAAATTGTTGAGGAAAAAAGGGAATGGAGGAAGAGAAGATCTTATTCAAGTTTACTTCAGCAGACTGAACCAGATGTTAAATCCTTTGAACTCTGGCAAAAAATGTGCATTTATTTCCATACAGGCCTATGTTAACATTTTCTGTGACTCATAGGGATTTTGTAGTCTCATCTTGGCTCATCAGTTTTCCAATATTCTGCAAACAGCAAGTCAAAAATCTTCACAGTTCTAGTCTAGGAAAAGATCCATGTTCTCTAGAAAAAAAAAAATCTTCAAGCTTGCTTTGGCAATAAGATTATAAAACAAAAAGTCAAGATTATGAGGATTACTGGAATACTTTAGTTACTTGTCTCATCCTGAATAACTCTATGCCTTTTTCCAACATGCAAATGAATCTATGGCATGAAATTTCTTTCCAATTTCAGTTCCTGTATCAATAAAGCAAACATACAAAAAAGAAAGCAAATAAGCAAAAAGTATAGTAAGACTAAATTCTAATTTATGAGGGGTCCTATAGGTGTGAGTTAGTTCTTCCCTTTCTCCTATCAAACTGTTGTTGAGGCACCAGGTAGGAAAGTTCATGTCCTAACCAGAATACAGCCTTCATGAAATACAGTAGTGGAAAAATTAACCTTCAAAAAAATAAGGTTAGGATGAATCATTGGGAGCTTCAAAATCTAGGTTAAGAAATTATGGCAACCATAAGAAGATGCCTCACAGACCTACAGGGATAACAACTATTCCAGCTATGAATTTACCTTTCATTCATGGAAGGTTTATTCCTCACTATTTGGGGACTTAGGAAATTCCTGGTCCACAAGCATGAAGTCCCACCTAGCACAGCATGCAACCAGAAGACCCACTTTATAGCAAGAGGCCTAGGAGTGGACCCATGACTATGGAATTTACTGGTCATATCACACATACTATATTCTCCAGAGGCATCTGAATTCATACAACATTGAAACAGCTTCTAAAGGCATAACTAAAGTGCCAGCTTGAAGAAACACTCCGAAAGGATGGAGTGCCATTCTTCAGGATATAACATACCCATTAAATTACAGACCCTTATAGGATGCTTCCTTCCCAACAGGAAGGATACATGGTGTGCTGGTTAATACTGAGTGTCAATTTGATTGGATCAAAGGATGCAAAGTATTGTTCCTGGGTGTGTCTGTGAGGGTGTTGCCAAAGGAGATTAACATTTGAGTCAGTGGACTGGGAAAGGCAGACCCACCCTCAATCTGGAGGGGGCGGGGGGGGATATCTAATCAGCTGCCAGAGTGGCTGGAATAAAAAGCAGGCAGAAGAACATGAGAAGACTAGACTGGCTTAGCCTCCCAGCCCACATCTTTCTCCCATGCTGGATGCTTCCTGCCCTCAAACATCGGACTCCAAGTTCTTCAGCTTTGGGACTCAGACTGGTTTCCTTGCTCCTCGGCTAGCAGGTGGCCTATTGTGAGACCTTGTGATCATGTGAGTTAATACTCCTTAATAAATTCCCCTTTATATATACATCTATCCTATTAGTTCTGTCCCTCTAGAGAACCCTGACTAATACACATGGGTTTGAGAACCAAAGAGTGAAAGCAGAAGTGGCCACTTACCCTCATGCCCAATGATCCAGAGGAGGACTTTGTATTTCCTGCCCCTGTATGCAAGGCTGGAGGTCCTGGTCCCAAAAAAGGCACACTCTTATGGGCAGACATCACTAGAGTTTGTTCTATTGAGCAGGATTTGTTCTATTGGGGCCAGTAGATAAAAAGAGGAGCCAGCATACTTGTAGGAGTAATTTATCCTGATCAGCAAGAGGAGGTAGGGCTGTTTTGACACAATAGGGGCAGGGAGAAATACGTGTGGAATCCAGGTGATTCCCTGAGTGTCTCCTGGTCCTCTTGTGCCCAGGCACAACTGTAAACACACACATATGTAAAAACCCTGCATTGAGAAGGGCATGATTATCAATCAAGTTCAGTTCAGATGCTTCAGGTATGAAGATTTGGTCACACCACCAGATAAGCTACCTAGTCCTGGGAAGGTGAAGGCTAGAGGTGAGAAGAATTTAGAATGGATAATGAAGGAGAGGATGAGTACCAGGGGCAGCCCCAGGATCAATGGGAGTAGTAGAAGCTGTAGTTCATTCCACGTACCTCTTTCTTTTTGAAATTCTCCTCAAGAAGAAAGACCTCCAGAAACCATGAAGGAGTTGTTTCCTGAACACGTGTGGAAAAGTAGATCTGTGTGAGGCAAGTGGGTGGACTGTGGTGATCACAAGAATGTTCCTTGCAGATCTCCAATTTGTTACATGAAATCTTGGCTCATGCTATTAATTTTCAGTCCAAAGCAGCCTCATTTTCCTCATGAGTCTCATGTTTAATTTTTACTAATGAGTATCTATTGGCACATTCTCTATCTGCTAACCAATAGCTATTACTTATCTCTGGTGTTTTATATGTCCATGTCAGTTAGTAATATAATATTGATGTCAGAGATAGGAGTACCATGGAATACAAGACAATAGCAAAGTATACTATGATCACTGTAGAAATTTGTTTTCATTTATTATTCTGTTCTGAGTAGTTGTATAGGTATTTTTCCTGTGAAAATTTGAAGCATAAATGAGAAGAATGAGAAACCCCCAGGACCTCAGTTTTAGAGGTCAATAGACCTCCCATTAAGAAATCCACCATTACTCTGGCTCTGCTCCCACATTCCAGTCTCTGTTTTTCTCATTGTAAATTGTCAAAGAATGTGGTTGATCCAACTTGGATTGGACGTCTAACTCTTAGTTCAATCATCTCTTCCCAAGGAGGGAGGATTGCCTGGCACAAAATGGCTGCCCTGGTCTCAGCCTTAGAGAAACCTCCCACTGATCAGACCCCATCTGCCAAGAAGACCAAAGGAATAGTCTAAATTAATATGACAGATATGCCCTCTGCAATTCTTCTGGTGCAAAAGAAAACACTTTCTTCAGAAGCAGCCTTTCCATCTGGGGATAGTTCTAAATATTTCTCTCCATCTCTGGGTATTTTGGGAACCATATGAGGCCACTGTCTTGTAAGGTAACACAGATGATATCTGCTGCCACTCAGAATTTTAATAAGTGACCAAAAATCTGTAATCTTTTGAGCTTCTGGAAATTTCATCACTTGATATGATTTCAACCACTTTTTTCTCCCATTCGCTTTATGCCCCACCCACCCACTGCAGACAAGGAAAATAGCTTGAAGATTTGTGTAATTCTCCCATATCTGTTTGGGTTACTCACTTGCAAAGATTTTGATGTCAATGGTTATTTCACACAGAGCAAATCTCCACTGTATTTAAGCCAATGAGGGGTGACCTATAAGGAGAGAGGTTCAGATTTGTCTTTTTCTTATTTTTGCCTGCATTTCCACTTTATTTTCTAAACTTTGACCTCTTCAGAATGCAATGTTTATTAGGATTCCATTTCTAAAAGAAATTTTCTTGTTCAAAGCTTTTTATTTTCTGTTTTACAAATAAAATCCACCTTCCCACAGTGCAAAGCATGACTTAGAGCAAATCCTTTTGAGAGAGACATTAAAACAATATTTCAGTTGTATCATAACGGAGCTCCATACTTACAGAAATTGCCCAATGCAAAGACCTTCTCTCTGGCCACTTGAGAGGGTATGCTCTAAGTGAATTCTTGGAATTTGCTGCAAACACTGACAGCAACAAAAAGCACCTAACTATACTGAATGAGAAAAAAATGAGAAGTAGACAAAGAAAGAGAATGCTTCCAGAACCCCTCTGAAGTCCAGGCACTATGCATCCAAGGGCATTCACTTACTTAACATTTACAAGGAGCCTGAGAGATGGGCTTTATCCTCGTTGTTTCCAGGTGGGAAACTGAGACTCAGAAAGGTTAAACAACTTGCCAGTGTGGTCACACAGTTCACATATTGAAGAGATGGGATTCAAAAGCAGATTATTCTATCATTAAAGCACATATTTTTCAGAAGCATAGCAATGCCCCATTCTCTAGTCTTACCTCAATAAATATTATTCCTCCCCCAACTTGCCTTTGTGTATAAGAAGAAATTTTTCTTTTTTTTTTTTTTTTTTTAGATGGAGTCTCACTCTGTCGCAAGGCTGGAGTGCAGTGGCGTGATCTCGGCTCACTGCCACATCCGCCTCCCAGGTTCAAGTGATTCTCCTGCCTCAGCCTCCTGAGTAGCTGGGATTACAGGCACGCACCACAAAGCTCAGTTAATTTTTTGTATTTTTAGTAGAGACGGGGTTTCACCATGTTGGCCAGGATGGTCTCAATCTCTTGACCTCATAATCTGCCTGTCTCAGCCTTCCAAAGTGTTGGGATTACAGGCGTGGGCCACGGTGCCTGGCCAAGAAGGAATTTTAAAAGGCAAATTTGGTATGATTATGCATTGAGTGTGCAGATGTCATACCTCATAGCAATGGCTGTAGGGACAACACAGAACAAAAAGAGAAAAGAATGTAACCACCTGAGGGGTTCTTCCTGCTCACTGCACAAAGACAGACCACAGCATTGCAGTAAAGAAAGAGTTTAATAGACAAGGGGCCAGTCATGCCACTTGGGAGACGAAGTTAGTACTCAAATCAAAGTCATCTGAAGCTCATAGGTTAGGGGTTTTTCAAAGGCACTTTGGAGGAAGGGGTGGGGGTTGCCAGGTAATGGGTACTTGCTGCTGATTGGTTGGGGTGGAGATAAAATCACAGGGGGTGGAAGCTGTCCTCCAGCTGAGTCACTTCTTCACAAGACTGGTTGGTTGAGGCGGGGGTCAATAGATCCAGGTGAAACCATGGGTGTCAGACATGCAAAAAACCTGAAAAGATATCTCAAAAGACCCATCTACAATAGTGATGGCCACCAATCTACAATAGTGGTGTTGCATATCTTCAGGTTCCTCTCCTCCCCCTAGCCTGATGTCCTTTCATTAGCTTTACAAAGGCAGTTGAGTTTTGGGAAGGCCTATTATCATTTCAACTATAAATCAAATGTCTCTCCAGATTAGCTTGGCCCAAAAGCCCAGTAACAATTAAGAGACAAGAAAAAGAGGTTGGGGATGTTTAAATCAGATTTCTCACTGCCATAATTTTCCCACTTATAATTTTTGCAAAAGCAGTTGCAAAAAGAAAAGCTAAACGAATGAGTATAAAACACTAATGACCATCAAGATTATCTAATGTTCTACACTTCTTCCTACCCCCATGTGTTGGAATAGAGAAAGGTTTATATGCACATGTCAAGGAGAACTAGGGTTTATTGGACAATACTCTGTCCTTTGTGTTTTACATGTTCTATCTTGTTTAATCCTAACAATCCTTTCAGAGATTTTACATTTTACATTTTACATGGATTTTACATTTACATCCCATTTTACAGATGAGCAAACTGAAGCCCAAAGAATGCTTAACAATTAGAATTATTCAGGTACAAGCTAAAGAAAACTTGACTAACAGTGGCTCAGACAAATGAAGCATCATTTCTCTTGAACAGAAACTCTGGGTGGGCTGGAGATGCTATGCAGAGGGTCAACATTCCCATTAGGGACTCGGGCTCCTTGGTATGCCATGCCCAGCACATGGCTTTTATCCTTAGTCTTTCAAGATGGCTGCCGGCCTTTGGGCATTGTAAATGTGCTCTGGGTAGGAAGATAAAGGAATATAAATAAGCAGAGAGTGAACAGGAAAGGGCTGTGTGCCAGCCAAGCCTGTCCCTTTTTATAAGAAGGAGAAAATATTTTCAAAAGGCCCCACCCAAAGTTTAATCTCTGTTGTCCAAAACTACATCACATAACCACCTATATCTGTAAGGAAAGCCAATGAATTAAGTATTCCAAACTCCAGTGCAGCCCTGAATAAAATCAGGGTTAGTGATGACTTTATATTTGTGTAGTTCTTAGAATCAGATCTAACACAAAGTAAGTGCTATGCCGTTAGCAAAGAATAAAGAATAGATGAAGGAATAAAGTAATGAAAGAACGAAAGAATTGGCACTAGATATTGGGTAAGCAACTAGAATTATTTAACACAGAGATAAATGACTTGTCTAAGTTGCATGGGTAGCTAATGGTAGGGTTGTAATTCTCTTCTGAGTTTTTCTGACCTCAAAGGTTACTTTTATTATTTTTCTTTTCTTATTATTACATAACAACATCCCCAACCACACACTCAGTTTTAAGTTCCAACATGAATATATCTATGAATATCATAAGATTGTCATGAGTGTTGCATAAAATACTAGCATTGCAAGTGAAGAATTCAGCTATCAGAAAATAAATATTCCAGTCTCAGCAATGTCATTCTCCAGTGAACTACTTAGCCTTTGATATGCCAGGCTGGAAAAAGAACAAGACTAGCATTGGCATTCACAGAAGCTCAACCTTGGTTTAAACTTAAGAACCCCGAACTATTCTTGCAATTCTGCCACTTAACCTAGAGGCTTGCATAAAGAAATCTTACCTGCAAAACTTTCACTTCCTCAAAAAGTTATCATTGGTGATTATTGGAAAAAAGGCATCTGAATCAGTACTTCTAGGTAAACAGAGCACTTGACCCCCCAAATAAATACTGACAAACAGACACTAAATTGTAATGTGGGTACTGCCTTTTGTTAGCTAGTTTGCTAGCATTTCTGGGTTTTATCCTTTAGGTTCATGAGTGATCTTAGCATGGTGTGTCAACTATTGACAGTACATCCATATATCAACACAGTGAGTAACTTCCTTTGTTTGACTTTAGAAGTCTTTAAATGCCACATATCATCTTCCATACACAGACATACCAGGTCGACTGAGGTTTGTCCTAGATGGCAGAAGAGAGACTCAAAGATCAGCCCTTATAAAAATTCATTACTGATGAATATTGAAATATTACAGGAAAATTAATCAGTATTATTAAACATCAAGAGATTAATGCCAGCTTGTTATATGAGAGACAGCACCAACCACTACAGAAACGCTATTAAAAGTGATGATTACGAATTTTAAAATATATATGTCTATGAATATGAAAATGACTAACTTTTTAAAGGTCAATCAAGGATGAAAAGTAAATGGAGAGCTGGCTAGGAAGAGTTCAGTAGTACAGGAGATTGTCTGTGGCCCTTCTCAACTAGCCATCCACATTCAGAGTTCACGTTGACTCTGTCTGAAGTACCTCTTTACTAATCAAAGAGAGGAGTCAGGCCTTTGGCTAGAGCCAATATCCACTGTGGATTTGGTGAATATCCATTGACTATGTGGAGACCTTAAGAACCCAATAAAATAATGAAATCCCATATGCTTCTAAAAAAAATTACTATTTTCTTTTCATGTAGATTATGACTTGTTTAACCCCAGTGACTGTTCAGTTTCTGCTCATAGAAGACAAATATTTGCTAATTAAAGATAAGAATAGATAATTGAGGATAAGAACCAGAAGGTCAATCTGCTTATTTCTTGCTGGAAATCATACAAGGAGGCTGATATCTTCTGAAGTGTTTTACAAGACATTTAGAAATTCTTTGTCTTTCATACACACTGACACCATTACCATACTTTAACTTGTCTTCCTTTGTGAAACTATTACTGTGAGCTCCAGAATGAGGACAAAGAATGATTTTTCTAGACACTCTTGAACTATTTTACTCTGAATTGTGGATAACCTCCAGTTCATCTAGAATCAGTTTGCCTGGATTTGAATATGGGTTCCCCTACTTACCATTTGTATAGTCTTGAACAAGTTATTTAATCTTTAAGCTGGTTTCCTCTTCTGTAACAAGATGATATTGATAGTATGTACACCACAGGCTGTGATTAGACTTAGAAGAGATCATACATGTCAAGTGTTTAACATAACTCCTGGGTACTTTATAAATAGTCAATATTTAATAGTACTTATTACATAAAACAAAACAGCATACACTCTCCTTAGGTAGACAGTATCAAATCTTCTTATCATGAGTCTGGGGTGGGTTCATATACAGTGTTTCTTCCCAGTCACTCTGTCCTTTCAGGACATTGATAAACTACCTAACTATATAAATAGACATCTCTAAAATTCCAAATGTATCCTAATATAAAGCCAATTATCCAACACTCAATGACTTACCATCTGATTAATTAATTAATTGCTTTCTGTTTCTTTGAGAATGCAGTGATATAATGAAAAGAATGCAGGCCCCATCATCAGCATGGGAAGCATCATCCATTTCAAGAGAGGTAAGATCTTCAGGGAGTGTCAGCACCCCTGGCTCATAAGCCTTGATACATAAATGGATATGTATCAAGGTGCCTCTCATTTGCTTTAGTAAAACCTCCCTTTGAGAGACATTAATTAAAACATTTAGGAATCACAGCTGAGCCTACAGTTTGAGTAGAAGCCAGATATTGAAAAAGGTCTTTCTTCTGTTGTGTTATTTATTGTTGATATAAATATTCCAGCCACTGCTCAGAACGCTAAAACAATACTTCAAAGATGTCATGTGTTTAAACCCCACCCCCATCCCATGAGGAATGAGTCATCATTATATAGTATGGTTCAGACAATGCTGGTCCTGCAACAGTAGAATGGAGAGAAAGAAATATGATGGGGCTCAAGCATAGACCCAGAGGACAAAAGGTTCCTAAGAATACAGTGATGGGCTGATCTGAAGTCTAAATTACTGTGCCAACAGGCCAACATCTGTGACCTTTCTAGATATCACCGTGTCAAATGCATCAACAATCTTTGATGAATAATTTCATTCCTAGAATTATCTCCCAATAAAATTATAAGAGTTGATGTATCTCTCACTCAAATCTCTATTCTGTTCCCACTCAGATCTCTCTTTTAAACTTCACATAGGAGATTGCCTATTCTTCAGAAATAGCTCACAACTTCTAAATCAATGCACCTCCACAAACTGGCTTCTTCTCCCTGTTGCTTTTCTATGCACATGGCATCACAATTTCCCCAGGGGACATCATCCTTGGCTGCCTCTTCTCCCATACTTACTAAGTAAAATCATCATGTCATATCAAGGCAATTTTTTAAATTCTTTTTCTTCATCCTAATTCCCACTCTCCTACCACCTTCGGTCCAGCTATCATCATCTATGTTTGCATTATGGGAGTAATCTCCTAACTAGCACCTCTGTCTACTTTGCTCCTCCCCAGTGCAATCTTTACAAAGCTACCAATAATCTTTCTACAATGCATTTTCAATTATGCTTCTCTCTGCTTAAAACATTTTAAAGACTTTCACTGTCTTCAGAATAAGAAATAAATTCCTTAAAATCTTGTGGAAGTCCTTTTATGATCTGGCCCTAAACTATATTCTTAAGCAGTCTTATAAGTCCTCACATTCAGTGTTCCAAATGTTCTAAGTTACTTGTACTTTTTCAAACTTATGCTTTTTCTTGCTCATAGGACTTTGCACTTAGTGTTCATTACGTTTACAAAAGTGACTTCTTTCCCAATATTTTCATTTATCTGGTTAACTCTTATTCATCCTTCACATTTGTGTCTAGAGACTACCTCTCCCTTGAAGTATTCTCTGACTTCCAATTGTATCCAGTACTTTTTATGTGCCCTTAACACTTTTCAAACAGTAATAGAATTGCCTTTTTTTCCCATTTTACCCTAGACTTCTTTTTCCTTATGTGCTTAAGTTCATCTATTGTGATTGTTGAATTTCCAGTGCATAAAATAGGGCCTCACACATAAGTCCTCAATAGAGAGTTTTAATGAGTAAAAAGATATTCATCAAGGTTTGATTATGAAAAATAAAAACTTGATAATTAATCAAAATGCCTAAATATGGAAATGGGTAAGTAAATTTTGACACATTTATAATGCAGAAAACATTTCTTTCTCAAAACAAAAAAGGTTTTAAATTTTTTTTATAAATAGGAGCATAAAAATGATGAAATACTGAGTGAAAATCACAGATAAAATTTGCATTAACAATATGATGTCAAGCTTGTAGATGATATAAGATGATAGATGACAGAGCAGGGAGAGAGAGATGACATACGGAGAAAACATACAAATACAATAGCAGCATTTATATTTGTCTTATGTGTACTTTTGTTTGCATATTACTGTTTGAAGTATATTTCTGACTTTCTGTGATGAGTCAAGTAAAAAAAAAAGAGAAATGCAAAAGCTCACAGTGAATTCTGACTTTATCTTGGCCATCTCTGTAAACAAAGAAATCACATCTGCAGGTATGGAGCATCACAGCTGGATTCTTAGGACAGAGGCAATGCTTGAATAGCAGTGTTAGTGTCAGACACAAGTAACAAGGCAGGAATGGAAAGCAGGGAGTGAAGAGCAAGCCCAGAAAGTAGGGCTCAATGAAGGACCAAGGGGTTGTTGAAATTTCCTAGAATTGCTCCTAGTGTCATAAATAACAGTCTGGCCTAGGAATCAGAGTGGGCCAGCAATGCTAAGGGGATAGTTCTGAACAGATTATTTTCCATGACCAAAGAGAAACCTGAGCTTTTAATTAGAAACTGAAGTAAACTTACATGATATAGATCAGATATGCATGGCCAGAATTAGAATAATTATTACCAAGCAAGCAATGGGCTCGCTGCCCAACACACAAAGAAGCCAATAGTGTGGCACTTACTTTTGAGAAAAGAAAGGCTTTATTGCAAGTTGGCTGGCAATAAGACTGGAGACAATGCTCAAACCTGTCTCCCTAAGATGAGGCTGAGGTAAGTTTTATAAGCAGAGGATAACAAGGCATGACCTGATTGGATCTTGCAATGAGGTGCTGCTGGGAGGCATGATCTGACTGGATCATGCCAAAGGGTGATGCCAGGACTCTATCTGATTGGAGTATGGCACATGCCTTAGGTGTTTGTCTCATAATTTAGTCCCAAGTGTTACAGACAGGCATGAACGGGGCAGGAGAGGGCTCTCCCCACACCCACTGGGAATGTCGGGTGATGGCTCAGCAATGATCACATTGCCTCTCCAAAAGTGATAAATTAGCACCTGGCACCAGGAAGAGGCCATTTCCTAATGGTCCACACCTATCACACTACAGTGTTCATTGAATGCAGGTGCCAGAGAGAAGCAACTTCCCAGGCATACGCATCGAAAGACAAAATGGCAGAGTATGACCTCCCAGTTACACTCCACCAGGAAAGGGAAGAAAGCCTCAGATGAGCATGCCTACAACTTCCTAAACACACTGCATGTGTTCACCTCCCAAGGGTAAGAGCACTGCACATGTGGGCAGCCCATCCTAAGGGAAGAATCCTGGGAAAGGGGCCAGCCTATGAAGTCCTAGGATCAAGGTTAAACAGCACGTTTGTCCTTCAAGTTGCCCACTTGGGTCTCTCCCAAGCATACTTTCCTTTCTTTCCTGTTCTAAAGCCTTTTAAAATAAACTTCCACTCCTTCTCTGAAACGTGCCTCGGTCTCTTTTTCTGCCTAATGATCCTCAGTCAAATTCTTTCTTCTGAGAAGGCAAGAATTGAGGTTGCTGCAGACCCATGCGGATTCACCGCAAGTAACTCAGATACATTTCACCGGTACACAAGCACTTTGTTTCTACCCATGGTTGCACTCTTGGTTCACCAGGCATGCTCAGGTTGCAAAACTTGCAATCCTGGGATTCGTGGCAACTGAAAAACAACTCACAACTTTATTATACAAAGTTGAACTAAACTGGGCTCATTCTTCAGTTATGTAACTCTAATTTTTGGACATGATGATGAAGGTTAGATACCTAGGCTTATTTCAATAAAACTCATGCTGGGCCCCCACTAGCTAGAGGAAATTATACCCTCACATAAGCTTATCCTCCTCAAAATGTGCCCAAGACAAGAGACTGGGGCAATAATTAAGGCATCAATTTTATACTTAAGAAGGGTGTGGAAGACAGAGACTGAAGAAGAAAAAGTGGAGAAAAAGTGGTTTTATGACTCTTCTTGGATAAAAAAAAAATTCCAATATTCTTTAGTAGTTTTCAAAATGGCACTAAATAACAAATGTTCTCTTTGAAGAAAACAATTACCTAGTTAAATTAGAGAGTGTTTTCTTATGAGGGTTGCAATTAAAACTAGAGGGCAAGAGAAACTTGCCTTAGCCATTTGCCATCATCCTAGGGTTTGTTGATCAACTTTATGCTCCATTTATGCCTTCATAAACCATTCTGTAGAATTAAAAGTGTGTGGCTGACATGAATATTGCCCACTTTGCAAATGAAAAACAAGGAGCGAGAAAAACTTTATGCAAAAGCGTGAGACTATCATACAAAAATTCTTTACAATTATTATGTTTGCTTCCTCACAAAAGTGAGATTACTCTCTTGGTGGATGTCATAGAATTGAGGCTTTGAAACGGAGATGCCAAGCTGTAAATTACATTTCTGAATCAATTATGCCTCTATCAGAAAGGCTATAAATAACACGCAGAATTACCAGATGTGTAATTTTTTGTTACACTTGAACATTTGGTGCATTTAGAATGTCTGAGTGAGGGACTTGAGTTAATCTGTGAATTTCACGGATTCATCTGACAAGACAGTGGAAAAATGTGGGTGAGAATCATGACGACCTTACCTCAAGGAGACTTATCAGAACAAGGTCGATTCAGGAATTTGCCTGCATTTTTCTTAAAAAGAATGTAGATGGGAAACGATCGTTGGAGGCTCTTGGTGTTCCATTGGCTAAATTCTCAAAAGAGCTGATTAAAGGAAATACTTGGTTTCAAATGGGTGATTGAGCAAAATATACTTCAGTGATGAGCCTCTCTTTTGACAGCTTTACATTGATTTTATTTTGTCACCTTCTTGGGAAGTCTAAGTGAGAAACTGTTGGACAGTTTATTATAACCACTCTTAGCATCCAAAGCTTAAACATTAAACAGTGGATATAGGAAAGGGCTGGAGTTTATCAAGCAGCCTCAGGCAGTGACCTTCCCATGAATATCACTTATTCCTGGGTCTGTTACATCATAGAACTTTTTTTCCCCCTGGCAAGTTAAGCTTTTATTCTTCTTATTTGTAGGTGAGCATTTTGTTATTAAATTTAGAAGCTGCCAGTAATAGGACTAAGAAAAAAACGCCTCTCTATTTAAGAGAATATAACACCCACCTTTTCCTGAGAATTGCTGGGGATATGCAGGAGCCATTCTTCGTTACTACACTAAAGGATATCTGGCTCCCTCTGCAGAGTTAGGTAAATAATGTACAGTCATATAAATGCTTATTGGCTGTGCCTTGAGTTGACTTACCACTTTTAAAGCTTACAGAATTTTTTCTTATAGCACAACCTAATAGAATGAACAAGGAGTTTGGAATCAGCTGGAGTCTGACAGATGAATGTATCTAAGATCACAGTATCAAAAATGTCCCAGCTGCAATTCCAACCCAGCTCATTTTTCTTTTCTGTAAAATGGATATAATGGCTTCTCATGTCCAGTATGGTTTTTATCATTAAATTGGATAATGCTTGCAAAATATTTAGCAGAGTTCTCTACCTATAATTAGTACTAGAAGATGTGGTTCTCAGTTTCATTTAGAGAGGTTTTTTTTTTCAATTCAGCATGCCTCTCCCCATATTTCTTTTTTCTACCTACAATCACCTGTCCCCAAGGAGGACTCTAGAATGGCAGTTAAGAGCTTAAACTCTGAGTTAGTTTGGGTTCGAATCCCAGTTCAGATACTTATCAGTTGCATGAGTGCCAGCAAATCATGTAAATTTTTCTCTGCCTGTTTTCTCATCTGCTAAATGAGGACAATAATAGTAACCACCTCACAGAGGTGACGCTTTTCTT